>NC_000023.11:58239523-58555579 GCF_000001405.40 Homo sapiens
AGACTTCAGGCATTCTAATGATAGAGACACCTGGGCGACCTCAGGCAATCTAGTGTTAGAGACATATGGCCAACCCCAGACATTCAAATGGGAGAGAGTTTTGGCCAACCTCAGGCATTCTAATGATAGACATTCCTTGCCTACCCCAGGCATTTTAATGATAGGGATACCTAAGAAATTGCAGGCATTTGTTGTTGTTTGTTGTTGTTGTTGTTTTATTTTTTATTTTTTTAGACAGAGTCTCACTCTGTCACCAGGCTGGAGCGCAGTGGCACAATCTTGATTCACTGCATCCTCAGCCTCCTGAGTTCAAGTGATTCTCCTGCCTCAGCCTCCCGAGTAGCTGGGACTACAGGTGCATGCCACCACACCCAGCTAATTTTTGTATTTTTAGTTGACACAGGGTTTCACCATTTGGCCAGGATGGTCTCAATCTCTTGACCTCGTGATCTGCCCGCCTTGGCCTCCCAAAGTGTTGGGATTACAGGCGTGAGCCACCATGCCCGGCAAACTCAGGCATTATAATGATAGAGACTCCTGGCTGACCCCAGGTATTCTAATGTAAAGACACCTGCACAACCTCAGTCATTCTAAGGATAGCGACACATGGCCGACCACAGGGATTTTAATGGGAAAGACTTCTTGCTGACCCTACTCCTTCCAAGGATAGAGACCTGGTTAACCCCAGGTATTCTAACTATCAAAACTACTGGCTGACCACAGGCATTCTAACAGGAGAGACTCCTGGCTGACCCGAGGCACTCTAATGGCAGAGACACTTGGGTGACATCAGACGTTCTAACAATAGAGACACCAGGCTGACCCCAGGCATTCTAACAAGAGAGACTCCTGGTTGAACCTAGGCATTCAAATGATAGAGACGCCTTGCTTACCCCAGGCATTCTAATGATAGAGACTCCTGTGTGACCAAAGGCATTTTAATAATAGAGACACCTGGCAGACCCCAGGCATTCTAACGAAAAAGAATTCTGTTCAAAACCAGGCATTATAATGAGAGAGATTCCAGGCATTCTATCAAAGAGACTCCTGGCCAGACCCATGCATTCTAATGCTAGAGACCCCTAGCATACCCCAGGCATTCCAATGCTAGAGATATCTGTGAGACTTAAGGTATGCTAAGGATAGAGACACCTGACCAACCCCAAGGATTCCAACAGAAGACACTCTTGGTTCACCCTAGGCATTCTAATTAGAGAGACTCCTGGCAAATCCCAAGCATTTTAATCATAGAGACACAATAGAGGCAACTGGCCTGCCCCAGGCATTCTAAGGTGAGAGACTTTTGGCTGACCTCAGGCATTCTAATGATAATGACTCCTGGCCTAGCCAAAGCATTCTAATAATAGAGACACCTGTCAGACCTCAGACATTATTAGAATAAAAACACCTGGCCAATCCCAGACATTCTAACTGTGGACCCCTAGCATTCTAACTGTAGAGACCCCCTTCTGACCTCAGGCATTCTAATTATAGAGACTCCAAGCTGACCCAAGGCATTCTAATGTTAGAGACACCTGGTGGACATCAGGCATTCTAGTGATAGAGACTTCTGGCTCACCCGAGGCATTCTAATGATAGAGACACCTGCATGGCCTCAGACATTCTAAAGATAGCGAAGACTGGCCGAATCCAGGCACTTTAATGGAAAAGACTCCTTCACCACCACAGGCATTCCAATCATAGAGACTCCTGGTCTATCCCAGGCATTTTAGTGATAGAAAGACCTGTGTTATCTAAGGCATTTTGAGGATAGAAATACCTGGCTGACCCCAGGCATTCTAACAGAAGAGATTTTGTCCGACCACAGCCATTCTAACAAGAGAAACTCCTGGCCAACGCAGGCCTTCTAATGATAGAGACTCCTGGCCGACCCCAGGCATTCTAATGATTGAAACTCCTGCGTTACCTCAGTCACTTTGAGGATTGAGACACCACACCAACTTCAGGTATTCTAATGGGAGAGACTCCAGGCTGAACTCAGACATTCTAGTGATTGGGACTCCTTGCTTAACCTAGGAATTCTAATGATGGAGACACCTGTGTGACCTCAGGCTTTCTAAGGGTAGAGACACCTGGCAGACCCCAGGCATTTTAATGGGAGAGACTCTTGTCCAACCCCAGGTATTATAATGGGAGAGATTCCTAGCTGACCCCAGGTATTCTAATAATAGAGACAACCGGCCGGCATTAGGCGTTTTAATGATAGAGACATTTGGACAAGCTCAGGCATTCTAACGGGAGAGAATCTTGGCTGACTCCAGGCATTCTAACAAAAGAGACTGTGTTTGACCGAAGGCATTCTAATAAGAGAGATTCCTGTCTGAACCCAGGCATTCTAATGATAGAGATACCTGGGGGACCTCGGGAATTCTAAGTATAGAGACACTTGGCTGACTTTAGGCATTCTAATGGAAGAGATCCTGGCCGATCTGAGGCATTGTAATGTAAGAGACTTCTGGACGCTCCCACACATTATTATGATAGAGACAACTGTTCAACTTCAGGCATTCAAAGGATAGAGCCACCTCACCAACCTCAGGCATTCTAAGAGAGACTCAAGGCCAATCTCAGGCATTCCAATTATAGAGACTACAGGCCGAATACAGAAGAACTGGGCGACCTCAGGCAATCTAGGGATAGAGATGCCTGTCCGAACCCAGGTATTCTAATGGGAGAGACTCTTGGCCAACCCCTGGCATTCTATCGGGAGAGACTCCTGGTTCTCCTCAGCCACTCTAACGATAAAGACACCTGGGTGAATTCAGGCATTCTAAGGATAGAGAACCTGGCTGAACGAAGGCATTCTAAAAAGAGACTTTTGGCTGACACCAGACTTTCTAACTATAGAGACTCCAGCCCTACTTCAGGCATTCCAATGATAGATACACCTGTGCGACCTCAGGCGTTCTAAAAATAGAGACACCTTGACGGCCCCAGGCATTGTAATGGGAGAGACTCCTGGCCCACCCCAGGCATTCTAATGAGAGAGTCTCCTGGCCTACTCCATTAATTTTAATAATAGATACACCTTTGAGACTTCAGTCATTCTTAGGATAGAGACACCTGGCTGACCCCAGGATCCTAATGGGAAAGACATCTGGCTGACCTCAGGCATTTTAATGATAGAGACTCCTGGCTGACCCCAGGCATGCTAATGATAGAGACACCAGGTTGACCTCACCATTATAAGGATAGTAACATCTGGACAACCCCAGGCATTCTAATGGTAGAGACTCCTGGCGGAACCCACGCTTCCTAATAATAGAGACTCCTGGCCTATCACAGGCATTCTAATGATAGACACCTGGGCAGTCTTGGGCATTCTAAAAATAGTGACAACTGGCCAACCCCAGTCATTCTAACAAGAGAGACTCCTGGCCTAGCCCAGGCATTCTAATAATAGAGACACCAGTGCAACCTCAGGCAATTTTAGGATAAAGACACCTGGCCGACCCCAGGCATTCTAACAGGAGAGACTCCAGGCTGACCCCAGGCATTCTAATTGTAGAGTCTCCTTGCCTATTTTAGGCATTCTAATGAAAGACACCTGTGCGACCTCAGTCATTCTAAGGATAGAGACACTGGGCCAACAACAGGATTCTAATGGGAGACATTCCTGCCTGACACCAGACATTCTAATAATAGAGACTCCTATCTGAACCAAGGCATTCTAATAATAGAGACACCTGGGTGACCCCAGGCATTCTAAGGATAATGACAACTGGCTTACCCCAGTCATTCCAGCCAAAGAGACTACTGGGTGACCCCAGACATTCTAAGGATAGTGACAACTGGCTTACCACAGTCATTCTAGCCAAAGAGACTACTGGCCGACATCAGGCATTTGAATGATAGAGACACCTCTCCAACATCAGACAATCTAAGGATAGAGACACCCAGGTGACTCCAGCATTCTAACGGGAGAGACTCCTGGCTGAACTCAGGCAGTCTAATAATAGACTCCTGGCCTACCCCAGACATTTTAATGATAGAGACACCTTCATGACCTCAGGAATTCTAAGAATAGAGACACCTGGCAAACCCCATGTATTTTAATGGGAGAGACTCCTGGTTGACACCAGGCATTCTAATGATAGAGACTCCTGGCCTTGCCCAGGCATTCTAACGATAGACATACCTATGCGACCTCAGTCATTCTAAAGATAGAGACACCTGGCCGACCCCAGGCATTAAGATGAGAGAGACTCCTATCCTACCACAGGCACTCTAATAATACAGACACGTGGGCAACATCAGACATTTTAACAATAGTGATCTGGTCACTAATGTCTGGAGTCAACCCAAGGTATTCTAACGGAAGAGTCCTCTGGCCAAACACAGGAATTCTAGAGATAGAGACACCTGTGTGTTCAAAGGCATCCTCTGGATAATGACAACTGGCCAACCCAGGCATTGTAATGAGTGATATTCCTGGTCAAACCCAGGCATTCTAATTAGAGAGATTCCTGACCGACCCCAGGTATTCTAATGTCAGAGACACCAGGGGGACATCAGGCATTGTAAGGATTGAGAGACCTGGCTGATTCCAGAATTTTAATGGGAGAGACTCCTGGCCAAACCCATGCATTTTAATGACAGAGATGCCTGGCCAACCACAGGCATTCTAAGGACAGAGAAATCAAGGTGACCTCAGGCATTCTAAGGATAGAGACACCTGGCCAAACCCTGGCATTCTAAAGGGAAAGACTCTTGGTCATTCAAGGCATTCTATCAAGGCAGACTTCTGGCCAACTTGAAGCATTTTAACTAGAGAGACTCCTGGTTGATCCACTGCCTTCTAATGATAGAAACTCCTGGCCAACCCTAGGCATTCTAATGATAAAGACACCCAGGGGACCTCAGGCATTCTAGGGATAGAGACACTTGGCCAACCTCAGGCATTCTAAAGGAAGAGACTACTAATGGACCCAAGACATTTTAATCATAGAGCTTCCCAGCTGACCCCAGGCATTCTAATAATAGAGAAAACTAGGCAACCTCAGGCATTCTATGAATAGAGACAGCTTGCCGGGCCCAGGCATTCTAACAAGAGAGACTCCTGGCCAACCTGAGGCATTTTAATAATATAGACTCCTGGCTGACCCGAGGCATTCTGATGATAGATTAATCTGTGTGATTTTAGTCATTCTAAAGATGGAGACACCAGGCCAACACCAGGCATTCTAATGGTAGAGACTTTTGGCCAACCCCAGGCATTCCAATGTTAGAGACACCAGGTCTACCCCAAGCATTCTAATGATAGAGACACCTGTGTGACCTCAAGCACACTAAGGATAGAGATATCTGGCTGACCTTAGGCATTCCAACAGGAGTGACTTCTGGCCAAACCCATGCATTCTAATGGAAGAGACACAAAGTCGAATGCAGGTAATCTAACAATAGAGTCTCCTGGATGACCAAAGGAATTCTAATGATAGACACACCTGGGCGATCTCAGACATTCTAAAAATAGAGACAACTGGCCAACCTAAGACATTCTATCAGGAGAGACTCCTGGTAAACTCCAGGCATTATAACAGGAGAGATTATTGGTAAACCCTAGGCATTCTAATGAGAGATAATCCTGGCCGACCCTAGGCATTTTAATGAAAGAGAAACTTTGGGGACCTCAGGCATTCTAAGTGTAGAGACACTTCTCTCACCCCAGGCATTATAACAAGACACACTCCTGGCCGACTCAAGGCATTCTAATGGGAGAGACTCTTGGAAAACCCCAGGCATTCTAATAATAGAGGCATCAGAGTGACCTCAGGCGTTCTATGGATAGAGACACCTGGTTGACTTCAGGTATTCTAACAGCACCAAAAGTATGCTAATAATAGAGTCTTCTGTCCTACCCCAGGCATTCTAATGCTAGAAACACCTGTGGGACTTCAGGCATTCTAAGGATAAAGACACTTGGATGACCCAAGGCATTTTAACAGGAAAGTCTCCTGGCCGACCCCAGGCATTCCAACAAGAGGGACTCCTGGCCCTACCCAGGCATTGTAGAGATGGAGGCTCCTGGAAAAGACCAGGAATTCTAATGACAGAGACACCTGGGCGACCTCAGGCATTTAAAGGATAGACATACATGGCTGGCAATAGGCATTCTAATGAAAGATACTTCTGACCAACCCCAGACATGCTGATGCCCTCAGGCATTCTAAGGATAGGGACACCTGGCATACCCCAGGCATTCTAATGAGAGAGACTCCTGGCCAACCCCAGGCATTGTAATGGTAGAGATTTTTGGATGACCCCAGGCATTCTAAAGATAGAGAAACATCTGTGACCTCAATCATTCTAAGGAGAGAGCCATCTGGCCCACCCCAGTCATTCAAATAGGAGAGACTGCCTGGTAACCCCAGGCATTCTAATGATAGAGACTGCTATTCTGCCCTAGGCATTCTAATGATAGAGACACCTGGGTGACCTCAGACATTTTAATGATAGAGAGACTTGGACGACCACAGGCATTGTAGTCGGAGAGACTTCTGGCTGACCCCAAGCATTCTAACAGGAGAGACTCCTGGCTGACCCATAATACAGACTCCAGGCCTACCCCAGGCATTCCAATGATAGATAAACTTTTCTAACCTCAGTCATTCTAAGGATAGAGATACCTGGATGAACCCATTCATTCTGAAGTAGGAGTTTCCTGGCCAGCCCCAGGCATTCTAATAAGAGAAAGTCCTAGCCTATCCCATTCATTCCAATGATAGAAAAACCTTTGTGACCTTAGGCATTCTAAAGCTATAGAAACCTGGCAAACTCCAGGCATTCTAATGTGAGAGACTCCTGACCAACCACAGGCATTCTAATGTTAGTCTCATGGCTGACCACAGGCATTCTAAAGATAGAGTCACTTTGGTGACTTAAGGCATTCTAAGGATAAAGACACCTGGCCGACCCCAGGCATTCTAAAGGGAGAGACTTCTGGTCAACCACACCCATTCTAATTATAGAGACTCCTGGATGACCACAGACATTCTTATTATAGAGACACCTGGGTGACCTCAGGCCGCCTAAGAATGGAGACACCTGGCCAACCCAATCATTCTAACGAGAGACACCTGGCCCACACCAGTCTTTCTTATGAAAAGACTCCAGGATTTCTCCAGGCATTATAATGATAGGCACACCTTAGCACACTCAGCCATCCTAAGGATAGAGATACCTGGCGACCACAGGCATTCTAACAAGAGAAACTTCTGGCCAGCACCTAGCATTCTAATAATAAAGACCGCTGCCCTATCACTGGAATTCTAAGAATAGAGACATCTGTGAGAACTCAAGCAATTTAAGGATAGAGACACCTGGTGGATCCCAGGCATGCTAAGGGTAGAGACTCTTGGCAGACCTCAGGCATTCTAATGATAGAGACTCGTGGCACACCACTAGCATTCTATTGATGAAGACATCTGTGCGACCTCAGATATTTTGAGAATAAAGATATTTCTCCAAAGCCAGGCATTCTATCGGGAGAGAGTCCTGGCTGACCACAGGCATTCTAGTGATAGAGACTCCAGTCTGAACCCAGGCTTTCTAATGATGGAGACAACAGGGCGACCTCAGGCATTCTAAGGATAGAGGCACCTGGCCTACCCCAGGCATTTTAATGGGAGAGACTCCTGGCCGACCACAGGTGTTCTAATGATAAAGACTTCTGCCTACCTCGGGCATTAAAATGTTAGAGACACCTGTGCAAATTCTGGAATTCTAAGGATAGAGACACCTGGCTTACCCAATACATGCTAACAGGAGAGACTCCTGGTTGACCTCAGGCATTCTAATGGGAGAGATTCCTGGCAGACCCACGGCATTCAAATGATGGGAACTTCTGGCCTCCCTTAGGCTTTCTAATTATAGGGACACCTGTGCAACATCAGGCATTCTCAGAATAAAGGTAACTGGCCAGCGCCAAACATTCTAATGGGTGAGACTCCTGGCTGGCCTTAGGCATTCTAATGGTAAAGACTCCTGTCCAACCCAAGGCATTCTAATGATAGAGACACCTGGGCGAATTTATGCATTCTACAGATAGGGATATCCATTCAAACCCAGGCATTCTAATGAGAGAGACACCTCGGAGACTTCAGGCATTTTAAGAATAGAAACACGTAGCTGACCCAGGCATTCCAATGGGAGACACTCCTGTCCAACCACAGGCCATCTAATGATAGAGACTCCTGGCCGACCACAGGTCTTCTAATGATATAGACAAGTGACCCAGGCATTACAAGGAGAGACACACCAGGCCAATGCCAGGCATTTTAATGGGAGAGAATCCTGGCTGACCCAAGGCTTTCTAATGATACAGACTTCTGGCCAAACTCAGGCATTCTATTGATAGAAACACCTGGATCACCTCAGGCATTCTAAAGATAGAGTCACCTGGCCAATCCCAGGCATTCTAATGGGAGAGATTCCTGGCTGACCACAGGCACTCTAACAGGAGGGGCTCCTGGCCGACCCCAGGCATTCTAATGATATTGACACTTGGGCAACCTCAAGCATTTTAAGGATAGAGACACGTGGCTGAACGCAGACATTCTTATAGCGTCTCCTGACCAACTCCAGGCATTCTAATGAAAGAAAAAAACTGGGCCACTTCAGACATTCTAATGGTAGTGACACCTGCCTGACTTTAAGCGTTCTAACTGGAGAGACTCTTGTACGACCCCAGGCATTCTAAAAGGAGACTGCTGGCCAACCCCAGGCATTCTAATGATAGAGACCCCAGGACTACCTCAGGTCCTTTGTAGGATAAAGATACATGGGCAACCTGAGGCATTCTAACCTCATAGACTCCTGGCCAACCACAGGCAGTGTAATGATAAGGAATTCTGGCCAACCATAGGCATTCTAGTGATAGAGACACATGGGTTACCACAGGCATTCTAAGGATAAAGACTTCTGTCTGACCCCAGGCATTCTAACAAGAGAGACTCCCTGCAGAACTCAGGCATTCTAAAGATAGAGATTTCTGGACTACCCCAGGCATTCTAATAATAGAAGCAGCTGTGCAACCTCAAGCTATCTAAAAATAGAGACCCCTGGCCTATCCAAGGCATTCTAAGAAAAGGGACTCCTGGCCATCCCCAGGCATTCTGATAATAGAGACTGCTGGCCAAACACAGGCATTCTAAAAATAGAGACACCCGGCTGACCCCAAGCATTCTAATGGGAGAGATTTTTGGCTGAACCCAGGCATTCTAAAGATGGAGACTCTTGGCCCACCACAAGCATTCTAATGTTAGAGACACCTGTGCAACCTCAGGTATTTTTAAGGATAAAGACACCTGGCTGACCCCAGGCATTCTAAGAGGAGAGACTCCTGGCCAAGCCAAGGCATTATCATTATAAAGACTCCTACATGACCCCAGGCATTCTAATGATAGAGACACATAGGCGACCTCAGACATTCTAAGGATAGAGACATCTGGTCGACCCCAGGCATTCTAACAGGAGAGACTGCTCTCTGACTCCAGGAATTCTAATAATAGAGACTCCTGGGTGACGCCAGACACTCTGATGATAGAGACACCTGGGCGACCTCAAGCATTCTAAGGTTAGAGACACCTGGCCAACCCCAGCCATTCTACCTGGAGAGACTCCTGGGTAAACCAAGACAATCTAATGATAGAGATTCCTGGCCTACCCCAGCATTGCAATGATAGAGACATCTGTGCGACCTTTGGCATTCTAAGAATAGAGACACGTTGCCAACCCCAAGCATTTGAATGGGACAGACCTTTGGCCGACACTATGCATTCTAACAAGAGAGACACCTGGATGACCCCAGGAATGATAATGGGAGAGACTCCTGGCTGAACTTAGGCATTCTTATGATAGAGACGCCTGGGCAACCTTAGGCATTCTAAAGATAGAGATATCTGCTGAAGCCAGGCATTCTAAAGATAGAGACCCTTGGGTAACCTTAGGCATTCTAAGGATAGAGACTCATGGCCAACATCAAGCATTCGAATGGGAGAGACACATGGTTGACCACAACCATTCTAATCACAGAGACACCTCGATGAACCCAGACATTATAATGATAGAGACACCTGGGCAACTTCAGGCATTCTAAAGATAGAAACACCTAGTCTCGCCTAGGCACTCCAAGGGGAGAGACTGCAGGCCGATTTTCGGCTCTCTAATAGTAGAGGTACTGGCCAACCCCAGGCATTCTAATGATAGAGACACCTGGTTGACCTTAGTCATTCTAACAAGAGAGACTCCTAGCCAACCTCAGGCATTCTAATGAAAGAGACTCTTGGCCGTCCTCAGGAATTGTAATGATAGAGACATCTGGGCGACTTCAGGCATTCTAAGAATAGAGACACCTGTCTGATCCCAGGCATTTTAACAAGAAAGACTCCTGGCTGACTTTAAGCATTCTAATGATGGAGACTCCAGGCTGACCACAGGCATTCTAAGGTTAGAGACACCTGTGCAATCTCAGGCGTTGCAAGAATAGAGACACCTGGCCTAACCCAGGCACTCTAATAACAGAGGCCTAAGGCATCTCAGGCATTTTAAAAATAGAGACACCTGGCCAATCCCAGGCATTCCAACAACAGAGACTTCTGGTCGACTTTGGCATTCTAAAGAGGGAGACTCCTGGCCGACCCAAGGCATTCTAATGATAAAGTCACCTGGGCGACCTCAGGCATTCAAGGATAGAGATACCTTGCCAACTCCAGGCATTTTAATGGGAGAGACTTTTGGCTGACCCCAGGCATTCTAACAGCAGAGACTCCTGGCTGACCTTGGCATTCCAATGATAGAGACACCTGGGCATCCTCACTATTCTAAGTGTAGAGACGCCTGGCCAACTCCAGGCATTCAAAAAGAGAGACTTTTGGCCAAACCAAGGCTTCTCAGTGATAGAGACTCCTAACCTACTCCAGTCGTTCTAATGATAAAGACATCTGGGTGACCTCAGGCAACCCCAGGCATTCAAAAAGAGAGGCTTATGGCCAGACCAAGGCTTCTCAGTGATAGAGACTGCTGACCTACTCCAGTCATTCTAATGATAAAGACCTCTGGGCAATGTCAGGCATTCTAACAACAAAGATTTTTGGCCAACACCAGGCATTCTACTGGGAGAGTTTCATAGCAAACCTCTGGCTTTCTAATGATAGAGACACCTGGGTGACATCAGACAGTATAAAGCTAGAGACACCTGGCTGACTCCAGGCATTCTATTGAGAAAGACCCCTGACCAACCTCAGGCATTGCAATGATAGAGCCACCTGGCTGAAAATAGGGATTTGAGTAATAGACACACCTGTGTGACCTAAGGCATTCTAAAAATACATACACCTGGCCAACCCCAAGCTTTCTAACAGAAGAGAATTCTTGCCGACCAGAGGCATTCTAATGATAGAGACACCTGTGCCACCTAAGTTATTCTAAAAATAGAGACACCTCTTCAACCACAGGCATTTTAACAGGAGAGACTCCTGGCCACACAAGCATTCTAATGATAGAGACTCCTGACCTACCTTATTCATTCTAATGATAGAGAAACCGTGTGACCTCAGGTATTCTAAGGATAGATAGACCTGGCTGACCCCAGGCATACTGACAAGAGAGTATCCTGGCCAACACCAGGCATTCTAATGATACAGACTTCTGGCTCATCGTGGGCAATCCAGTGATACTGTTACCTGGGCAACCTCGCCATTTTAAGAATAGAGACACCTGGCCAACCCCAGGTATTCTAAAGAAAGAGACTCCTGGCCAACCCAAGACATTTGAATGATAGAGACTACTGGCCTAGCCCAGGCATTTTAATGATAGATACATCTGTGCGACCTATGGCATTTTTAAAAGAAAGACATCTGGCCAACCACAGGCATTCTAACAGCAGAGAATCCTGGCTGACCCCAGGCATTCTAATGACAAAGACTCCTGGTCAAACCCAGTTTTTCTAATGATACAGATGCTTGAGCAACCTCGTCGTTCTAAGGATAGAAACACCTGGCCAAGCCCAGGCATTCTGATGGGAGGAGACACATTTGGCCAACCCCAGGCATTCTCATGATAGAGACTCCTGTCTGACCCCAGATGTTCTAATTATAGAAACACCTGAGCAAACTCAGGCATTCTAAGGATAGAGATACTGGGCTGACCCCAGGCATTCTACCAATAGAGATTCCTGGATGACCCCAGGCATTCTAATGGGAGAGACTTCTGGCCAACTCTAGGCATTCTAATGATAGAGACTCCTGGCTGACCCCAGGCCTTCTAATGATAGAGACACTTGGGCGACCTCGCCATTCTAAGAATAGAAGCACCTGGCCAACCTAGGGCATTCTAATGAGAGAGACTCCTGGCCTAACTCAGGCTTTCTAATGATAAGGACTCCTGGCCTATCCAAGGCATTCTAATGATAGACAGGTTGGCGAACTCAGGCATTCTAAGAATAATAACACCTGCACGACCCCAGGCATTTTATTGGAAGAGACTCTTGGCTGAACCCAGGCATTCGAATGACACAGACTTCTGGCCTACCCCAGGCACTCTGGGCCTCTGGGCACTCAGGCACTCTGGCACTCAGGCACTCAGGCACTCTGGGCCAGATAGACACATCTGGGCAACCTCGGGCATTTTAATGATAGAGACTTCTGGCCAACCCCATGCATTCCAATGATACAGACCCCTGGGCAACCTCACCACTTGGATAAAAACACATGGCTGACTTAAGGCATTCTAACAAGAGAGACACCGTGCCAACCCCAGACATTCTAACGATAGAGATTCCTGGGGGAACCCAGGCATTCTAATGATAGAGACACCTGTGTGACATCAGCCATTTTAAAAATAGAGGCACCTGGCCGACCCAAGGCATTCTAATGACAGAGACTCCTGGCCAACCCAGGCATTCCAATAATAGAGACACCTAAGCAACCTCACTATTCTAAGGACAGAGACACCTGGCTGACTCCAGGCTTTCTAATGGGAGAAACTCCTGATTGACCCAAGGCATTCTAAAGGTAGAGACTCCTGGCTGACCCAAAGAATTCTAATGATAGAGACACCTGGGGGACCTCACTATTCTAAGGATAGAGACACCTGGCCAACCCCAGGCATTCTAATGGGAGAGATTCCCGGTCCACCCTAGGATTCCAAACGATAAAGGCTCCTTGCCTATCCAAATCATTTTAGTGATAGACCTGGGCGACCTCAGGGGTTATAAAGTCACCTAGAAGACCCCAAGCAATGCTACTGGAAAGACTCTAAGAGGACCCTAGGCATTCTAATAAGAGAAACACATGCTGTCCCTTGGCATTCTAAAGATAAAGACACCCGTGCGTCCTCAGACATTCTAAGGATAAAGTCATCTGGCTGGCCCAGTTATTCAACAAGAAAGACTTTTGTTTGACTCTAGGCATTCTAACTATAGAGATTATTGTCCTTCCCCAGGCACTGAAATAATAGAGACAGTTGTTCACTCTCAGACATTCTATCAAAAGAGACAGCTGGCAGACCACAAGCATTCTAACAGGAGAGAGTCCTGGCCGACCCCAGCCATTCTAATAGTAGAGACTCCTGGCCTACCACAAGCATTCTACTGATAGAGACACCTGGGGGACCTTAGGCATTCTAAGGATAGAGAAACCTGTCTGACCCCAGGCATTCAAGCGGGAGAGACTTCTGACCAACCCCAGGCAGTCTTATAATAGTGGCTCTTGGCCGACCCAGGCATTCTAATGCTAAGGACAACTGGGCGACCTCACCCAGGCCCATTCCTCACCCTGGCCGCTTTTCTCTGGAAGTGCTTCAACGTCCCCTTACCCCGGGAACATTCTTGATGCTATGGGGTGCCCCTAGTGGGTGAGACTCGAACCCTGGGTGAAAGCCACGAACCCCACTGGCCCAGTGCAGTGGCTGCTGGGAAGTCACAGTCATCTGTGGGAGGACCCAGGCCTAGCCCTTGCCCTGGCCACTTTTTTTCTCAAACTCTCTCAACGATAACTTCCGCCGGGGGCATTTTTGATGCTATGGGGTGCCCCTGGTGGGCAAGACATGAACCCTCGGTGAAAACCAGGGACTCCAAGATCCCCACGGGCACCAGTGCAGAGGCCGCTGGGAAGTCACGGTCGTCCATGGGAGGACCCAGGCCTAGCCCTCAACCTGGCCACTTTTTTTCTCAAACTGCCTCAACATCCCCTTCCCCCATGTGCATTGTTGAAGCTATGGGGTGCCCCTAGTGGGTGAGAAACGAACCCTTGGCAAAAGCCAGGGACCCCATGATCCCACGGGGCCAGTGCAGGGCAGCTGGGAAGTCACGGTCGTCCATGGTAGCACCCAGGCCTAGCCCTCGCCCTGGCCGCTTTTTTTCTCCAACTGCCTCAACGTCACCTTACCCTGGGGGCATACTTTCCTCTTTGGGGTGCCCGCCATGGGGGAGACCTGCACCCAGCGTGCAGACTGGGGTCCCTGCGACCCCCGCGGGCATGGCACAGGGTCTGCTGGGAAGTCACGGGTTTCCTTGGGAAGACCCGGTCCTAGCCCTTGCCCTGGCCGCTTTTTTTCTCTAACTGCTTCAAAGTCCCCTTCCTCCGGGGGCATTCTTGACACTAAAGGTTGCAACTAGTGGGCGAGACAGGAACACTGGGCTAAAGCCAGGGACACCACGATCCCCGGGGGCCCAGCGCCAGGGCTGCTGGGAAGTCACAGTTGTCTATGGGAGGACCCAGGACTACCGGTTACCCTGACTGCTTCTTTTCCCAAACTGCCTTAATGTCCCCTTCCCCTAGTGGCATCCTTGCCGCTTTGGGGTGAACCCTGTGGGAGAGACACGCACCCAGCGTGCAGGCCAGGGTCCCCGTGACCCCTGAGGGGCCACTAGGAAGTCACAGTCTTCCATGGGAGGACCCAGGCCTAGCCCTCACCCTTGCCGCTTTTTTTCTTGAATTGCCTCAACGTCCCCTTCCCCCAGGGGCATTCTTGATGCTATTGGGTGCCCCTAAGGGGAGAGACATGAAACCTCGGTGAAAGCCAGGGACACCATGAACCCTGCAGGCCTGGCGCAGGGGCTGCAGGGAAGTCTCGGTCCTCCGTCGGAGGACCCAGGCCTAACCATTGCCCCTTTTTTCTCAAACTGCCTCAACTTCCCCTTACCCCGGGGGCATCCTTGCCACTTTGGGGTGCACCCCGTCGGGGAGACACACACCCAGGGTGCAGGTCTGGGTCCCCATGACATCCACAGGCCCATTGCCAGAGCTGCTGGGAAGTCATGGTCTTCCCTGGGAGGACCCAGGCCTAGCCCTCAGTCTCGTTGCTATTTTCCCAGAACTGCTTCACTGTCCCCTTCCTCCCGGGGGCATGCTTAACGCTTTGAGGTTCTCCCTGTGGGACAGGTATGAACCCAGGGTGTAGGCCAGCTTCCCCGCCACACCGGTGGTCCCGTCACAGAGGCTGCTGGGAAGTCCCAGTTGTCCGTGGGAGGACCCAGGCCTAGCCCTGGACCTCGCCCCTGCCTTTCAGGACCTGCCCCAATGTCTCCTTCCCCCGGGGGACTTCTTGTCACTTTGTGATATGCCCCATGGGTTAGACACGCACACAGGGTGCAGTCCAGTGTCCTCGCGACCCCCAAGGGCCCAACAGAGGGGATACTGGGAAGTCACGGTTGTCCGTGGGAGGACCCAGGCCTAGCCCTCTGCCTTGTCGCTGATTTTCACTTACTGCTTGAACTTCCCCTTCCTTCAGGAGTCTTCTTGCTGCTTTAGGGTGCCTCATGTGAGTGACACATGCACCCAGAGTGCAGGCCAGGGTCCACGCAATCCTCGCAGACCAGCACTGGGACTCCTGGGAAGCGACAGTCATCCGTGGGAGGATCCAGGCCTACCCTCGACCTTCTCGCTGTTTCTCCTGAGCTACTTCACCGTCCCTCTCAGCTGGGGGCCTCCTTGCTGCTTTGGGTTGCCCCCCGTTGGGTGAGACACCCACACAGGTTTCAGGCCAGGGTTCCGGTGACCCCAGAGGGCCCAGCACAGGGGCTGCTGGGAAGTCATGGTCATCTGTGTGATGACCCAGGCCTAGTCATCTCACTGGTTCGTGGGTTCCCTCGCTTTCACCCACGGTTCGTGTCTTGCTCACTAGTGGCACCCCATAGTGTCAAGAAGCAGTTCTGGAGAAAAGCGGCCTGGGCGAGGACTAGTCCTGGGTTGTCCCACGGACGACCATGACTTCCCAGCAGCCCCTGAGCCAGGCCCACGGGGGTCTCGGGGACCCCGGCCTCTAGGCTGGGTGAGTGTCTCCCCGACGGGGGGTGCCCCAAAGTGGCAAGGATGCCCCCGGGGAAAGGGGACATTGAGGCAATTCGAGAAAAAAAGCAGCCATGGCAAGGTAGTCCTGGGTCCTCCCAAGGACGACCATGACTTCCCAGCAGCCCCTGCACTGTGCCTGTGGGGATCGTGGGGACCGTGAACTGCCTGCTGGGTGAGTGTCTCCCCCAAAGGGGGCACCCCAAAGCAGCAAGGATGCCCCAGGGGGAAGGGGACATTGAGACAATTTGAGGAAAAAAGCCGTCACGGCGAGGGCTAGTCCTGGGTCCAACCACAGACTAGCAGCCCCTACGTTGGGCCCACACAGGTTGAGGGGACCATGGCATGCATGCTGTGTGCATGTCTCCCACCCGGGGGAACCCCAAAGCAGCAAGGGTGCCCCTGGGAGAAGGTGACGTTGAGGCAGTTCGAGAAAAAAAGCGGCCAGGGTGTGCGCTAGGCCTGAATAGTCACACGGACGAGAATGACTTTCCAGCAGCCATGGTGCCAAGCCCACTGGGTTCATGCCGTTCTTGGCTTTTGCCCATGGTACGTGCTCACCCAGGCTGGGGCTACCCATAACGTCAAGAATGCCCCGGGGGAAGGGGACGTTGAAGCAGTTCCGGAGAAAAGCGGGCAGGGCGAGGACAAGGCCTGGGTCGTCCCATGGACGACCGCGACTTCCCTGCAGCCACTGCACCAGGCCCGTGGGGTTTGTGGGGTCTTGGCTTTCACCCAGAGTTTGTGTCTCACCCACTAGGGACATCCCATAGTGTCAAGAATGCCCCCAGGGGAAGGGGACGTTGAAGCAGCTCGGGAAAAAAAGCGGCAAGGCGGAGGGCTAGGCCTGGGTCCTCCCACGGGTGACCGTGATGTCCCAGAAGCCCCTGAGCCAGGCCCACAGAATTCACGGGATCCCTGTCTTTCACCAAGTGTTTGTGTCTTGCCAAGTGTGGTTACCCCAAAGTCTCAAAAAGGTCCCTGGAGGCAGGAGACTTTGAGGCAGTTGGTGAAAAGCAGCGACGAGGCAGAAGGCTAGGCCTGGGTTCTCCCATGGATGACCGTGACTTCCCAGCAGCCACTGAGCTGGGCCCGCAGGTTTCGTGCAGACTCTGGCTTTCATCCAGGGTGCGTATCTCAACCACAGGGGCCACCCAAAGCAGCAAGGTAGCCCCCAGAGGAAGGGGACGTTGATGCATCTAGGGGAAAAAAGGAGCGAGGCTGAGAGCTAGGCTTGTGTTCTCCCACAGGTGACTGTGACTTCCCTACAGCACCTGTGTTGGGCCCACTGGATTAGTGGGGTAAATGGCTTTCACCCAGGTTGCGTGTCTGACCCATGGGGGAAACCCCATAGTGTCAAGAATACCCCAGGGGAAGGGGATGTTGAAGCTGTTGAAGGAAAAATGCCTCCAGAGCGAGGACTAGGCCTGGTTCCTCCAGTGGATGACTGTGACTTCCCAGTAGCCTTTGCACAGGGCTCGCAGGGGTCGTGGGGATCCTGGCCTGCAACCCGGGTGCGTGTCTTGCCCATGGGGGGCACCCCAACAAGGCACAGCAGCCGTTGTGCCAGGCCCACGGGGTTCATGTTGTCCCTGGCTTTTATGCAGGGTGGATGTCTCGTGGATGGAGTGCACCCCAAATCAGCAAGGAGGCCCCGGGAGGAAGGGGATGGTGAAGCATCTTGTGAAATCACCGACGAGGCCGAGGGCTAGGCCTCGGTCCTCCCACAGATGACCGTGACTTCCCAGCAGTCCCTGCGCCGGGCCCGCTGGGTTCATGGGGTTCCTGGCTTTATGCAGGGTTCATGTCTCCCTGACTGGGGCCACTCCAAGGCAGCAAGGAAGCCTCTGGTGAAAAGGGACGTTGAAGCAGCTCAAGAACAAAAGGGGTGAAACCGAGGGCTTGTTCTGGGTCTTCTCATGGATGATGGTGATGTCCCAGCATCACCTGCACCTGGCCTTCGGGTTTCATGCGGCCCCTGGCTTTCACCCAGGGTTTGTGTCTCACCCACGGGGTCACCTCAAAGTCTCTAGAAGGCCCCCGGAGGAAGGAGACATTGATACACTTTGTGAAAAGCAGTGAGGATACCCAGGGCTTGGCCTGGGTTCTCTGACAACTGTGACTTCCCAGAAGTCCCTGCGCTGAGCCCGCGGGTGTCGCAGGCACCCTGTCCTGCACCCTGGGTATGTGTCTTGCCCATGGGGGTGCACCCCAAAGCAGCAAGAAGGCCCCCAGAGGAAGGGGACTTTGAGACAGTTCTTGAAAAGCAGCAATGAGGCCGAGGGCTAGGCCTGGGTCCTCCCACGGACGACTGTGACTACCCAGCAGCCCCTGCGCAGGGCTGGCAGGGGTATTGGCGTCCCTGGCTTTTATGCAAGTTTCATGTCACACCCACGAGAGGCACCTTCAAATGGCAAGGAGGCCCCTGGAGGAAAGCAACAGTGATGTAGCTCGTGAAAAGCAGAGACGGGGCAGAGGGGTAGGCCTGGGTTCTCCCTCGGACCGTGACTTCCCAGCAGTCCCTGAGCCAGGCCTGCTGAGTTTGTAGGGTACCTGGCTTTTATGCAGGGTGCATGTCTCACTGAAGGGGGGTACCACTAAGTGGCAAGGAAGTCCCCGGTAGAAGGAGACGTTGAAGCAGCTCGGAAAGGAAAGTGGCAATGCCCAGGGCTAGGCCTGGATCCTCTCACGGATGCCCGTGACGTCCCAGTAGCCCCTGCGCCAGGCCTGCGGCATTACTGTGGTCCCTGCCTTTCACCCAGTATTCATGTCTCACTCACGGGGTCACCCCAAAATGTCATGAAAGCCCCCGGAGGAAGGAGACATTGAGGCAGTTCGTGAAAAGCAGCAACGAGGCTGAGGGTAGTCCTGGGTTCTTCCACGGACTACCGAGACTTCCCAGAAGCCTCTGCACCAGGCCCGTGGGTGTCGCGGGCATCCTGTCTTGCAAACTGGGTGCACGTCACACCCACGTGGCCCACCCAAAAGCGACTAGAATGCCCCGGGAGGAAGGGGACATTGAGGCAGTTCTTGAAAAGCAGCGACGAGTCCAAGGGCTCTGCCTGGGTCGTCCCACAGACAACCACGGCTTCCCAGCAACTTCTGCGCTGGCCCGTTGTGTTTAGAGGGTCCCTGACCCTTACACAGCATTCATGTCTCACACACCGGGGTGGGCACGCCAAAGCAGCAAGGAACCCCCTCAGGAAGAAGGGGACCTTGAAGGGGCTCGGGAGAGAAAGCAGTGAGGCTGAGGGCTAGGTCTGGGTCCTCCCACCAACGGCCGTGACTTCCCAGGAGCCCCTGTGCTGGGCTCGAAGGATTCTTGCAGTCCCTGGATTTCACCCAGTGTGCGTGTCTCACCCACTGGGGGCACCCCACAGTGGCAAGAAAGCCCCAGGAGGGAAGGGGACATTGAATCAGCTCAGCAAAAAAAGCAGCAAAACCCAGGGCTAGGCCTGGGTTCTCCCGTGGATGACCGTGACATCACAGCAGCCCCAGTGCTGGGCCCTTGCATGTCTTAGGTTCCCTGGCTTTTACGCAGGGTTCATGTCACACCCACGTGGGGCATCCCAAAGTGGCAAGGAGGCCCCCGGAGGAAAGGGACATTGTAGTAGCTCATGAAAAGCAGAGGAGAGGCCAAGGGCTAGGCCTGTGTCCTCCCACGGATGACTGTGACTTCCCAGCAGCCCCTGTGTCAGGGCCACAGGGTTTGTAGGGGTCCCTGGCTTTCACCCAGGTTTCGTGTCTCACCCACAGGGTCACCCCAAAGCAGCAAAGAAGCCCCCAGAGGAAGGGGATGTTGAAGAAGCTCGTGAAAAGCAGGAATGAGGAAGAGGGCTAGGCCTGGGTCCTCCCACGGACGACCATGACTTTTCAGCAGCCCTTGCGCCATTTCCTCTGGGTTCGTGGGGTCCCTGGCTTTTATGCAGTGTTCTTGTTCATGCCCATGGTGGGCACGCCAAAGCGGCAAGGAAGCCCCCGTTGGAAGGGGAAGTTGAAGCGGCTCCGGAAAAACAGCGGCAAGGCCCAGGGCTAGGCCTGGATCCTCCCACGGACCGCTGTGACATCCCACCAGCACACGTGCTGGGCCTGCGGGGTTTGTGGGGTCCCTAACTTTCACCCAGAGTTTGTGTGTCACCCACGGGGGTCACCCCAACGTGTCAAGAAGGACCCCAGTGGAAGGAGACGTTGAGGCAGTTAGTGGAAAGCAGTGACGACTCTGAGGGCTAGGCCTGGGTTCTCGCAAGGATGACCATGAATTGCAAGCAGCCCCTGCGCCCTGGCTTGCACACTGGGTGCATGTCTCGCCCACGAGGGGCACCCCTAAGCCGTAAGAAGACCCCTGGAGGAAGGGGACTTTGAGGCAGTTCCTGAAAAGCGGTGGCGAGGCCCAGGGCTTGGCCTCGGTCATCCCACAGATGACCATGACTTCCCAGCAGCACCTGCACCAGGCCCTTGGGGGTCTTGGGGTTTCTGGCTTTTACACAGGGTTTGTATCATGCCCACGGAAGGCACCCTAAAGTGCCAAGGCATCCCCTGGAGGGAGGGGACGGTGAAGCAGCTCATGAAAAGCAGCAATGAGGGTGAGGGCTAGGCCTGGGTCCTCCCACGGACGACCATGACTTCCCAGCAGCCCCTGCGCCAGGCCTGGGGGGTTCGTGGGGTCCCTGGCTTTTATGCAGGGTTTGTGTCTCACCCATGGGGTTACCTCAAAGCGGCAAGGAAGCCCCAGGGGGAAGGGGGTGTTGAAGCAACTGGGGAAAAAAGCAGCAAGGCTGAAGGCTAGGCTTGGGTCCTCCCACAGAGGACTGTGACTTCCCAGCAGTCCCTGCACTTGGTCCGCAAAGTTTGTGGGGTCCGTGGCTCTCACCGAGGGTTTGTGTCTCGCCCACTGGGGTCACCCCAAAGTATCAAGAAACCCCCGGAGGAAGAAGACGTTGAGGCAGTTTGTGAAAAACAGTGACGAGGACGCAGGATAGGCCTGGGTTCTCCTATGGACCACTGTGACTTCCCCACAGCCCCTGTGCTGGGCCTGCAGGGACCTAAGAGACCCTGGCCTGCACCCAGGGTATGTGTCTCGGCCACAGGGGACACCTCATAGCATCAAGAATGCCCCCGGGGGAAGGAGATGTTGAGGCAGTTTGAGAAAAAAAGCGACCAGTGCAAGGACTAGGCCTGGGTCCTCCCACGGATGACCGTACCTTCCCAGCAGCCTCTGAGCCGTGCCCGTGGGGGTTGTGGGAACCTGGCCTGCACCCTGGGTGCATGTCTCACCCACGGGGGGCACCCCAAAGAGGTAAGAAGGCCACCAAAAAATGGGGACATTGAGGAAGTTCATGAAAAGTAGCGACGAGGCCGAGGGCTAGGCCTGGGTCCTCCCACGGATGAACGGGCCTTCCCAGCAGCCCCTGCGCCAGGCCCGCAGAGTTTGTGGGGTCCCTGACATTCATCCAGGGTGCTAGTCTCGCCCACGGGGGGCACGCCAAAGTAGCAAGAAGGCCCCTGGAGGTAGGGGACTTTGAGGCAATTCGTGAAAAGCACTGGTAAGGCCAAAGTCTAGGCCTGGTTCCTCCCACGGAAAACAGTGATTTCCCATCAGCCCCAGCACCAGGCCTGCGGGGTTCGTGGGGTCACTGGCTTTCACCCAGGGTGTGTGTCTCGCCCATGGGGGGCACCCCAAAGTGGCAAGGAGGCCTCTGGCAGATGGAGAAATTGAAGCAGCTGGTGAAAAGCAGGGGCAGTGGGGCTCGTGCGGTCACCGGCTTTCACCCAGGGTGCCTGTCTCTCACACTGGGGCACCCCAAAGTGGCAAGGAAGCCCCCAGAGGAAGGGGACTTTGAGGCAGCCGGGGGAAAAAAGTGGCAAAGATGAGGGCTAGGCCTGTGTCATCCCACGGAAGACCGTGACTCCAAGCAGCCCTTGTGCTGGGCACGCGGGTTTTGTGGGTAACTGGCTTTCACCCAGGGTGCATGTCTCACCCACGGGGGGCAACCCATAGTTGCAAGAATGCCCCCGGAGGAAGGGGAGGTTGAGGCAGTATGAGAAAAAAAGCGACTAGGGTGAGGACTAGGCCTGGGTCTTCCCACGGACGACCGTGACTTCCCAGCACCCTCTGCGCCAGGCCCGCAGGGGTCGCGGGGACACTGGCCTGCACCCTGGGTGGGTGACTTACCCAAGGAGGGCACCCCAAAATGGCAAGAAGGCCCCCAGAGGAAGGGGACATTGAGGCAGTTCATGAAAAGCAGCCACGAGGCCGAGGGCTAGGCCTGGGTCCTCCCACGGATGAACATGACTTCCCAGCAGCCCCTGCGCCATGTCCGTGGTATTCGTGGTGTCCCTGGCTTCTGTGCAGGATTCGTGTATCACCCAAGGGTGCATGTCTCACCCACGGGGGCACCCCATAGCGTTAAGAATGCCCCTGGGTGAAGGGGACGTTGAGGCACTTCGGGAAAAAAAGTGGCTAGGCCGAGGGCTAGGCCTGGGTTGTCCCATGGATGACCATGACTTCCCAACAGCCCCTGTGCTGGGCCCGTAGGGGTCGTGGGGTCCTTGCCTTTCACCCAGGGTGTGTGTCTCGCCCAAGAGGAGCACCACATAAGGTCAAGAATCCCCCGGTGGAAAGGGGACATTGAGGAAGTTTGGGAAAAAAGCGGTGAGGCTGAGGGCTAGGCCTGGGTCCTCTTACGGACAACCGTGACATCCCAGTAGCCCCTGCGCTGCACCTGCAGGGGTCGTGGGATGCCTGCCTTTCACCCAGGGTGTGTGTCTCGCCCAAGGGGGGCACCACATAACGTCAAGAATTCCCCCATGGAAAGGGGACGTTTAGGCAGTTCGAGAAAAAAAGCGGCGAGGCCGAGGGCTAGGCCTGGGTCATCCCACAGATGACCGTGACATCCCAGCAGCCCCTGCGCCGGGCCCATGGGGGTCTCGGGGACCCTGGCCTGCACTCTTGGTGCTTGTCAAGCCCACAGGGGCACCGCAAATCGGCAAGGAGGCCCCCAGCGAAGTGGGACAATGAAGCAGCTCGGGAAAAACAGCGACAAGGCCAAGAGCTATGCCTGGATCCTTCCACAGATGACTGGGACATCCCAGCAGCCCCTGCTCCAGGCCCGCTTGGTTCATGAGGTGCCTGGACTGCACCCTGGGTGCGTGTCTTGACCACAGGGGGCACCCCAAAGCAGCAAAGAGGTCCCCGGTGTAAGATGACGGTGAAGCAGCTTGGGAAAACAAGCAGCGAGGCCGAGGGCTATGCCTGGGTCATCCCACGGACGACATTGACTTCCCAGCAGCCCCTGTGTCTGGCCCACGGTGGTCAGGTCAGGGGGCTCCCTGGTTTTCACCCAGGGTGCAAGTCTCAGCCACAGAGGGCACCCCAGAGAAGCAAGAAGGCCCCCAGAGGAAGGGGATGTTGAAGCAGCTCAGGAAAAAGAGCAACGAGGCAGAGGGCTAGGCCTGGGTCGTCCCACGGGTGACCGTGACTTCCCAACAGACCCTGCTCCAGGCCCACGGTGGTCGTCGGGTCCCTGGCTTACACCCAGTGTATGTGTCTCGCCCATGGGGGTCACCCCAAAGTGGCTAGGAGGCCCCCAGGCCAATGGGACGTGGAGGCAGCTCTGGAAAAATAGGGGACAGGGCGAGGAATAGGCCTGGATCCTCCCAAGGATGTCCTTGTCTTCAAAGAAGCACCTGCGCTGGGCCCGCCGTGGTAGCAGGGACCATGGCCTGCACCTAGGGTGCGTACCTGTCCCACAGGGGCACCCCAAAGTGGCAAGAATGCCCCCGGAGGAAGGAGACAATGAAGCAGTTTGGGAAAGGCAGCCGCGAGGCCAGGGCTAGGCCTGTGTCCTCCCACGGTTGACCGTGACTTCCCTGCAGCCCGGCGCTGGGCCCGCAGTGGTCGTGGGTACCCAGGCTTTCACCCAGGGCACGTGTTTCACTTACTGGGGTCACCCCAAAACGGGAAGAAGGCCCCCGGAAGAAGGGGACAATCAGGGAGCTCAGGAAAAACAGCAGCGAGGCCGAGTGCTAGGCCTGGGTCCTCTCATGGATGACTGTGACTTCCCAGCAGCCCCTGTGCTGGGCCCGCGGGGGTCCTGGCATCACTGGCTTTCGCCAAGGATGCATGTCTCACCCACGGGGGGCTGGTGGGCACCCCAAAGCACCAAGAATGCCCTGGGTAAAGGAGACGCACATAAGGTTTTAAAGGGGACATTGAGGCATCTCGGGAAAAAAAGAGGCCAGGGTGAGGAATTGGCCTGGGTAATCCTATGGGTGACCGTGACTTCCCAGCAGCCCCTGCGCCGGGCCCGCGGGGGTCATGGGGTCCCTAGTTTTCACCCAGGGTGCATGTGTCGCCCAGGGGATTCACCACAAAGCAGCAAGAAGGCCCCCAGAGGAAGGAGACGTTGAAGCAGCTCAGGAAAAAAAAAGCGACGAGGCCTAGGGCTAGGCCTGGGTCGTCCCTCAGATGACCGTGATTTCCCAGCATCCCCTGCGCCAGGCCCGCGTGGGTGGCGTGGGCCCTGGCCTGCACCTGTCCCACGGGGGCACCCCAAATTGTCAAGACAGCCCCTGAGGGACATTGAGGCACTTTGGGAAAAGCAGCAGCTACTCCGAGGGCTAGGTCTGGTTCCTCCCACGGACGAACGTGATTTACCAGCAGCTCCTGCGCTGGGCCCGTGGGTGTCGTGGGGTCCCAGGATTGGACACAGGGTACGTGTCTTTCCCATGTGGGACACCCCAAATTGGTAAGAGGTCCCCTGGGAAAAAGAGACCGCACATAAGGCTTTAAACGGGATGTTGAGGCACCTCAAGGAAAGAAACGGCAAGACCGAGACCTAGGCCTGGGTCCTCACAGGAACGACTGCGACTTCCCAAAAGCACCTGCGCCATGCCCGCGAGGTTCGGGGGGACCCTGGCCTGCATCTTGGATGCGTACCTGTTTTACGGGGGCACCCCAAGCATCAAGAAGGGGACATTGATGCAGTTCGGGGAAAAAAAAGTGGCCAGGGCAAGGACTAGGCCTGGGTCCTCCCACAGATGACTGTGACTTCCCAGCAGCCCCTGCGCCCGGCCCTCCAGGGTCGCAGAGTCCTGGCCGGCACCCTGGGTGCGTACCTGCTTCACGGGGTGCACCCCAAAGGGTCAAGAAGGCCCCGAGGGAAAACTACGTTGACGCAGTTCAGGAAAAGCAGCGGCAAGGCAGAGGGCTAGGCCTGGGTCATTTCATGGATGACCGTGACTTCCCAGCAGCCCCTGCACCAGGCCCGCTGGGGTCTTTGAGGAAGCTTGGGAAAAACACCGATGAGGCCGAGGGCTAGGCGGCACCCCAAGTCGGCAAGAAAGCCCCCGGACAAAGGGGACTTTGAGGCAGCTCATGAAAAGAAGCCGCCAGGGCGAGGACTAGGCCTGGGTCATCCCAGGGAGGACTGTGAATTCCCAGAAGCCCTCGGCCTCGCTGCTGCTTTTCGTGAATTGCCTCAACATCCCCTTCCCCCGGGGGCCTTCTTGACGATTTGGGGTGTCCCCCGTGGGACAGGTACACACCCAGGGTGCAGGCCAGGGTCTTTGCGACCCCCTTGGGCCTGGCGCAGGGGCTGCTGGGAAGTCAAGGTCGTACGTGGGACAAACCAGACCTAGCCCTCGGCCTTGAGGCTGTTTTTACGGAGCTGCCTCAAGGTCCCCTTCCCCCTGGGGGCGTGCTGGACACTTTGGGTTGCCCCCCATGGGCGAGACACGCATCCTGGGGGAAAGCCAGGGACCCCCAAGACCCCCGCGGGACCGGCGCGGGAACTGCTGAGATGTCACGGTTGTCCCTTGGAAGACCCAGGCCTAGTCCTCGGCCTCGCCACTTCTTTTCCCAAGGTGCCTCAACGTCCCCTTTAAAGCCTTAGGTGCGGTCTTTTTCCGAGGGCATTATTGCCGCTTTGGGGTGCCCACCATGAACAAGACACACACCCACAGTGCAAGCCAGAGAGCCCACGACCCGCGCGGGCCCTGCGCAGGGGCTGCTGGGAAGTCACAGTCATTCGTGAGAGAACACAGGCCTAGTCCTCGCCCTGGCTGCTTTTTTTCCAGAGCTGCTTCAATGTCCCCTTTCCCCGGGTACCTTCTTGCCGCCTTTGGGAGTCCTCCGTGGGCGACACATGCACCCTGGGTGAAAGCCAGGGACCCTACTGCCCCCGCGGGCCCTGCACAGTGGCTGCTGGGAAGTCACGGTCATCCGTGGGTGGACCCTGATCTAGTCCTCACCTTGGCGGCTTTTTTTTTCTTGAACTGCCTCAAAGTCCCCTTCCACCAGGGGCCTTCTTCCCGTTTTGGGGTGCCCCCCATGGGTGAGACACTCACCGTGGATGAAAGCCAGGGACCCCACGACCCCCACAAGTCCAGCGCAGGAGCTGCTGGTAAGTCACATTCCTCCCTGGAAGGACCCAGGCCTAGCCCTCAGCCTCGCCGCTTGTTTTCCCGAGGTGCCTCCAGGGGACGACAACAGCCTCTCTCTTGGCCTCGCCGCTTTTTAACCCAGGCTACCTCAACGTCCCCTTGAAAGCCTGGTATCCTTTCCAAGTTGCCTGGGAAACTTCCTGCCACTCTGGGATGCGCCCTGTGGGGAAGACACGCACCCTGGGTGAAAGCCAGGGACTAGATGATCCCCTGGGTCCCATGCAGGGGCTGCCGGGAATGCAATGGTCTCCGGAGAAGACAAATGCCTCGTTTTTGGCCTTGCCGCTTTTTTCCCCACGCTGCCTCAACGTCCCCCTGAAAGCCTGGTGTCCTGTCCCCGTTTCCCAGTGGATATTTTTTTGTTTTGGGGTGCACCCCGTGGGGTGACACACACCCTGGGTGAAAGCCAGGGACTCCACCACCACCTCGTGCCCGGTGCAGGACCTGCCGGGAAGGCACTGGCCTTTGTGGGAGGAACACAGCCTCCTCCTAGCACTCGTCTCTTTTTTCCTCGGGCTGCCTCAACATCCCCCTGAAAGCCTGGATTGCTGTCCCCGTTTCCTGGGGAAATTATTTTTGATTTGGTGTTCCCCCTTTGGAGGAGACGCACACCCTGAATGAAGTCTATGGACCCCACGACTCCCCACACCCAGCCCCGGCAAAGGGGCTGCCGAGAACACACTGGCCTCCGTGGGAGGAGCCTAGCCTCCTCCTCGGCCTAGCTGCTTGTTTCCCCGGGCTGCCTCAACGTCCTCCTGAAACCCTCGTATCCTGTTCCAGTCCCCTGGGTACTTCTTGTTGCTTTGGGGCGCCCCCTGTGGGGGAAACACACACCCTGGGTGAAAGCCAGGGACTCCACGTCCCCCCCAGCCTGGCCCAGGGGCTGCTGGAAAGGCTCTGGCCTGCGGGGGAGTACACCAGCCTGCTCCTCGGCCTCGCCCCTTTTTTCACCGGGCAGCCTCAACGTCACCCTGAAAGCCTGGTGTCCTTTCCCCGTCCACGGAGGGACTTCTTGCTGCTTTGGGGTGCCCCGAGCGAAGGCAACGTGTGCCCTGGGCAAAAGCCAGGTACGCCACGACCCCCAGTGGCCCAGCACAGGGGCTGCCGGGAAGCCACTGGCCTCCGGAGGATGACTCCAGCCTCCTACTCCGCCTCTCCGCTTTTTTCCCCTGGCTATCTCAATGCCCCCTGAAAGCCTGACGTCCTGTCACCCTCTCTAGGGGCACTTTTGGTCGCTTTGGAGTGCCCGGTGTGGCAGGAGCTGCTGGGAAGGCACTGGCCTCCGTGGGACAACAACAGCCTCCTCCTTGGCCTCGCCGATTTTTACCCTGGGAGTCCTCAACGTCCCCCTGAAAGCCTGGCTTCCTTTTCATGTTTCCTGGGAAATTTGTTGCCACTTTGGGGTGTGCCCTGTGGGGAAGACACGCACCCTGGATGAAAGCCAGGGACTACATGACCCCCGGGGTTTCATGCAGGGGCTGCCAGGAAGGCAATGGTCTCTTGGGAAGAAAACAGCCTCGTCCTCGGCCTCACCGCTTTTTTCCCTGCACTGCCTCAACGTCCCCCTGAAAGCCTGGTGTCCTGTTCCCGTTTCCGGGGGATTGATTTTTGCTTTGGTGTGCACCCTGTGGGGTGACACAAACCCTGGGTGAAAGCCAGGGACTCCACGACCACCCCGGGCTGGTGCAGGACGTGCCGAGAAGGCACTGGCCTTTGGGGAAGGACCACAGCCTCCTCCTAGCCCTCGCCTCTTTCTTCCTCGGGCTGCCTCAACATCCGCCTGAAAGCCTGGCATGCTGTCTCTTTCCTGGGGGAATTATTTCCGCTTTGGTGTGCCCCCTTTGGGGGAGACGCACACACTGAATGAAGGTCAGGGACTCCACGATCCCCCCCCACCCGCCAGGCCCGGCAAAGGGGCTGCCGAGAACACACTGGCCTCCACGGCAGGACCCCAGCCTCCTCCTCTGCCTTGCGGTTTCTTTCCCCAGGCTGCCTCAGTGTCTCCCTGAAACCCTGGCGTCCTGGCCCTGTCCCCTGGGGACTTCTTGCGGCTTTGACGTGCCCCCCATGGGGGAGACACGCACCCTGGGTGAAAGCCAGGGACTCCACCACTCCCCCCCCCGCCAGGGACAGCGCAGGGGATGCCGGTGAGGCACTGGCATCTGGGGGAGGACCCCAGCCTCCTCCTCAGCCTCGCCACTTTTTTTCCCGGGCTTCCTCCATGTCCCCTTTAAAGTCTGGCGTCCTGTTTCCATCCCTGGGGGACTTCTGGCCACTTTGGGGGTGCCCCTGTTGGGGGAAAAATGCACCCTGGGTGAAAGCCAGGGACTCCACGTCCCACCCGGTGCGGCGCAGGGGCTGCTGGGAAAGCACTGGCCTGAGGGGGAGTACACCAGCTTGCTCCTTGGTTTTGCTACTTTTTTCACAGGGCTGCCTTAACATCCCCCTGATAGCCTGGTGTCCTCTCCCCATCCCATGGGGTACTTCTTGCTGCTTTGGGATGCCACCAGTAGGGGAAACACGCAACATGGGTGATAGCCAGGGACTCCACAACCCTCCCGGGTCCTGCGCAGGAGTTGCTGGAAAGGCACTGGCCTCCCAGGGGAACCTTAGCCTCCTCGGCCACTGCGCTTTTTTCCCCGTGCTGCCTTAACATCCCCCTGAAAGCCTGGCTTCCTGTCCTCGTCTGCCCGGGGAATTCTTTCCACTTTGGTGTGACCCCCGTGGAGTGACACGCACCCTGGGTGAAAGCCAGGGACCCAACGAAGGGTCGGGCCTGGCACTGAAGCTTCTGGGAAGGCACTGACCTCTGGGGTAGCGTCCCAGCTTCCTCCTCAGCCTCAGCGCTGTTTTCTCTGGGCTGCCTCAATGTCCCGCTGAAATCCTGGCATCATGTCCCCATCCCCTGAGGGACTTCTTGATGCTTTGGGGTGCTCCCTGTGGGGGCGACACGCGCCCTGGGTGAAAGCCAGGGACTCCACGACCCCTCATGGCCCGATGCAGGGCTTGGTGGGAAGGCACTAGAATTTGGGGGAACAACCCAGCCTCCTCCTCGGCCTCGCTGCTTTTTTCCCCGGGCTGCCTTAATGCCACCTGAAAACTTGATGTCCTGTCACCATCTCCAGGGTATCTTCTTGCTGCTTTGGGGTGCCACCCGTTGGAGAGGCATGCACCCTAGGGGAATGCCGGGGACTCCATGAACCCCTGAGGCCCTGCGCAGGGGCTGCCGGGAAGGCACTGGGTTCTTGGGGAGGACCACAGTCTCCTCCTCGGCCCGTCCCTTTTTACCTCAGGCTGCCTCAACCTCTCCCTGAAAGCCTGGCGTCCATTCCCCATTTCCTGGGAAACATCTTGTCGCTTTGGGGTGCGCCCCGTGAAGGAGACACGCTGGGTGAAAGCCAGGGACTCCACAACCACCCCCCGCCCCCACCCCGGGCCCAGTGCAGGGGCTGCCGTGAAGGCACTGGCCTCCCTGGGAGTACCCCAGCTTCCTGCTTTGCCTCAGTGTTTTTTTCCCTGGGCTGCCTGAATGTCCCCCTGAAAGCCTGGTGTCATGTCCCCATACCCCCAGGGACTTCTTGCCACTTTGTGTTGCCCCCCACTGTGGGAAGGACACGCACCCTGGGTGAAGGACAGGGACTCCAACACACCCCCAGGTGCCATGCAGGGGCTGCTGGGAAGGCTATGGTCTCCGGAGAAGACACCAGTCTCCTTGGCCTCGTCGCTTTTTTCCCAAGGCTGCCTCAACATCTCCCTGAAAGCCTTGAGTCCTGTCCTCGTCCCCCAAGGGACTTCTTTTTGCTTTGGTGTGCTCCCCGTGGAGTGACACGCACACTGGGTGAAAGGCAGGGAATCCACGACCCCTGCAGGCCCCGCACAGAGGCTGCCGGAAATGCACTGGCTCTTGGGGAGGACCCCAGCCGTCTCGGCCTCGCCTCTTGTTTCCCAGGCTGCCTAAATGTCCCCCTGAAAGCCTGGCGTACTGTCCCCATTCCCTAAGGTACTTCTTGTCACTTTGGGGTGCCCCAAGTGGGGAAGACACACAAACTGGGTGAAAGCCAGCGACTCCATGACCCCCTTGGCCCTGGCGCAGGAGATGCTGGAAAGGCACTGGCCTCCGGGAAGAACCCCAGCCTCCTCGGCCTCACTGCTTTTTTCCCTGGATTGCTTTAAAGTGCCCCTGAAAGCCTGGCGTCCTGTCCCCATCCCCGGGGGGACTTCTTGGCACTTTGGGGTAACCCCCGTCGGGAAGACACGCACCCTGGGTGAAAGCCAGGGACTCCACGCCCCCCACCCCCAACCAGGCCCGGCACAGGGAATGCCGGGAAGGCACTGGCCTCTGGGTGAGGACCCCAGCCTCCTGCTTGGCCTAGCCACTTTTGTCCCCGGGCTGCCTCAATGTCCCCCTGAAAGCCTGGCATCCTGTCCCCGTCCCCTGGGGTACTTTTCACGCCTTTTGGGCGCCCCCTCCTGTGGTAGAAGCCCGCACTCTGAGTGAAAGCCAGAAAAGCCGTGACCCCCCGGGGCCTGGCGCAGAGGCTGCTGGGAAGGAACTGGCCTCCATGGAAGTGCCCCAGCCTTCTTGCCCTCCCGGCTTTTTTCCCCCGGCTGTCTCAGTGTCCCACTGAAAGCCTGGCGTCATATCCCCATCCCCCGGGAAACTTCATGCCCCTTTGGGGTGCCCCCCGTGGGGAAGACACGCACCCTGGGTGAAAGCTAGGGACTCCATGAACACCCCGGGCCCAGCACAGGGGCTGCCCAGAAAGCACTGGCCTCCAGGGAAGACACCAGCCTCCTCCTCAGCCTCGCCCCTTTTTTCCCTGGGCTGCCTCAACGTCCCCCTTAAAGCCTTGTGTCCTGTCCTTGTTTCTCAGGGAACTTCTTGTTGCTTTGGGGTGACCCTGTGCCTTCTGAGGGAGAGACACGCACACCGGGTGGTAGCCAGAGTTTCCACAACCCCCCCCCCCCCGGGTCAGGCGCAGGGGCTTTCGGGAAGTCCCTGACCTCTGGCAGAACACCCTGGCTTCTTCAACCTCCCCCTGAAAGCCTGGCCACCTGAATCCGTCCTCCGCAGGACTTCTTGCTGCTTTGGGGTGCCTTTGGTGGGAGAGACATGCACACCGGGTGGGAGCCAGGGACTCCATGACCCCCCGCCAGGTGGGGCACGAGGCTGCTGGGAAAACCCTGACTTCTGGCAGGGCACCCCGGGTTTTCAACATCTCCATGAAACCCTGGCCACCTGTCTTTGTCCCTGGGAAACTTCTAGCCTATTTGGGTTGCCTTGGATAAGACAGAGATGCCCCCCAGGTGGTAGCCAGTGACTACATGACCTCCCTGGGTTGGGTGCAGTATCTGCCAGGAAGGTCCTGACTTCCAGTGGGGCACACTGGCCTCGTCTTTGCCATTAAGGCTTTTGTCCTAGGCCTGCCTCAACCTCCCCGTGAAAGCCTGGCCGCCTGTATCCATCCCCCGGGGGGCATCTGGCCACTTTTGGGTGCCTTTGGTGGGAGAGACAGGCACCCCAGGTCAAGTGCAAGAGCCACCGAGAAGGCCCTTACCTCTGGTGGGGCACTCAGCCTCCTCAACCTCCCCCTGAAAGCCTGGCCGCCTGTGTCCATCCACTGGGGGACTTCTGGCCACTTTGGGGTGCCTTCAGTGGGAGAGACATGCACCCCACTTGGGAACCAGGGACTCCACGGACCCCCCGTGTCAAGTGCGGGTGCTGCTGGGAAGGTCTTGACCTCCAGCTGGTCACCCCAGCCTGCTCAACCTCACCCTGAAAGCCTGGCCGCCTGCTTTCGTTCCCCTGGGGATTTCTCACCACTTTGAGGTTTTTTCGGTGGGACAGACACCCACCCCGGGTGGGGGTCAGAAACTCAACCACCCCACCAGGTCAGGCACTGAAGCTGTTGGGAAGGCCATGACCTCTAGCAGTGCACCCCGGCCTTCTCAACCTCCCCCTGAAAGTCTTGTTGCCTGGGGGAATTCTGGCTGCTTTGGTGTGCCTTCAGTGGGAGAAACAGGCACCCTGGGTGAAAGTCAGTTACTCCATGACCCCGACGGAGTGGGCTCAGCTTCTGCCAGGAAGGCCCTGACCTCTGACGGGGCACCCCGGCATCTGCTTTGGCCTTGCCGTGATTGTCCCAGGCCTGCCTCACCCTCCACTTGAAAGCCTGGCCGCCTGTCTCTGTCCCCCAGGGGACATTTTGCAGCTTTGAGGTGCCTTCTGTGGGAGAGACATGCACCCCAGGTGGGAGCCAGGGACTCCACGAACCCCGTGATGGGTTCAGGTGATGTCAGGAAGGCCCTAACCTCTGGGAGGAACCCCAGCCTCCTAAACCTCCCCCTGAAAGCCAGGCCGTCTGTCTCCTTGCCCCAGTGGACTTCATGACATTTTGGCATGCATTCAGTGGGAGAGACTTGCACCCTGGGTAGGAGCCAGGGACTCCACAACACCCCCTGGTCTGGCACCAGGGCTGCCAGGAAGGCCCCAACCTCTGGTGGGGCACATTGAACTCTTCTTTGGCCTTGCCGCTTTGGTCCCAGGCCAGCCTCAACCACTTCCTGAAAGCCTGGCCGCCTGTTTCCGTCCCCCGGGGGACTTCCTGTGCTTTGGGGTGCCTTCAGTGGGAGAGACTTGCACCCTGGGTGGCAGCCAGGGACTCCAGGATCCCCCTGCCTCGGGCGCAGGGGCTGCTGGGAAGGCCCTGATCTCTGGCGAAGCACCCCGGCCTCCTGAACCTACTCCTGAAAACCTGGCCATCTGTCTCCGTCCTCTGGGGGACTTCTTGCCACGTTGGGATGAATTTGACAGGAGACACGCACCTTGGGTGGAAGCCAGGGACTCCACGACCACCCCATGTCGGGCGAAGGGGCCGCCAGGAAGGCCCTGACCTCCGTCAGGGCACCCTGCCCTTTCCTTTGGCTTCGCCGCTTTTGTCCCAGGCCTGCCTCAACCTTTCCCTGAAAGCATGGCCTCCTTTCTCCGCTCCCCGGGGGACTTCTTCCCACCTTGGGGTGCCTAAGTTGAAAAAAACACGTACCCAGGGAGGGAGCCACAGACTCCAAGCCCCCCCACACCCCGGTCAAGTGCGAGGACTGCCAGGAAGGCCCTGAATTCAGGCGTGGCACCCTGGCCTCCTCAACTTCCCCGTGAAAGCTTGGTCACCCATCCCCGTTCCCTGGGGGACTTCTTCCCGGCTTTGGGGTGCCTTCAGTGAGAGAGACAAGCAGGCCGGGTGAAAGCCAGGTACTCCACAACACCTCCGGGTCAGGCACCAGGGCTGCTGGGAAGGCCCTGACCTCTGGCGGGGCACCCCGGTCTCCTGTTTGGCCTCACCACTTTTCTCCGAGGCCTGCCTCAACCTCCCCCTTTAAGCCTGGCCGCCTGTCTCTGTTCTCCAGGGGACTTCTTGCTGCTTTAGATGCCATCGGTGGGAAAGACACGCACCACAGGTGGGAGCCAGGGACTCTACGACCACACCGGTAGGCCGTGGAAAAGGCCCTGACCTTTGGTGGGGCACCCCGGCCTCCTCTTTGGCCTCGCCACTTCTGTCCCAGGCCTGCCTCTACCTCCCCCTGAATGCCTGGCGGCCTATCTCCAACCCCCAGGGGAAATCTTGCCACTTTGTGGTACCTTCGGTGGGAGAGGCACACAACCCCGGAGGGAGCCAGGGACTCCACAACCCCCCCGGGTTGGGCGCGGGGCTGCCAGGAAGGTCATGACCTCCAGTAGGGGACCCCAGCCTCCTCATGGGCCTCACCTCTTTTGTCCCAGGCCTGCCTCCACCTCTCCTTGAAAGCCTGGCCACCTGTCTCTGTCCTCTGGGGGATTTATTGCCACTTTGCAGTGCCTTCGGTGGGAGAGACATGCACCCCGGGTGGGAGCCAGGGACTCCACGACCCTGCCCAGGGGCAGCAGGTGCTGCCGGGAAATCCCTTACTTCAGGCGGGGCACCCCAGTCTCCTCAACCTCTCCTTGAAAGCTTGGCCACCTGTCTCTGTCTTCTGGGGGACTTCTTGCTGCTTTGGGGTGCCTTCGGTAAGAAAGACACTCTCCCTAGGTGGGAACCAGGGACTCCATGACCCTCACGCTTTGGGCACGGGGTCTGCCGGGAGATCTTGCCACTTTGGGGCGCCTTTGGTTGGAGAGACAAACACCCTGGGTGAAAGCCAGGCACTCCACGACCCTCCCGGGTCAGTTGTTAGGGCTGCCGGGAAGGCTCTGACCTCCGGCAGGGCACCCCAGCCTCTTCTTTGGCCTTGATGCTTTTGTCCCTGCCCTGCCTCAACCTCCCTCTGAAAGCCTGGCCTCCTGTCTTTGTACCCCGGGGGACATCTTTCTGCTTTGGGGTGCCTTTGCTGGAACAGACACGCACCCCTGGAGGAAGCCAGAGACTGCACAACCCCACCGGATCGGGCATGGGGTCTGCCAAAGAAACCCTTTCCTCCGGCGGGACACCCTGGCCTCCTCAACCTCCCCCTGAAAGTCTGGCTTCCTGTCTCCATCCCCCGGGGGCTTTTTGCCACTTTGGGTGCCTTAGGTGGGAAAGACACGCACCCCAGTTGGGTGCAAGGGAATCCATGACCTCCCAGGTTCGGGCACGGGGGGTCAAGGCCTTGACCTCCACTGGGGCACCCCAGTCCCCTCTTTGGCCTCACAGCTTTTTTCCAGGCCTGCCTCAACCTCCCTTTGAAAGCCTGGGCGCCTGTCTCCGTCCCCAGGGAGAGTTCTTGCTGCTTTGAGGTGCCTTCGATGAAAGAGACACCCACGCCAGGTGGGAGCCAGGGATGCCACCAAAGCCCGGGTCAGGTGCGGAAGCTGCCAGGCAGGCCCTGACCTCAGCCGGGGCATCCCAGCCTCTTCAACCTTTCCCTGAAAGCCTGGCCGCCTATCTCTGCCCCCCGGGAAACTTTTTGCCGCTTTGGTGTGCCTTCGGTGGGAGAGACACACACCCTGGGTGCAAGCCAAAGACTCCACAACCCCCCAGGTTCGGGCACTGTGGTTGCCGGGAAGGCCCTGACCTCAGGCGGGGCACTCCAGCCTTCTCTACCTCCCCATGAAGGCCTGGCCACCTATCTCCGTCCCCCGGGGGACTTCTTGCCACTTTGGGGTGCCTTCAGTAAGACAGACACACACCCCAAGTGAAAGCCAGGGAACCCAAGACACCTCCAGTAGGGCATGGGGGCTGCTGGAAATGCCTTGACTTCTGGCGAGGCACCTCGGCCTCCTCTCTAGCCTTTCCCATTTTGTCCCAGGCCTGCCTCAACCTCCCCCTGAAAGCCTGTTCACCTGTCTCTGTCCCCCAGAAAACTTCTTGCTGCTTTGGGGTGCCTTCAGTGGGAGAGACACACACCCAGGGAGGGAGCCAGGGACTCCACAACTCCCCCTGGGTCAAGCGCTAGGACTGCTGGGTAAACCCTGACTTCAGACATGGCACCCTAGCATCCTCAACCTGCCCCTGAAAGCCTGGCCACCTGTCTCCGTCTTCCAGCGGACTTCCTGCCACTTTGGCATGACTTCAGTGGGATAGACACGCATTCCGGGTGGAAGCCAGGGACTCCATGATCCCTGGGTTGGGCGCCAGGGTTGCCAAAAGTTCCTTGACCTTTGATGGGGCACCCCAGCCTCCTCAACCTTTCCTTCTAAGCCTGGCTGCCTGTCTCCATCCTCAGCGGATTATTGCTGCTTTAAGGTGCCTTGTGTGGGAGAGACACTCACACTGGTTGGGAGCCCTGGACTTCACCATCCCCCTGGGTTGGGCACAATGGCAGCTGAAAAGGTCCTGACCTCTGGTGGGGCATCCCGGCCTCCTCAACCACTCCCTGAAAACCTGGCCGCTGGTCTTTGTCCCCCGAGGGACTTCTTGCCGTTTTGGAGTGCCTTTGGTGGGAGAGACACGCACCCAGGGTGGGAGCCAGGGACTCGATGACCCCCCAGTTCAGGCACGGGGTCTGCCTGGAAAGCCGTGACATACAGCAGGGCATGCAGGCCTCCACTTTGGGCTCACCCCTTTTGTCCCAGGCCTGCCTCAACCTCCCCCTAAAAGCCTGGCAGCCCGTTTCTGTCTACCAGGGGACTTCTTGTTGCTTTGGGGTGCCTTCGGTGGAAGAGACACATACCATGGGTGGGAGCCACGGACTCCACGACCCCCCTGGGTTGGGTGCGGGGGCTCCCGGGAAGGCCTTGACCTCTCACAAGACATGCTGGCCTCCTCAATCTCCCCCTGAAAGCCTGGCCACCTGTCTCTGCCTTCCGGGGGACTTCTTGCCACATTGTGGTGCCTTTGGTGGAAGACGCGCACCCAGAGTTGGAGCCAGGGTTTCCACGACCCCACTGGTTCAGGCAAGGGGTCAGGCACCCATGGGTCAGGCACAAGGGCTGCCGGGAAAGCCCTGACTCCTGGCAGGGCACTCCGGCCTCCTCAACCTTCCCCTGAAAGCCTGGACGCCTGTCTCCATCCCCCGGGAAACTTCTTGCCGCTTTGGTGTGCCTTCGGTGGGAGAGACACACATCGCTGGTGGGAGGCAGGGGTTCCACAACCCACACAGGCTGGGCATGGTGTCTGCCGGGAAGGCCCTGACCTCCAGCAGGGCACACTGGCCTCTTCTTTGGCCTCACCACTTTTGTCCCAGGCCTGTCTCAACCTTTGCCTGAAAGCCTGGCTGCCGGTCTCCTTCCCCGGGGGGACTTCTTGCACTTTGGGGTGCCTTTGGTGGGAGAGAAATGCACCCCGAACGTGAGCCACGGACTCCATGACCCCCACGGGTTGAGTGAGGGAGCTGCCGGGAAGGCCCTGACCTCTAGTGGGGTACGCCGGCCTCCTCAACCTTTCCCTGAAAGCCTGGACGCCTGTCATTGTCCCCCGGGGGACTTCTTGCTGCTTTGGGGTGCCTTTGGTGAAAGACACACACCCCGAGTGGGAGGCAGAAACACCATGACCCCCCTGGGTCAGGCACAGGGACTGCAGAGAAGGCCCTGACCATTGGCGGGGCAAACCTGCCTCCTCAACTTCCTGCTGAAATCCTGGATGCCTGTCTCCATCCCTTGGGGCACTTCTTGCTTCTCTAAGGTGTCTTCGGTGGAAGAAACACACACACCGGGTGGGAGCCAGGGACTACACGACCCCACCGGGTCAGGTGCTTGGGCTGCCAGGAAGGCACTGACCTCTGGAAAAGCACTACAGCCTCTGGCCTCGCTGCTTTTGTCCCAGGCCTGCCTCAACCTCCCACTGAAAGCCTGGCCACCTGTCTTCATCACCCGGGGACCTCTTGCCGTTTTGGGGTGCCTTCGGTGGTGGAGAAATGCACTCCAGGTGGGATCCAGGGACTCCATGACCCCACTGGGTCAGGTGCAGGTGCTGCTGGGAAGGCCCAGACCTCCGGCCCTGCACCCCGGCCTCTTTTTGGCCTTGTCGCTTTGTCACAGGCCTGTCTCAACCTCTCCTTGAGAGCGTGGCCGACTGTCTCCATCCCCTGGGGTCTTCTTGCTACTTTGGGGTGCATTCAGTGGGAGACACGCTCCCTGGCTGGGAGCCAGGGACTCCACAACCCACCATGGTTGGGCGCGGGGGCTGCAGAGAAGGCTCTGACCTCTGGTGGGGCAAACTGGCCTCCTCAACTTCCTTTGAAAACCTGGCCACCTGTCTCCATCCCCAGGGGAGTTTCTTGCTGCTTTGGGGCGCACGTGCATTCGGTGGGAGAGACACACACCTCGGGTGAGAGGCAGGGACCCCAAGACCCACCTGGGTCAGGCGCAGGGGCTGCCGGGAAGGCACTGACTTCCAGTGGGGTACCCTGGCCTCCTTTTTGGCCTCCTGGCTTTTGTCCCAGTCCAGTCTCAACCTCCTCCTGAAAGCCTGGCCACCAGTCTCCGTCCCCCGGGGGACTTCTTGCCACTTTGGGGTGCCTTCAGTGGGAGAGACACACACCCTGGGTATGAGCCAGGGACTCTACGACCCCCCTGGATTGGGCGCATGGACTGCCAGGAAGGCCCTGACCTCTGGCAGGGCACTCCTGCCTCCTCACCTATCCCCAAAAGCCAGGTCGCCTGTCTCTGTTTCCCAGGAAACTTCTTGCCACTTTGGGGTGCCTTTGGTGGGAGAGACACGCACCCCGGGAGGGAGACAGGGAATCCACGACACCCCCGGTTCAGGCGTGAGAGCTGCCGGGAAGGCCCTGACTCAGACATGGCACCCCAGCTTCCTCAACCTCCCCCTGAAAGACTGGCCACCTGTCTCTGTCCCCCGGGGGAATTCTTATCACTTTGGGGTGACTTTGTTGTGAGAGAAACGCACCCCGGTTGGGATCCAGGGACTCCATGATCCACTCAGGTTGGGTGCAGTTGCCGACAGGAAGGCCCTGACCTCTGGTGGGGCACCCTGGCATCCTCTTTGACTTTGTCCCAGGCCTGCCTCAACCTCCCTCTGAAAGCCTGGGCTCCTGTCTCTGTCCCTTGGGGGACTTCTTGCCGCATTGCGGTGCCTTCTGTGGTAAAGACATGCACCCCAGGTCGGGCACAAATGCTGCCCAAAAGGCCCTGATCTCAGGTGGGATATCCTGGCCTCCTCAACCTCACCCTGAAAGCCTGGCCACCTGTCTCTGTCCCCAGGGGGATTTCTTGTAGCTTTGGTGTGCCTTTGGTGGGAGAGACACACAGCCCAGGTGTGAGCCAGGGACTCCACGACTCCTCCGGTTCGGGCACGGGGGCTACCGGAAAGGCCGTGACCTCTGGCGGGGCACCCCGGCCTCCTCAACCTCCCCCTGAAACCCTGGTCTCCTGTCTCTGACCACCAGGTCAGGCGAGGAAGCTGCTGGGAAGGCCCTGAACTCTGGCAGCCACCCGGGTCTCCTAAAACTCCCTGTGAAAGCCTGGCCGCCTGTCTCTGTTTCCCGGGGGACTTCTTGCTGCTTTTGGGTGCCTTCAGTGTGAGGGAAACGCACCCTGGATGAAAGCCAGGGAAACCACGAAACCCCGAGTCAGCCAGGGGCACTGCCTGGAAGGCCTTGACCTGTGTCAGGGCACCCCGGGCTCCTCTGTGGCCTCGCCACTTTTGTCCCAGGCCTGCCTCAAGCTGCTTTTGTAAGCCTGACCACCTGTCTCTTCCCCCACGGGACTTCTTGCCACTTTGGGTTGCCTTCAGTGGAATAGATATGCACAAAGGATGGAAGCAATGCACTCCATGATCCGTCTGGGTCTGGCGCAGCAGCTGCTGCAAAGGCGCTGACCTCCGGCAAGGCACCCTGGCCTCCTCAACCTCCCCCTGAATGACTGACCCCCTGTCTCTGTCCCCTAGGCGATTTCTTACCGATTTGGGGTGTGCTCAGTGGTGGTGACTCACAACCCCAGTGGAAGACAGGGGCCTCACGACTCCCCTGGGTGGGGTGCGGGGGCTGCCAAGGAGGCCGTGACCCCTGATGGGGCACGCCGGCCTCCTCAACCTCCCCCTAAAAACCAGGTCGCCTGTCTCCATTTCCCTGGGGGCTTCTTGCTGCTTTGGGGTGCGATCGGTGGGAGAGACACGCATCCCGGGTGGGAACCAGGTACTACACGACCCCCTTGGGCTGGGTGCAGCAGCTGCCAGGAAGGCCCTGACCTCCAGCGGGGCACACCGACCTCCTCTTTGGCCTTGCCGCTTTTGTCCCAGGCTTGCTTCAACCTCCCCCTGAAAGCCTGGCTGCCTGTCCCATCCCCCAAGAAACTTCTTGCCGCTTTGGGGTGCCTTCAGTGGGAGAGTCACACACCTTGGGAGGAAGCCAGGGATTCCACGACCCATGTGGGATGGGCACAAAGGCTGCCAGGAAGGCGCAGACCTCAGGCGGGTAACCCAGGCCCCCTCAACCACTCCCTGAAATCTTGGCTGCCTGTCTCTGTCCCCCGGGGGACTTCTTGCCACTTTGGGGTGCCTTTTGTGGGAGAGACACAACCAGGGTGGAAGCCAGGGACTCCACAACCCCCATTGGTCATGTGAGGGGGATGCCTGGAAGGCCCTGACCTCCAGTGGGGCACCTGGGCCTCCTCAACCTCCCCCTGAAAGCCTGGATGTCTGTCTCCATCCCTTGGTGAACTTCTTTCCACTTTGGGGTGCCTTCAGTGAAAGAGACACACACCCTGGGTGGGAGGCGCGGACTCCACGACCCAAAAAGTCGGGTTCCGTGGCTTCCGGGAAGGCCCTGGTTTTCAGCAGGGCACTCTGGCCTCCTCTTTGGTCTCACCGCTTTTGTCCCATGGCTGCCTCAACTTTCCCCTGAGAGCGTGGCAGCCTGTCTCCATCCACCAGGGGACTTTTCTTGAAACTTTGGGGTGCCTTTATTGGGAGAGACATGCACCCTAGTTAGGGCACTGGGGCTGCCAGGAAAGACCTGATTTCAGGGAGGTCACCCCACCTCCTCAACCTCCCCCTGAAAGCCTGGCCACCTGTCTCCGTCCATGGGGGTTTCTTGCCCCTTTGGGGTGCCTTCGGTGGGAGAGACACGCACCCAGCTTGGGAGACAGGTACTCCACGAACACCCCTGGTAGGGCACAGGGGCTGCCGGGAAGGCACTGACCTCCGGCGGGGCACCCCAGCCTCCTCTTTGACCTTGCTGCTGTTTCCCCAGGCCTGCCTCAACCACACCCTGAAAGCTTGGCTGCCTGTCTCTGTCCCCCAATGGACTTGCCGCTTTGGGTTGCCTTCAGTGGGGGAGACACACACTTCTGGTGGGAGCCAGGGACTCCATGCCCCCAGTGGGTTGGGGGCAGTGTCTACTGGAAATGCCCTGTCATTCAGCAGGGCACCCCATCCTCCTCAACCTCCTCTAGAAAGCCCGGCCGCCTGTCTTTGTTCCCCAGGGGACTTCTTGCTGCTTTGAGGTTCCTTCAGTGGAAAATAAAAGCACCCCAGGTGAGCGCCAGGGACTCCACAACCCACCCAGGTAGAGTGTGGGGTCTGCCGGGAAGGTTCTGACCGCTGGCGAAGCACCCTGGCCTCCTCAAACTCCCCCTGAAAGCCTGGCCACTTGTCTCCATCAACCGGGGGACTTCTTGCCGCTTTGGGGTGCTGTCGGTGGAAGAGTCATGCATCCCTGGTGGGGGTCAAGGACCCCACGACCACCCGGGTCGGGGGGCAGGGCCTGCCAGGAAGTCCCTGACCTCTGGCGGGGCACCCCGGCCTCCTCAACCTCCCCCTGAAAACCTGGCCACCTGTCTCTGTCTCCAGGGGGACTTTTGCCTGTTCGGGGTGCCTTTGGTGGGTGAGATTCACAACCTGGGTGGAAGCCAGGAACTCCATGACCCCCTGGGTTCCCGCACGGTAGCTTCCGGGAGGGCCCTGACCTCTGCCAGAGCACCCCAGTCTCCTCAACCTGCCCCTGATAGCCTGGCCTCCTGTCTCCATTCCCCGGGGGAATTCTTGCTGCTTTTGGGTGCCTTCAGTGGGAGAGACACACACTCCAGTTGGGAGCCAGACACTCCACGGCCCTGAGGGTAGGACGTGTGGGCTGCCAGGAAGTCCCTGACCTCTGGCAGGGCACCCTTGCCTTTTCAACCTCCCCCTGAAAGCCTACCCGCCTGTCTCAGTCCCCCATGGAACTTCTTGTCGCTTTGGGGTATCTTCAGTGAGAGAGAAACACACCCGGGGTGGTAGCCAGGGACTCCACGACCCCACAGATTGGGCTCAGGGTCTGCCTGGAAGGCCTTGACTTCTGGTGTGGCACCCAGGCCTCCTCTTTGCCCTTGCGGTTTTTGTTCCAAGCCTGCTTCAACCTCCTTCTGAAAGGCTGGGGGACTTCTTGCCTCTTTGGGGTGCGTTCCATGGGAGAGTCACACATCCTACGTTGGGCACAGGGGTTGCCGGGAAGTCCCTGACCTTTGGCAGGGCACCTTGGCCTCCTCAACCTTCCCCTGGAAGCCTGGCCACATGTCTCCGTCTCCTGGGGGACTCCTTGCCACTTTGGGGTGCCTTTGGTGGGAGAGACACGCATTCCGGGTGGGAGCTATGGACTCCACGACCACCCGAGGGTCAGGTGCCGTGGCAGCCGGGAAGGCCGTGACCTCTGTTGGGGCACCCTGGCCTCCTCTTTGGCCTTGCCGCTTTTGTCCCAGGCCTGTCTAAACCTCCCCCTGAAAGCCTGTCTGCCTGTCTCTATCCCCCAGAAGTCTTCTTGCCATTTTGCCGTGGTTTCAATGGGATAGACATGCATCCAGGGTGGGAGTCAGGGACTCCCCGACCCCCCAGGGGTGGGCACAGGGCTAGCCAGGGAGACCTTAACCTCTGGTGGGGCACCCCGGCCTCCTCTTTGGCCTCGCCGCTTTTGTCCCAGGCCTGCCTCAACCTCCTCCTGAAAGCCTGGCCATCTGTCTCTATCTCTTGGGGGACTGCTTGCCACTCTGGGTTGCCTTCGGTGGGAGAGACATGCACCCTGGGTGGGAACCAGTGACTCCACGATGCCCCCGGGTCAGGAGCAGGAACTGCCGAGGAGGCCCTGACTTCCAGCGTGGCACCCAGGCCTTCTCTTTGGCCTCACTGCTTTGGTCTCTGGCCTGCCTTGACCTCTCCCTGAAAGCCTGGACATCGGTCTCTGTCTCCCGGGGGAATTCTTTCCACATTGGGGTGCCTTTAGTGGGAGAGACACGCACCCGTGGTGGAAGCCAGGGACTCCAGGACTACGGCAGAGCACCCCGGCCTTGTCTTTTTCCTCACTGCTTTTGTCCCAGGCATGCCTCAAACTGCCCTTAAAAGTCTGGCTGCCTGTCTCCATCTCCCGGGGCACTTCTTGCCAATTTGGGGTGCCTTCATTGAAAGAGACACGCACCTGTGGTGGGAGCCAGGGACACTATGAACCCCGCCCCGTGTCAGGCACAGGGGCTGCCAGGAAGGCCCTGACCTCCGGCAGGTCACCCGGGCCTCCTCTTTCGCCTCTCTGCTTTTGTCCGAGGCCTGCCTCAACCTCTCTCAGAAAGCCTCGCCACTGCCTGTCTTTGTCCCCCAGGGGCCTTCTTGCAGCTTTGGGGTGTCTTCGGTGGGAGAGACACCCACCCTGGGTGGGAGCCAGGGACTCCATGAAGCCCCCGGTTCTGGCATGGGGGTTGTTGGGAGGGCTCTGACCTCCTGCAGGGCACCCTGACCTCCTCTTTGGCCTCTCTGCTTTTGTCCCAGGCCTGCCTCAACCTCCCCATGAAAGCCTGGCCGCCTGTCTCTGTCCTCTAAGGGACTTCTTGCCACTTTCAGGTGCCTTCTGCGGGAGAGACATGCACTCTACATGAGAGCCAGGGACACCACAACCCCCCAAAATTGAGCATGAGGGCTGCTGGGAAGCCACTGACCTCTGGAGGGGCACCCCGGCATCCTCTTTTGCCTCACTGCGTTTGTGCCGGGCCTGCCTCAACTGCCGCTTGAAAGCCTGGCCACCTTTTTCTTTGTCCCATAGGGGATTTCTTGCCACTTTCGGGTGCCTTTGGTGGGAGAGACACGCACCATGGCTGGGAGCCAGGGACTCCACAACCCCCTCTGCTTTGGATGCGGGGGTTGCCGGGAAGGTTTTGACCTCCAGCAAAGCACCCCGGCCTCCTCTTTTGCCTCACCGCTTTTGTCTCAGACCTGTCTCAACCTCTGCCTAAAACCCTGGCTGCCTGTTTCCGACCCCTGGAGTACTTCTTGCAGCTCGGGGGGACTTTGCTTGGAGAGGCCCACACCCCGGGTGGGAGCCAGAATCTCCACGACCACCCCAGATCAGGTGCGGGTTCTACTGGGAAGGCCCTGACCTCCGGCGTGGCTCCTGGGCCTCCTTTTTGGCCTGGCTGCTTTCGTTCCAGGCCTGCCTCAACCTCTGCCTGAAAGCCTGGCCGCCTGTCTCTGTTTCCCTGGGGACTTCTTGCTGCTTTATGGTGCCTTCAGTGGGAGAAACACGCACACTGAGTGGAAACCAGGGGCTCCCCGACTCCCTGGGTGGGGCGCAGTGGCTGCCAGGAAGGCCCTGACATCCAGCAGGTCACCCGAGCCTCCTCTTTGGCCTCATTGCTTTTGTCCCAGGCCTGCCTCAACCTCTGCCTGAAAGCCTGGCTGCCTGTCTTCATCTCCAGTGGGACTTCTTGCCGCTTTGGGGTGCCTACAGTGGGAGAGACACATACCCCGGGTTGGGGCCAGGGACTGCATGACCCGTCCGCGGGTCAGGCTCAGTGGCTGATGGGAAGGCCCTGGCCTCCAGCTAGGCACCCTGGCCTCCTCTTTGGATTTGCCACTTTTGTCCCAGGCCTGCTTCAACCTCCCCCCTGAAAGCCTGGCCACTTGCCTCCATCCCCCAGAGGACTTCTTGCCAGTTTGGGGTGCCGTCGGTGGTTGAGACACACACCTCGTGTAATAGACAGGGACTCAACGACACCACCGAGTCGGGAGCAAATGCTTCCAAAAAGGCCCTGATTGCTGGCAGTGCACCTCGGCCTCCTATTTGGCCTCGCTGCTTTTGTCCCAGGCCTGCCTCAACCTTTGCGTCAAAGCCTGGCTGCCTGTCTCTGTACCCCAGGGGACTTTCTGCAGCTTTGGGATAGCTTCAGTTGGAGAAACATGCATTCTGGGTGGGAGCTACAGACTCCACGACCACCCAAGGGTCGGGCATGGTGGCAGCCAGGAAGGCCGTGACCTCCGTTGGGGCACCCTGGCCTCCTCTTTGGCTTTGCTGCTTTTATCCCAGGCCTGTCTAAACCTCCCCGTGAAAGCCTGTCCGCCTGTCTCCATCTGCCAGAAGTCTTCTTGCCATTTCAGGGTGCCTTTGGTGAGTTAGACACACACCCTGGATGGGAGCCAGGGACTCCCCGACCAACTCTGGGATGGGTGCAGGGCCTGCCGGGAAGGCCCTGACCTCTGGCAGGACACCATGGCCTCCTCTTTAGCCTTGCTGCTTTCGTCCCAGGCCTGCCTCAACCTCCCTTTGAAAGCCTGGCCACCTGTCTCCGTCTCCCGGGGGACTTCTTGCAGATTGGCAGGACTTCGTTTGGAGAGACGCGCACCCTGGGTGGGAGTCAGAATCTCTACGACCACCCCAGATCGGGTGTGGGGGCTGCCAGGAAGACCTTGACCTTAGTTGGGGCACCCCAGCCTCCTCTTTGGCCTCACCGCTTTTGTCCCAGCCCTCCCTCAACCTCCTCCTGAAAGCCTGGCCGCCTGTCTCTGTCCCTTGGGGGACTGAGTGACACTTTGGGTTGACTTGGGTGGGAGAGACACGCACCCCAAGTGGGCACCAGGGACTGCACGATACCCCCAGGTCGGGAAAGGGAACTGCCGGGGAGGCCCCGACTACCGGTGTGGCACCCAGGCCTTCTCTTTGGCTTCATTGCTTTGGTCTCTGGCCTGCCTCAACCTCCCCCTGAAAGCCTGGACACCTGTCTCCATCCCCTGGGGGAATTCTTTCTGCATTGGGGTGCCTTCGGTGGGAGAGACATGCACGCGTGGAAGAAGCCAGGACTCCTCCCCTGAGTCTGGCACTGGGGCTGTCGGGAAGGCCCTGACCTATGGCAGGGCACCCAGGCTTTGTCTTTTTCCTTGCCGCTTTTGTCCCAGGCATGCCTCAAACTCCCCTTGAAAGCCTGGCTGTCTGTCTCCATCCCTAGGGGGACTCCTTGCCGATTTGGGGTGCCTTCAGTGAAAGACACGCACCACTGTTGGGAGCTGGGGATATTACAACACCCGGCCCCGTGTCAGGTGCGGGGGCTGCCAGGAAGGCCCTGACCTCCAGCGGGTCGCCTGGGCCTCCTCTTTGGCTTCACTGCTTTTGTCTGAGGCCTGCCTCAACTTCCCCCTGAAAGCCTAGCCACCTGTCTTTGTCCACCGGGAGAATTCTTGCAGCTTTGGGGTGTCCTCGGTGGGAGAGACACGTGCCCCTGGTGGGAGCCAGGGACTCCACGACACCCCCGGTTTGGGCGCAGGGGTTGTTAGGAGGGCCCTGACCTCCTGTGGGGCACCCTGACCTTGTTTGGCCTCGCCGCTTTTGTCCCAGGCCTACTTCATCCTCCCCCTGAAAGCCTGGCCGCCTGTCTCTGTCCCCTGGGGACTTCTTGCGGCTTTAAGGTGCCTTCTGTGGCAGAGACACGCACCCTGCATGAGGGCCAGGGACGTCAGGACTCCCCCAGATCGGGCTCGGGAGCTTCCAGGAAGGCACTGACCTCTGGCGAGGCACCCAGGCGTCCTCTTTGGCCTTCCCTATTTTGTCCCAAGCCTGCCTCAACCTCCCCTCTGAAAGCCTGGCTGCCTTTCTCTGTTCCCTGGGGGACTTCTTGCTGCTTTGTGGTGCCTTCTGTGGGAGAGGCACACACCCCTAGTGGGGTCAGGGACTCCACCACCCACCTGGGTCATGCGCAGGGGCTGCCGGGAAAGCGCTGTCTTCTGGTGGGGCATCCTGGTCTCCTCTTTGTCCTCACCACTTTTTTCTCAGGCCACGCATGCAGGGTGCATGTCTCTCCTACGGGGGAGCTCCCCAAAGTGGCAATAAGTATCCCGAGTGACTGAAACAGGATGCCAGGCTTTCAGGGGTACGTTGAAGCAGCCTGAGGAAAAAAGCGGCGAGGCTGAAATGGAGGCTGAAGTCTTCCACTGGAGGCCAGTACCTTCCCAGCAGCTCCTGTCCTGGGCCCTGCAGGGTTGTGGAGTCCCTGGCTTTCACACAGGGTGTGTGTGTCTGTCCCACAGGCGGCCGCCCAACATGGCAAGAAGTCCCCGAGGGACGTGGTCACGATGCCAGGATTTCAGGGTGACATTGAGGCAGCTGGAGGAAAAAAGTGGCGAGTCCGAATAGGAGGCTGGTGTACTCTACCAGAGACCAGTGCCTTTCCAGCAGTTCCAGAGCCGGGCCCAAGGGGGTCGTGGAGTCCCTGGCTTTCACCAAGGGTGTGTGTTTCTCCCATGGGGGGCACCGCAAAGTGGGAAGATATCCCTAGGGGAACAGTTACAGGACACCAGGCTTTCAGGGGGAGGTTGAGGCAGCCCAAGGAAAAAAGCAGCAAGGCTGAAGAGTAGGCTTGGATCCTCCACCAGAGGTCAGTGCCTTTCCGGCAGCTCTGGCAAGGGGCCCGAGTGAGTTGTGGAGTCCCTGGCATTCACCCATGGTGTGTGTCACTCTTAAGGGGAGCAAATTGTCAAGAAGTCCCCCAAGGGACGTGAACAGGACGCCAGGCTTTCAGTGGGATTTTGAGGCAGCCCGAGGATAAAAGTGGTGAGGATGATGAGTAGGCTGGGGTCCTCTACCAGAAGCCCATGCCTTCCGGGCAGCCCCTGCGCTGGGCCTGGGGGTGGGGTCGTGGAGTCCCTGGCTTTCACTCAGGGTGTGTGTCCCTCCCACGGGGGGCAAGCCATAGCAGCAAGAATTCCCCCAAGGGACAGCGACAGAACTCCAGGCTTTCAGGGGGACGTTAAGGCAGCCCAAAGAAGAAACTGGCAAGGCCAAAGAGGAGGCTGGGGTCTTCCACCAGAGGCCAGTGCCTTGTCTGCAGCCCCTGCGCTGGGCCCAGAGGGGGTCATGGAGTCTTTGGCTTTCACCTAGGGTGCGTGTTTCTCCCACGGGGGCACCCCAAAGCAGCAGGAAGACCCCGGGGGGCAGGGAGATGCCAGGCTTTTAGGGGGACATTAAGGCAGCCCGAGGAAAAAAGTAGTCAGGCTGAAGACGAGGCTGGGGTCCTCCACCAGAAGCCATTGCCTTCCCAACAGCCACTGCACTGGGCCCAGGGGGTTTGTGGAGTCCCTGGCTTTAACCTAGGGAGTGTGTCTCTCCTACAGGGAACATCCTAAAGTGGCAAGAAGTCCACCGGGGTACGGGGACAGGATGCCAGGCTTTCAGGGGGACATTGAGGCAGCCCGAGGATAAAAGCAGCGAGGCTGAAGAGAAGGTTGGGGTCATCCACCAGACGACATTGCCTTCCCGGCAGCCCCTGCGTCGGGCCAGGGAGAGTAGTAGAGTCCCTGGTTTTAACCCAGGTTGCGTGTCTCCCACGAGGGGCAGCCCAAAAAGTCAAGACGTCCCTGGAGAAAAAAAACAGGAAGCCAGGCTTTGTGGAAGAAGTTGAGGCAGCCCAAAAAAAGAAGCAGCAAGGCTGAAGAGGAAGCTGGGGTACTCCACTGGAGGCAAGTGCCTGCCGGCAGCCCCTGTGCCAGTCCCGGGGTGTCGTGGAGTCCCTGGCTTTCACCAAGGGTGCATGTCTTCCCCATGGGGGTCACCCCAAAGGGCCAAAATCTCCCCAGGAGGACAGGGACTGGACGAGAGGCTTTTAGGGGGAATTTGAGGCAGCCCAAGGAGAAAACCGGCGAGGTCAAAGAGGAGGCTGCCATCCTCCACTGGAGGCCATTGCCTTCTCGAGCACCATGTGCTGGGCCCGGGGGTTGTGGAGTCCCTGGCTTTCACCCAGGGTGCATGTCCCTCCCACGAGGGGAAGCCCAAAGTGACAAGAAGTCCACCTGGGGATAGGGAGAGGATGTCAGGCTTTCAGGGGTATGTTGAGGAAGCCCAAGGAAAAAAGCAGCAAGGCCAAAGAGGAGGCTGGGGTGCTCCACCAGAGGCCAGTGTCTTCCCGGCAGCATCTCCTCCTTGCCTGTGGGGGTCGTGGAGTCCCTGGTTTTCAACCAGGGGGTGTGTATCTCCCATGGAGGGCACACCAAAGCAGTAAGAATTCCCCCTGGGGATGGGGACTTGACGTCAGGCTTTTAGGGGAACGTTGGGGCAGCACAAAGAAAACAGTGGCAAGGCTGAAAGGAGGCTGAGGTTGTCTACCAGGGGCCAGTGTCTTCCCGGCAACCCCTGCACCAGGTCCTGGGGGGTCGTGGAGTCCCTGGCTTTCACCCAGGGTGCATGTTTCTCCCATGTGGGGCAAGCCAAGTGGCAAGAAGTCCCTCGGGGGACTGGGACAGGATGCTTGGCTTTCAGGAAGGAGTTGACACAGCCCAAGGGAAAAAGTGGAGAGGCCAAAGAGGAGGCTGGGGTCTTCAACCGGACGCCAGTGCTTCCCTGGCAGCTCCTGTGCCAGGCCTGGGGGCTTGTGGAGTACCTGGCTTTTACTGAAGGTGTGTGTCTCTTCCATGGAGGGCAGCCCAAGTGGCAAGAAGTGCCCCTGGGGACGGGGACAGGACCACAGGCTTTCATGGAGACGTTGAGGCAGCCCGAGGATAAAAGCTGCGAGGCCAAACAAAAGGCTAGGGTCGTCCACTGGAGGCCAGTGCCTATCCTGGCAGCCTCTGTGCTGGGCCCAGGTGGGTCGTGGTGTTTATGTCTTGGACCTGGGGTGCCTGCCGATCTCATGGGGGGAACCCAAATTGGCATGAATTCCCCCTGGGGACAGCAACAGAACACCAGGCTGTCGCCTAACCACCTGAAGGTGGACATTGAAGCTGCCCTAGGAAAAAAGCTGTGTGGCCAAAGAAGAGGCTGTCATTTTCCACTGGAGGCTAGTGCCTTCCTGGCAGCCCCTGCACCAAGCCCAGGGGTGTCCTGGAGTCCCTGGCTTTCACTCAGAGTGCATGTCTCTCTTACAGGAGGCACCGCAAAGATGCAAGAAGTCACCCGGAGTACAAGGACAGGACGCCAGGCTTTCAGGGGGACGTTGAGGCAGTCAAAGGAAAAAAATGGCAAGGCAGAAGAGGAGGCTGTGGTACTCCACCGGAGGCCAGTGCCTTCCATGCATCCCCTGCCCCGGGCCTGGGGGTTGGTCGTTGGGTCCCTGGCTTTCACCCAGGGTGCGTGTCTCTCTCATGGGGGGCAGCCCAAAGTGGGAAGAAGTCCCCTGGGGGATTGGGATAAGATGCCAAGCTTTCAGAGAAACGTTGAGGCATCTCGGAAAAAAAAAGCAGTGAGGCCAGAGGAGTCTGGGGTCCTCCACCAGAGGCCAGTGCCTTCTGGGCAGCCCCTGCGTTGGGCCTTGGGTGGTTGTGGAGTCCCTGGCTTTCACCAAGGGTGCGTGTGTCTCCCACGGGGGGCATCCAAAAGGGGCAAGAAGTCCACTGGGGGATGGGGACAAGATGTCAGGCTTTCAGGGGGACATTGTGGCAGCCCAAGGAAAAAAGTGACGAGGCTGAAGAGGAAGCTCGGATCTTCCGCTGGAGGCCAGTGCCTTCCGGGCAGCCTTTGCGCCAAGCTCGAGGAAGTCTTGTAGTCCCTGGCTTTCATCCAGGGTGTTTCTCTCCCACAGGACTCAGCCCAAAGTGGCAAGAAGACCCCAGGGGAAGGAGACAGGATGCCAGGATTTCATGGGGATGTTGAGGCAGTCCAAAAAAAAAAAAAAAAAAGTGGCAAAGCCGACAAGGCTGAAGAGGAAGCTGGGATCCTCCACCAGAAGCCAGTGCCTTAATGGTAGCCTCTGCGCCGGGACTGGAGGGGTTGTGGTGTCCCTGCCTTTCACCTATGGTGTGTGTGTCTTAAATGGGGGGCAGACCAAAGTGACAAGAAGTCCCCCGGGGGATGAGAACAGGATGCCAGGCTTTCATGGGGACGTTGAGGCAGTCCAAAAAAAAAAAGTGGCAAAACCAAAGAGTAGGCTGGGGTCCTCCAAAGGAGGCCAGTGCCTTCCTAGCAGCTTCTGCACCAGGCCAGGGAGGTCATGGAATCCCTGGTATTCACCCAGGGTTCATGTCTCTCCAACAGGGGTTACGCCAATGTGGCAAGAAGACCTCTGGAAGATGGGGACAGGATGCCAGGCTTTCAGGCAGAAGTTGAGGCAACCCAAGACAAAAAGCGGCGAGGCCAAAGTCTGGCATCCTCCACCGGAAACCCCTGGCTTCCCAGCAGACCCTGCGCCAGGACCGAGGTTGTTTGTGGGGTCCCTGGCTTTCACTGAGAGTGCGTGACTCTCCAACAGGGAGTAGCCCAAAGCAGCAAGAAGTCCCCTGGGATATGGCGACAGGACGCCAGACTTTCCGGGGGACATTGAGGAAGCCCGAGTTAAACAGTGGTGTGGCCAAATAGGAGGCTGTGGTTGTCCACCGGAGGCCAGTGGGTTCCCAGCAACCACTGCACTGTGCCCAGTGGGGTTGTGGAGCCCATGACTTTCACCCAAGGTGCGTGTCTTTCCCACAGGGGGCAGCCCAAAGCAACAAGATGTCCCCAGGGGGACAAGAAAAGGACGCCAGGCTTTCACAGGGATTTTGGGGCAATCCAAGGATGTGGTGATACCAAAGAGGAGGCTGAGGTTTTCCACCACAGGCCAGTGTCTTCCTGGCAGCCCCTGTGCCAGGCCTGGGGGTGTCATGGAGTTCTTGGGTTTCACCCAGTGTGCATGTCTCTCCTGTGGGGGTCAGGGGCAGACCAAAGCGGCAAGAAGTCCCCCTGGGTAAAGGAACAGGATGCCAGGCTTTCATGGGGAGATTGAGGCAGTCCTAGGAAAAAGGCAGCAAAGCCAAAGAGGAGGCTGGGGTCCTCTGCTGGAGGCCAACACCTTCCCGGCAGCACTTGTGCTGGGCCCAGGGGGTCGTGGAGACCCTGGTTTTCACCCAGGATGCACAAGTCTCCCATGGGGAACAGCCTAAAGGGGGAAAGAATTCCACCAAGTGATGGGAACAGGATGCCAGGCTTTCAAAGGGACGTTGAGGCATCCTGAAGACAAAAGTGGTGAGGCTGAAGAGGAAGCTGGGGTCTTCCACCGAAGGCCAGTGCCTTCCTGGCAGTTCCTTCGTTGGGCCCAGGGTGTCGTGGAGTCCCTGGCTTTCACTCAGGGTGCATGTCTCTCTCACAGGGGGCAGCCCAATGCAGAAAGAAGTCCCCCCAGAGTTGGGGATAAGATGCCAGGCTTTCAGAGGGATGCTGGGTCAACCTGTGGAAAAAAGTGGCAAGGCCAAAGAGGAGACAGGGGTCCTCCACCAGAGGCCAGGGCTTTCAGGACAGCCTCTGCACTGGGCTAGGGAGTGTCATGGAGTCCCTGGTTTTCACCTAGAGTGTGTGTCTCTCCCATGGGGGGAGTGCCAAAGTGTCAAGATTTCCCCTGGGGACAGAGACCAAATGCCAGGCTTTAAAAGGGACGTTGAGGCAGCCTGAGGAAAAACTGGCGAGGCCAAAGAGGAGGCAGGGGTCTTCCACCAGATGCCAATGCACTGGGCCCGGGGGAGTTGTGGAGTCTCTAGCTTTCATCCAGGGTTCGTGTCTCTCCCACAGGGGACACCCCAAAGCAGCAAGAAATCGTCCGGGTGACTGGGAAATGACACTGTGCTTTCGGGGGACATTGAGGTAGTCCAAGGAAAAAAGTGGCAAGGCCGAACAGGAGGCTGGCATCCTCCGCCGGAGGCCAGTGCCTTCTGCGCAGCCCCTGCACCAACCCTGAGGGAGTTTTGGAGTCCCTTGCTTTCACCCAGAGAGTGTGCCTCTCCCATGGGGGCACACAATGGTGGCAAGAATTCCCCCGGGGGACTTGGAGAGGACCCCAGTCTTTCAGGGGGATATTGAGTCAGCCCGAGGAAAATACTGGTGAGGCTGAAGGGGAGGCGTGGGTCCTCCACTGGAGGTCAGTTCCTTCTTTGCAGCCCCTGCACTGAGCCCGGAAGGGTTAAACCTTTCTTTTGTCTCAGCAGGTTGAAACACTCTTTTTGTAGAATCTGGGAAGGGACATTTCTGAGCCCACTGAGGCCTATAGTGAAAACCGTATAACCCACGACAAAAACTAGAAAGACAGCATCTATGAAACTGCTTTGTGATGTGTGGATTCAGCTCACAGAATTAAACCTTTCTTTTCATTCCACAGGTTGGAAACCCTTTTTAAAATAGAATCTGCAAAGAGACGTTTTGGAGTGCACTGAGACCTGTAGAGAAAAACTGAATATCCCCTGATAAAAACTACAAAGAAGCTATCTGTGAAACTGCTTTGTGATGTGTGGATCCAGCTCAAAGAGTTAAACCTTTCTTTTGATTCATCAGGTCGGAAACACTCTTCTTTTGGAATCTAACAATGCACATTTCTGAACACACTGAAGCCTAAAGTGAAAACTGGATATCCAGCGATGAAAACTACAAAAAGCTCTCTGTGAAACTGCTTTTTGATGTGTGGATCCAGCTCAAAGAGTTAAACCTTTCTTTTGATTCATCAGGTCGGAAACACTCTTCTTTTGGAATCTAACAATGCACATTTCTGAACACACTGAAGCCTACAGTGAAAACTAGATATCCAGCGATGAAAACTACAAAAAGCTATCTGTGAAACTGCTTTGTTATCTGTGGATTCAGTTCACAGAGTTAGACCTTTCTTTTTATTCACCAGTTTGGAAGCACTCTTTTTGTGGAACCCAAGAATGGGCATTTCTGAACCCACTGAGGTGTATAGTGAAAACCAAATAATCCATGATAAAAACTAGATAGAAGCTACTTGTGAAACTGCTTTTTGATGTGTGGATTCAGCTCACAGAGTTAAACCTTTCTTTTAATTCAGCATGTAGGAAAAACTGTTTTGTATAATCAGCAAAGGGACATTATTGAACCTACTGAGGCCTATAGTGAAAACCATATATCCAGCGATTAAAAACTATGAAGAAGCTATCTGTGAAACTGATTTGAGATCTGCATATTCGTCTCACAGAGTTAAAACTTTCTTTTGATTGAGAGGTTTGGAACCACTGTTTTTGTAAAATCTAAATATGGACATTTTTAACCCACTGAGGTATATACTGAAAACTGTATATCTCACAAAAAAAAAAACTATAAAGAAGCTGTCTGTGAAACAGCTTTGTGATGTGTGCATTCAGCTCACAGAGTTGAGCCTTTCTTTTGATTCAGCTGGTTGGAATGACGCTTTCTGTAGAATCTAAGAATGGACATTTCTGAACGCACTGATGCCTATAGTGAAAATTGTATATCCAGTGATTATAACTACAAAGAAGCTATCTGTGAAAAAGCTTTTCATCTGTGGATTCTGCTCACAGAGTTAAACTTTTCTTTTGATTCAAAAGATTAAGAACACTTTTTAGTGGACTCTAAGAATGGACATTTCTGAACCCACTGATTTGTTTAGTGAAAACCAAATACCCCTCGATAAAAAAAAAAAAAAAAAGACAGAAGCTCTCTGTGAAACAGCTTTGTGATGTGTGGATTCAGCTCCCAGAGTTAAACCTTTCTTTTGATTCAGCTGGTTGTCCACACTCTTTTTGTATAACCTGTGAAGGGACATTTCTGAACACACTGAGGTTTATAGTGAAAAAACGAATATCCCATGATAAAAACGAGAAACAACGTGTCTGTGGAACTGATTTGTGATGTGTGGATTCAGCTCACAGAGTTAAACCTTTATTTTGATTCAGCAGTTTGGAAACTCTCTATTTGTGGAATCTGAGAAGGGAAATTTTGGAGTGCACTGAGGCCTATAGTGAAATACTGAATAACCCACGATAAAAAGTAGAAAGAAGCTATCTGTGAAACTGCTTTGTGATGTGTGGATTCAGCTCATAGAGTTAAATCTTTTTTTTTTTTTTTGAATCCACAGATTTCAAACACTCTTTTTGCAGAATCTGCGAAGAAACATTTCTGAACTCACAGAAGCCTATAGGGAAAACAAAGCATCCTGTGATAAAATCTAGAATGAAGCTAGCTGTGAAAATGCCTTGTGATGTGTGGATGCAGCTCACAGAGTTTAACCTTTCTGTTGGTTGAGCAGATTGGAAGCACTCTTTTTGTAGAATCTATGTATGGACGTTTCTGAGCCCTCTGAGATCGATAGTGGGGACCGAATATCCCGTGATAAACACCAGAATCTATGTTTGAATCTGCTTTGAGATGTGTGGATTCACCACACAGAGTTAAAACTTTCTTTTGATTCAGCAGATTGAAATCAACTTGTTTGTAGAATTTAAGAACGGACATTTCTGAACCCACTGAGGCCTATAGTGAAAACCAAATATCCCGCAATAAAAAGTAGAAAGAAGCTGTCTGTGAAACTTCTTTTTTATGTATGGATTCAGCTCACAGAGTTAAACCTTTCTTTTGATTCACAAGGTTGGAAACACTCTTCTTGTAGAATCTGGGAAGGGACATTTTTGAGCCTCCTGGAGCCTATAGTGAAAACAAAATATCCCATGATAAAACCTAGAAAGAAGCTATCTCTGAAACTGCTTTTTTTATGTGTGGATTCAGCTCACAGATTTAACCTTTCTTTTGATTCAGCAGGTTGGAAACCCTCTTTTGGTAGAACCTGAGAAGGAATATTTCAGAGTGCACTAAGGCCTATAAAGAAAAACTGAATTTCCAGTGAAAGACACTAGAAAGAAGCTATCTGTGAAACTGTTTTGTGATTTGTGGATTCAGCGCACAGAGTTAAACATCTTCTATTCGGCAGGGGGGAAACACTCTTTTTGTACAATCTAAGAACGGACATTTCTGAAACCACTGAAACCTATAGTGAAAACAGAATATTCCATGATAAAAATCAGAAACAGTATGTGAAACTTCTTTGGGATGTGTTGATACAGCTCCCAGGGTTAAACTTTTCTTTTGATTTAGCAGGTTGGAAACACTCTTTCTGTAGAATCTGGGAAGACATTTCTGAGCCTACTGTGGCCTACAGTGAAAACTGAATATCCCACAATCAAAACTAGAAAGAAGCTATCTATGAAATTTCTTTGTTATTTGTGGATTTACCTCACATTTAAACCTTGGTTTTGATTCAGCAGGTTAGGAGCACTCTTTTTGTAGAATCTAAGAATGGATATATCTGAACCCACTGAGGAGTATCATGAAAACCGAATATCCCGTGATAAAAAACTAAAAAGAAGCTATGAAACTGGTTTGAGATGTGTGGATTGAGCTCAAAGCGTTAAAACGTTCTTATGATTCAGCAGGTTGGAAACGCTCTTCTTGTGGAATCTAAAAATGGATATTTCTAGACCCACTGAGGCATATAATGAAAATTGAATATCCCACAAAAAAAACTACAAAGAAGCTATCTCTGAAACTGCTTTGAGATGTGTGGATTCAGCTCAAAGATTTAAGACTTTCTTTTGATTCACCAGGTTCGAAATGCTCTTTTTGTAGAACCTGAGAAGGAACATATGGGGGTGTGCTCAGGATGAAAGTGAAAGACAGAATATGTGGCAATAAAAACTAGAAAGAATCCATCTGTGAAACTGCTTTGTGATGTGTTGGTACAGCTCACAGAGTTAAACCTTTCTTTTGGTTTAGCAGGTTAGAAACATTTTTATTGTAGAATTTAAGAATGTACATTTCTGAACCCACAGAGGCACATAGTAAAAACTGAATATCCCATGATAAAAAGTAGAAGGAAGCTATCTGTGATACAGCTTTGTGATGTGTGGATTCAGCTCACAGAGTTAAAGCTTTCTTTTGACTAAGCAGGTTGGAAACACTCTTTTGGTAGAATGTGTGAAGGGACATTTTGTGGCATACTTAGGCTTAAAGTGAAAAACCAAATATCTCGCGATAAAAACTAGAAAGAAGCTATCTGTGAAACTGCTTTGTGATGCGTGGATTCAGCTCACAGAGTTAAACCTATCTTCTGATTCAGCAGGTTGGAAACACTCTTTGTAGAATATAAGAATGGACATTTCTGAATGCACTGAGGCCTATAGTGAAAACAAAATATCCCATGATAAAAAAAAACTAGAAAGAAGCCATCTGTGAAATGGCTTCGTGATGTGTGGATTCAGCTCACAGAGTTAAATGTTTCTTTTGATTCAGCAGGTTGGAAACACTCTTTTTTTAGAACCTAGAATGGACATTTCTGAACCTGCTGAAACCTATTGTGAAAACTGAATATCTTGTGATAAAAATTAGAACAAATATATCTGTGAAACTGCTTTGCGATGTGTGGATGCATCTAAAAGAGTTCAACCTTTCTTTTGATTCAGCAGGTTGGAAACCCTCTTTTTGTAGAATCTGTGTAGGAACATTTCGAAGCACACTGAGTCCTATAAAGAAAAACTGAATATCCCATGATAAAAACTAGGAAGAAGCTATCTGTGAAACTGCTTTATGATGTGTGGATTCAGCTCACAGAGTTTTATCTTTCTTTTGATTCAGTGGGTTGGAAACACTCTTTTTGTAGAATCTGACAATGGACATTTCTGAACGCACTGAGGCCTATAGTGAAAACCGAATATCTTGCAATAAAAACCAGAAAGAAGCTATCATCTGTGAAAATGCTTTAGTAAGTGTGGATTCAGCTCACAGTTAAAAGTTTCTTTTGATTCAGCAGGTTGGAAACACTCTTTTTGTAGAATCTGTGTAGGAACATTTCGAAGCACACTGAGTCCTATAAAGAAAAACTGAATATCCCATGATAAAAACTAGGAAGAAGCTATCTGTGAAACTGCTTTATGATGTGTGGATTCAGCTCACAGAGTTTTATCTTTCTTTTGATTCAGTGGGTTGGAAACACTCTTTTTGTAGAATCTGACAATGGACATTTCTGAACGCACTGAGGCCTATAGTGAAAACCGAATATCTTGCAATAAAAACTAGAAAGAAGCTATCATCTGTGAAAATGCTTTAGTAAGTGTGGATTCAGCTCACAGTTAAAAGTTTCTTTTGATTCAGCAGGTTGGAAACACTCTTTTTGTAGAATCAGTGAAGGGACATTTGGGAGGACACTGAGGCTTAAAGTGAAAAACAGAATACCCCATGATAAAAACTACAATGAAGGGATCTGTGAAACTATTTTGTGATGTGTTGATGCAGATCACAGTGTTAAAACTTTCCTTTGATTTAGCAGGTTGGAAACACTTTTTATGTAGAACCTAAGAATGGACATTTCTGAACCCACAGAGGCCTATAGTGAAAACAGAATGTCTTGTGATAAAAACTGGAAAGAAGCTATCTGTGAAACTGATTTGTGATATGTGGATTCAGCTCACAAAGGTAAACACTACTTTTGATTCAGTAAGTTGGAAACACTATTTTTGTAGAATATGCAAAAGGACATTTCTGAGTGCACTGAGGCTTATAGTGAAAAAACGAATATCCCGTGATCAAAACTCAAAGAATCTATCTGTGAAAATGCTTTGTAATGTGTTGATACAGATCACAGAGTTAAATATTGGTTTTGATTCAGCAGGTTGGAAACACTCTTTTATTTTAGTGTAAGAATGGACATTTCTGAAACCTCTGAGGCCCAGAGTGAAAACAAAATATCCAGTGACAAAAACGACAAAGCCACTATCTGTGAAAATATTTTGTAATGTGTGGATTCAGTTCAAATAATTTAACCTTTCTTTTTGGTTCAGCAGGTTGGAAACACTGTTTTAGTGGAGCATAAAAACGGACATTTCTCATTTCTGAACCCATTGAGGCATACAGTGAAAACGGAATATCCCATGATAAAAACTACAAAGAAGCAGTGTGTGAAACTGCTTTGTGATGTGTGGACTCAACTCACCGAGTTAAAACTTTGTTTTTATTCAGCTGACTGAAAACACACTTTTTGTAAAATCAAAGAATGAATATTACTGAACCCACTGAGGCCTAAAATGAAAACTGAATATCCAGGGATAAAAACTACAAACATGCTATCTGTGAAACTGCTTTGTGATGAGAGCATTCAGGTCTCAGAGGTAAACCTTTCTTTTGATTCAGCAGGTTGGAATAACTCTTTTTGTAGAATCTGTAAAGGAACATTTCAGAATGCACAGAGGCCTATAAAGAAAAATGCAATCTCTTGTGATAAAAACTAGAAAGAAGCTATCTGTGAAACTGCTTTGTGATGTGTGGATTCAGCTCACAGAGTTAAACCTTCCTTTTGATTCAACATGTTGAAAACGCTCTTTTTGTAGACTCTAAGAATGGGCATTTCAGAACACCCTATGCCCTGTTGTGAAAACCAAATATCCCGTGATAAAACCAGAAAGAAGCTATCTGTGAAACTGCTTCATGATGTGTGGATTCAGCTCATAGAGTTAAACTTTCTTTGGATTCAGCAGGTTGGAAACTTTTTTTGTAGAATGTGCAAAGGGAAATTTGGAGGTGCTATGGGGCTGAAAGTGAAAAAGAGACTATCCCGTGATAAAACTAGAGAGATGCTATCTCTGAAACTGCTTTGTGATGTGCAGATACAGCTCACAGAGTTAAATCTTTCTTTTGATTCAGCAGGTTGGAAACACATTTTTTGTAGAATCTAAAAACGGACATTTCTGAACCCACTGAGGCCTATAGTGAAATCCGAACATCCCACGATAAACAGCACAAAGAATCTCTATGTTGAACTGCTTTGTGTTGTGTGGATTCGGCTCAAAGAGTTAAACTTATTTTTATTTAACATGTAGGAAACACTCTTTTGGTAGAATCTGTGAAACAACATTTTGGAGTGCACTAAGGCATATAAAGAAAAACAAATTATCCCACGAAAAAAACTAGAAAGAAGCTATCTGTGAAACTGCTTTGTGATGAGTGGATTCAGCTCACAGAGTTAAACCTTTCTTTTTATTCAGCAGGTTGGAAACACTCTTTGTAGAATCTGAGAAGGGACATTTGGGGATGCACTGAGGCTTGAAGTGAAAAAGAGAATATTCCACGATAAAAACTAGAAAGAATTTATCTGTGAAGCTGCTTTGTGATGTATTGATATGGCTCAAAGAATTAAACCTTACTTTTGATTCAGGCAGGTTGGAAACACTTTTTTTGTGGAATCTAGGAAGGGACGTTTCTAAACCCACTGAGGCCAATAGTGAAAACCAAATATCCTGTGATAAAAATCACAAAGAAGCTATCTGTGAAACTTCTTTGTTATGTGTAGATTCAGCTCACGATGTTAAACCTTTGTTTTGATTCAGAAGGTTGGAAGAACCGTTTTTGTAGGATCTAAGAATAGACGTTTCTGAATCCACTGATGCCTCTAATGAAAACCAAATATCCAGTGATAAAATGTAAAAACATGCTATCTGTGAAACTGCTTTGTAATGCATTGATTCAGTTCACACAATTAAACCTTTCTTTTAATTCAGCAGGTTGGAAACGCTCATTTTGTAGAATCTGCGAGGGAGCATTTCGGAGGGCACTGAGACATATAAAGAAAAACCGAATATTTTGTCATTAAAAACTAGAAAGAAGATATTGTTGAAACTGCTTTGCCATGCGTGGATTCAGTTCATAGAAGTAAACCTTTGTTTGATTCAGCAGGTTCGAAACACTCTTTTTTGTGGAATCTAAGAATAGACATTTCTGAACCCACCGAGGCACATAGTGAATACCAAATATCCCATGATAAAAACCAGAAAACAGCTATCTTTGTAACTTCTTTGTGATGCGTGGTTTTAGCTCACAGAGGTAAACTTTCTTTTGATTCAGCAGGTTGGAAACACTCTTTTTGTAGAATCTGCAAAGGGACATTTTGGGGCACAATGGAGCTTAAAGTGAAAAACAGAATATTCTGTGATAAAAAACTAGAAACAACCTATCTGTGATACTGCTTTGTCATGTGTTGATACAGCTCAGAGAGTTAAACCTATCTTTTAAATTAGCAGGTTGCAAGCACTTTTTTGGTAGAATCTAAGATTGGACATTTCTGTACCCTCTAATGTCTGTAGTGAATACCGAATATTCTGCAATAAAAACTTGAAAGAATCTATCTGTGAAACTGCATTGTGATGTGTGAATTCAGCTCACAGAACTCAAACTTTCCTTTGATTCAGCAGGTAGGAAACACTCTTTTTGTAGATTCGGCCAAGGGGCAATTCAGAGCACACTTTGGCCAATAGCGAAAAATAAAACATCTCATGAAGAAAACTAGAAAGATGCTATCTGTGAAACTGATTTGTAATGCTTGGATTCAGCTCACAGAGTTAAACATTTATTTTGATTCAGCAGGTTGGAAACGCTGTTTTTGCAGAATCTACAAAGAAACATTTTGGGGCACACTAAGGCTTAAAGTGAAAAACAGAATATGTAATGATTACAACTAAAAAGAAATTTTGTGATAAAAACTAAAAAGAAGTTATCTGTGAAACTACTTTGTAATGTGTGGATTCAGCTCATGGAGTTATACTTTTCTTTTATTGCAGTAGATTGAAAACCCTCTTTTTGAAGAATCTGGGAAGGGACATTTCTGAACCCAATGAGGCCTATAGTGAAAACAGAATATCCCATGATAAAAACTAGAAAGAAGTTATCTGTGAAACTACTCTGTGATGTATGGATTCAGCTCACAGGGTTAAACATTTCTTTTGATTCAGTAGGTTGGAAACACTCTTTTGTAGAATCTGCAAAGGGACATTTGTGGGCATACTGGGGGTTAAATTGAAAAACAGAATATTCCACGATAAAACTAGATAGAGGCTGTCTGTGAAACTGCTTTGTGACGTGTTGATAAAGCTCGCAGTGGTAAACCTCTCTTTTGATTCTGCAGATTGGAAGCACTTATTTCTAAAATCTAAGAATGGACATTTCTGAACCTGCTGAAACCTATAGTGAAAACCGAATATTCCTTGATAAAACCAGAAAGAATCTATCTGTTAAACTGCTTTGAGATGTGAGGATTCAGCTCACAGAGTTAAAGCTTTCTTTTGATTCAGCAGATTGGAAACACTCTTTTTGTAGAATCTGCAAAAAAACATTTTGGAGCATGCTGAGGCCTATAAATAAAAAATGAACATCCCGTGATAAAAACTAGAAATAATCTATCTGTGAAACTGCATTGTGATGTGTGGATTTGGCTCACAGTTAAACTTTTCTTTTGATTCAGCATGTTGGAAACACCCTTTTGGTATAATCTAAGATTGGACATTTCTGAATCCACTGAGGTTTATGATGATAAACAAATATCTTGTGATAAGAACTAGATGGAAGCTCTCTGTGAAACTGCTTTGTGATGTATGGATTCAGCTCACAAAGTTAAACTTGCCTTTTGATTCAGAAGGTTGGACACACTCTTTTTACAGGATCTGTGAAGGGACATTAGGTGGTGTACTGTGAATTAAAGTGAAAAACAGAATATTCCATGATAAAAACTAGAAAGAAGCTGTCTGTGAGACTGCTTTGTGATGTATTGATGCAGCTCACAGAGGTAAACCTTTCTTTGGATTCAGCAGGTTGGAAACACATTTTTGTAGAATCTAAGAATAGACATTTCTGAACCCATTGAAGCATAGGGTGAAAACGGAATGTCTCACAATAACCACTACAAAGAAGCTATCTGTGAAACTGCTTTGTGATGTGTGGATGCAGCTCAGAGAGTTAAACCTTTCTATTGACTCAACAGGTTGGAAACCCTTTTTTCTGTAGAATCTGTGAAGGAAAATTTTGGAGCGAACATGGCCTATGAAGAAAAACCAAATATCCCGTGATAAAAACTAGAAAGAAGTTATCTGTGAAAGTGTTTTGTGATATGTGGATTCAGCTCAAAGAATTAAACCTTTCTTTGATTCAGTATGTTGGAAACACTCTTTTTGCAGAATCTAAGAATGAGCATTTCTGAACCCAGTGAGGCCTATGGTGAAAACCAAATATCTGAGGATAAAAAGCAGAAAGAATCTATCTGTGGACCTGCTTTGTGATGTGTGGATTCAGCTCACAGGGTTAAACCTTTCTTTTGATTCAGCGGGTTGGAAACGATCTTTTTGTAGAATCTCAAAAGGGACATTTCTGAACCCACTGAGGCCTATAGTGGCAAAAACTAGAAAAAAGCTATCTGTGAACCTGCTTTGCTGAATGTGGATTCAGCTCACATAGTTACACCTTTCTTTTGATTCAGTAGGTTGGAAACACCCTTTTTGTAGAATCTAGGAATGGACATTTCTGAATCCACTGAAGTCTATAGCAAAAACTGAATATCCCACAATAAAAGTAGAAAGAAGCTATCTGTGAAACTGCTTTATTTTGTATGGATTCAGCTCACAGAGTTAAACCTTTCTGCTGATTCAGCAGGTTGGAAACACTCTTTTTGTAGAATCTGGGAAGGGACATTTCTGAATCAAATGAGGCCTATAGTGAAAGCCAAATATCCCACAATAAAAACAAAAGAGAATCTATCTGTGAAACTGCCTTGTGATGTGTGGATTCAGCACACAGAGGTAAAGCTTTCTTTTGATTCAGCACGTTGGAAACACTTTCTTTCTAGAATCGGTGAAAGGATATTTCTGAGACCACTGAGGCCTATAGTGAAAATGGAATATCCTGTGATAAAAACTGGAGAGAAGCTGTCTGTGAAACTGCTTTGTGATGTGTTGACACGGCTCACAGAGGCAAACTGTTCTTTGGATTAAGCAGGTTGATAAAACATCTTTTGTAGAATCTATGAATGGACATTTCTGAACCCACTAAGTCCCAAAGTGAAAACCGAATATCCAGCTATAAAAAGTAGAATGACGCTAACTGTGAAACTGCTTTGTGATGCCTGTATTCAGCTCACAGAGTTACACCTTTCTTTTGATTCAGCAAGTTGGAAACACACTCTTTGTGGAATCTAAGAATAAACACTTCTAAACCCACTGAAATGTTTGTTGAAAACTGAATATCCCATGAAAAAAATCCACAAAAAGCTATGTGTGAGACTCCTTTGTGATGGGTGAATTCGACTCACAGAGTTAAACCTTCCATTTGATTCAGTAGGTTGGAAACACTCTTTTTGTAGAATCTATAAATGGACATTTCTGAGCCTTCTGAAACCTATAGTGAGAACTGAATATCCCATGATAAAAACTAGAAATAATTTACCTGTGAAACTTCTTTTTGATTTGAGGAGTCAGCTCGCAGTGGTAAACTTTTGTCTTGATTCCACAGGTTGGAAACACTCTTTTTGTAGACTCTGCGAAGGAACATTTCGGAGTGCACAGAGGCCTATAAAGAAAAACAGAATATCCCATGATAAAAATGAAAAAGAAGCTATCTGTGAAACTGATCTGTGATGTGCGGATTAAGCTCACTGTGTTAAACCTTTATTTTGATTCAGTGTGTTTGAAACACTCTTTCTGTATAATCTATGAAGGGGCTTTTCTGAACCCACTGAGGCCTATAGTGAAAACCGAGTAGCCCACGATAAAATTAGAAAGAAGTTATTTGTGAAATTTTTTTTTGATGTATGGATTCAGCTCAAAGAGATAAACCTTTCTTTTGATTCAGCATTTTGGAAACACTCTTTTTGTAGAATCTGCAAAGGGATATTTGAGGGTGTAATGAGAATTAAAGTGAAAAACAGAGTATTCCACAATAAGTACTAGAAAGGGGCTGTCTGTGAAACTGCGTTGTGATGTGTTGATACAGCTCTCAGAGGTAAACCTTTCTTTGGATTCATCAAGTTGGAAAAACTTTTTTTGTAGAATCTAAGAATGAACATTTCTGAACCCACAGAGTCCTATAGTGAAAACTGAATATCCAGTGATAAAAAGTAGAATGATGCTATCTGTGAACCTGCTTTGTAATGTGTGTATTCACCTCACAGATATAAACATTTCTTTTGATTCAGGAGGTTGGAAACACACTTTTTGTGGAATCAAAGAATGGACATTTCTGAACCAACTGAAGTGTTTGTTGAAAACCTAATATTCCGTAATAAATACCAGAAAGTAGCTATCTGTGAAACTGCTTTGTGATGTGTGGATTCAGATCTCAAAATTAAACTTTCTTTTGATGCAACAGTTTGGTAACAATCTTTTTGTAGATCTGTGAAGGGACAATTCAGAGCGAAGTTTGGCCTATTCAGAGAAAACAAATATCCCACGATAAAAACTAGGAAGAAGCTATCTGTGAAACTGCTTTTTGATGAGTGAATTCAGTTCACTGAGTTAAAGCATTGTTTTGATTCAGCAGGTTGGTAATACTCTTTTCTTATAATCTAGAAGAGACATTTTTGAACCCACTGAGGCCTATAGTGGAAGCTGAATATCCCACGATAAAAACTAGAAAGAAGCTGCCTGTGAAACTGCTTTGTGATGTGTGGATTCAGCTCACAGAGTTAAATCTTTCTTTTAATTCAGCAGGTTGGAATCACTCTTTTTGTAGAATCCAAAAATGGACATTTCTGAACTCACTGAGACTTATAGTCAAAACCAAGTATCCTGTGATAAAAACTAGAAAGAAGCTATCTGTGAAACTCCTTTGTGCTATGTGGATTCAGCTCACAAAGTTAAACCTTTATTTGATGCAGCAGGTTGGAAAAACTTTTTTTTTATAGAAACTGCAAAGGGACATTTGGGGGTGCACTGAGACTTAAAGTGAAAAAGATAATATCCCATGATAAAAACTAGAAAAAAGGTATCTGTGAAACTGATTTTTGGTGTGTCGATACAGCTCACAGGGTTAAAAATTTCTTTTGATTCAGCAGGTGGGAAACACTTGTTTGTAGAATCTAAGAATGGGCATTTCTGAAACCACTGGGGCATACAGTGAAAACTGAATATCAATGATAAAAAGCAGAAAGATGCTATCTGTGAAAATGCTTTGTGAAGTGTGGATACAGTTCATAGAACTAAACCTTTCTTTTCTTTCATCAGGTTGGAAGCACTCATTTTTAGGAGTCTATGCATGGACATTTCTGAACCCACTGAGGAATATAGTGAAAACTGAATATCCCAAGCTAAAAACTACAAAGAGGCTATCTGTGAAACTGCTTTGCGATTTGTGGATTTTGCTCACAAAGTTAAACCTTACTTTCGATTAGGCAGGTCTTTTTGTAGAATCTGGGAAGACACATTTCTGAGCCTACTGAGGCCTACAATGAAAACCCAATATCCTTTTATAAAAACTAGAAAAACTAGAAAGAATTTATCAGTTAAACTGCTTTGTGATGGGTGGATTCAGCTCACACAGTTAAACATTTGTTTTGACTCAGCAGGTTGGGAACACTTTTTTTGTAGTATCTAAGAATGGACATTTCTGAACACACTGATTCTGGTAGTGAAAACCAAATATCCTGTGAGAAAAACTAGAAAGACACAATTTGTAAAGCTGCTTTGTGATGTGGGGATTCAGACCACTGAATTAAACCTTTCTTTTGATTCAGCAGGTTGGAAACACACTTTTTGTGGAGTCAAAGAATGAACATTTCTGAACACACTGAGGTGTATACTGAAAACTGAATATCCTGCAATAAAAGCCACAAAGAAGCAACCTATGAAACTGCTTCTTGATGTGTGGATTCAGCTCAAAGAGTTAAACCTGTTTTTTGATTGAGCACGTTGAAAACACTCTTTTTTGTAGAATCTGGAAATGGAATTTTCTGAGCCCTTTGAAGCCTGTAGTGAAAATCAATTATTTCACCATTAAAAATAGAAAGAATCTACCTATGAAACTGCTTTGTGAAGATGTATTCAGCTCAGAGAATTAAACCTTTCTTTTGATCCAACAGGTTGAAAACACTCTTTTTGTAGAATGAGTGAAGGAACATTTCTGAACCCTCTGTGGCATATAGTGAAAACCGCATATCCTGCAATAAAAACTAGGAAGAAACTATCTGTGAAAGTGCTTTTTGATATGTTGATTCAGCTCACTGAGTAAAACCTGTCGTTTGATTCAGCAAGTTGGAATCTCATTTTTTGTTGAATCTGCGAAGGGACATTTCAGGGCACACTGAGGCCTATAGTAAAAAAGAAGAGAATATCCAGCTATAAAAAGTAGAAAGAAGCTTTCTTTTAAACTGCTTTGTGTTTTATGGACTCATCTCAGAGAGCTAAACTTTTTGTTGTTGTTGTTCAGCAGATTGGATATGCTCTTTTTGTAGAATCTGGGAAGGGATATTTCTGAGCCTACTGAGGCATACACTGAAAACAAAATATCCAGCAATAGAAAGTAGAAAGAAGCTATCTGTGAAACTTCTCTGTTATGTGTGGATTCAGCTCACAGGGTTAAACCTTCGTTTTGACGCTGCAGGATAAAGACTCTTTTTGTAACACCTAAGAATGGACATTTCTGAACCCACTGAGGCCTATAGTGAAAATTTAATGTCCCACAATAAAAACTAGAAAGACACTATCTGTGAAACTACCTTGTGATGTGTGGATTCAGCTCACAAATTAAAATTTATTTTGATTCAGCAAGTTGGAAACACTCTTTTTGTGGAATCTAAGAATGGACATTTCTGAACACACTGAGGTGTATAGTTATAACCCAATATCCTGTGAGAAAAACTACAAATAAGCTATTTGTGAAACTGCTTTGTGATGTGCGAATTCAGCTCACAAAGTTAAACCTTTTTTTTTATTCAGTAGGGTGAAAACCCTCTTTTTGTAGAGTCTAAGAATGGACATTTCTGAACCCACCAAAACCTGTAGTGAAAAGCAAATGTCCCATGATAAAAACTAGAAAGAATCCATCTGTGAAACTGCTTTGTGAAGTGAGCATTCAGCTCACAGAGTTAAACCTTTCTTTGGATTCAGCAGGTGGGAAACACTCTTCTTGTAGGATCTGTGAAGGACATTTCTGAGCCCAGTGAGGCTTATTGTGAAAAATAAAATATCCCCTGAGAAAACATAGAAAGAAGTTACATGTGAAACCACTTTGCAATGTATGCATTCATCTCACTGAGTTAAACCTTATTTTTGATTCAGCAGATTAGAAACACTCCTTTTGTAGAATCTGTGAAGGGACATTTGGGAGCTCTTTCAGGCCTATAGTGAAAAACCAAACATCCACAGATGAAAACTAGAAGGAAACTCTCTGTGAAACTGCTTTGTGATGTGTGCATTGAACTCAGAGTTGAACATGTCTTTTGATTCAGCAGGTTGGATACATTCTTTTAGTAGAATCTTCGAAGAGACATTGAGAGCCCATTGAGGCCTATGGTGAAAAACTGAATAACCCCAGTTAAAACCTAGAAAGAAGCTATCTGGGAAACTGCTTTGCCTCACAGAGGTAAAACTTTCTTTTGATTCAGCAGGCTGGAAACAATTTTTTTTTTTTGTAGAATCTGTGAAGGGACATTTGGGATCCCAGTGTGGGCTACAGTAAAAAACAAAATATCCACAAATAAAAACAGGAAAGAAGCTATCTGTGAAACTGCTGTGTGATGTGTGCATTCATCTCACAGAGTTAAACTTTCCTTTTGATTCAGCAGGTTGGAAAAATTCTTTTTGTAGCATCTATGAAGAAACATTTGGGAGTACATTGAGGCCTATAGTGAAAACCAGAATATGCTCAGACAAAAACTAGACACAAGCTATCTGCGAAACTGCTATGCAATGTGTGCATTTATTTCACAGGGTTAAACCATCTTTTGATTCAGCAGGTTGGAAACACTCTTTTGGTAGGATCTGCAAAAGGACATTTAGGAGCCCATTGAGGCCTATAGTGAAAAGCCGAATATCCACAGATAAAAACTAGATAGAAACTGTCTGCAAAATTGCTGTGATGTGTGCATTCGTCTCACAGTTAAACCTTTCTTTTGATTTTGCAGGTTGGAGACAATTTTGTGTAGAATCTGCCAAAGGAAAGTTGGGAGTCCACTGAGGCCTATGGTGAAATATTGAATATCCCCAAATCTGTGAAAGTGCTTTGTGATGTGTGAATTCATCACACAGAGTTTATCTTTTCTTTTGATGCAGCAGGTTGGAAATACTATTTTATAGAAACTGCAAAAAGACAATTGGGATCCCTTAGAGGCTTATAGTGAAAAACAAGATATCCCAAGATAAAAACTAGAAAGAAGCTGTCTGTGAAACCACTTTGCAATGTGTGCATTCATTGCACAGAGTTAAACCTTTCTTTTGATTCATCAGGTTGGAAAAACTCTTTTTGTAGAATTTTCGAACAGATATTTTGTAGCCCATTGAGGCCTACACTGTAAAAACCGAATATCCCCAGATAAAAAGCAAAAAGAAGCTATTTGTAAAACTACTTTGCAATGTGTGCATTCATCTCTCAGGGTTAAACTTTTTTTTTCGATGCAGCACTTTGACAACACTCTTCTTATAGAACCTGCAAAAGGATATTTAGGACCCCATTGAGGCTCATAGTTAAAAACTGTTTATCCCCAGATGCAATCTGCAAGGAAGCTATCTGTGAAACAACTTTGTGCTGTGTGCATTTATCTCACATATGTAAACCTTTCTTTTGATTCAGCAGGTTGGGAACACTAATTTTGCAAAATCTGCAAAAATACATTTTGCTGTCCATTGAGGCCTACAGTGAAAAACTGAGTATCCCCAGATAAAAACTACAAAGAAGCTATCTGTGAAACTGCTTTGCAATGTGTGCATTCACCACACACTGTTAAACCTTTCTTTTGATTCATCAGGTTGGGAAAACTCTTTTTATAGAATCTTCAAAGGGACATTTGGGAGCCCATTGAGGCCCATAGTGAAAAATCGAATATACACAGATAAAAACTAAAAAGAAGATATCTATGAAACTGCTTTGCAAAGCGTGCATTCATCTCACAGAGTTAAAGCTTTCTTTTGATTCAGCAAGCTGGAAACACTGTTTTCATAGAATCTGCAAAGAAACATTTGGGAGCCCATTAAGGCCTATAGTGAAAAACCAAATATCCCCAGATAGAAAGTAGAAAGCAGCTATCTGTGAAACCGCTTTGCAATGTGTGCATTTATCTCAGAGCGTTTATCCTTTCTTTTGATTCAGCAGCTTGGAAACACTATTTTATAGAAACTGCAGAAAGACATTTGGAATCCCATAGAGGCTTATAGTGAAAAACAAATATCCCCAGATAAAAACCAGAAAGAAGCTATATGTGAAATCACTTTGCGATCTGTGCATTTGACAGAGGTAAAAATTAGTTTTGATTCAGTAGGTTGGAAACACTCCTATTATACAATCTGCAAAGGAACATTTCGGAGCCCATTGAGGCCTATATCGAAAAAAAGAATATCCCCAGATGAAAGCTACAAAGAAGCTAACTGTGAAACTGCTTTGCAGTCTGTGCATTCACTACACAGCATTAAACTTTTCTTTTGATTCAGCAGTTTGGAAACACTCTTTTGGTAGAATCTGCAAAGGGACATTTGGGAGCCCGTAGAAGCCCATAGAGAAAAATTGAATATTGTCAGAAAGTATCTATCTGTAAAATCACTTTGTAATGTTTGCATTAATGTCATCAAGTAAAACCTTTCTTTTGATTCAGAAGATTGGAAACCTTTTTTTGTAGAATGCGTGAAGGGATATTTGGAGCTCATTGAATCCTGTGGTGAAAAAACGAATATCCCCAGATAAAAGCTGGAAAGAAGCTATATGTAAAACTGCATTGTGGTGTTCGCGTTCATCTAACAGGGTTAAGCCTGCCTTTTGGTTCAGCAGGTTGTAAACACTGTTTTTGTAGAATCCGGAAAGGAACATTTGGGAGCTTTTTGAGACCTATGGTGAAAAACCAAATATCCCCAGTTAAATTAAAAGGAAGCTGTCTGTGAAACTGCTTTACAATGTGTGCATGAATTCAACAGAGTTAAACCTTACTTTTGTTTCAGCAGGTTAGAAGCATTTTTCTTGTAGGATCTGTGAAAAAAAATTTGGGAGACCATTGAGGTTTACAGTGACAAACAGAATATCCCCAGATAAAAACTAGAAAGAAGCTATCTGTGAAACCACTTTGTGATGTATGCATTCATCTCACAGATTTAAACCTTTCTTTGATTCAGTGGGTTGGAAACACTCTCTTTGTAGGATCTGTGGTGAGACATGTGAGAGCCCTTTGAGGCCTATAGTGAAAATCCAAATATCCCCAGATAAAAACAAGAAAGAAGCTATCTCTGAAACCATTTTGTGATGTGTGCCTTCATTTTATATTTAAAGTTTTCTTTTGTTTGAGGCTTATATTAAAAAAAGAATATCCCAGCATAAAAGCTAGAAAGAACATATCTGTGAAAAGCCTTAATGATGTGTGCATTTGTCTCACAGAGTTAAACAATTCTCTTGATTTAGCAGGTTGGAAACACTCTTCTCTAGAATCTGCGAAGGAACATTTTGGAGCCCATTGTGGCCTATAGTGCAAAACCGAATATCCCCAAATGAAAAGTAGAGTGATGCTATCTGTGAAACCACTTTGTGTTGTATGCATTTAACTCACGTAGTCAAATTTTCTTTGGATTCAGCAGTTTGGAAACACTTTTTTTTGTAGAATCTGTGAAGGGATATTTGGGAGTCCATTGAGGCTTATAGTGAAGAACCAAATATCCCTGGATAAAAACTAGAAAGAAGCTATCTATCTGAGAAACAGCTTTGGTATGTGTGCATTCATCCCACAGAGATAAAGTTTCTTTTGATTCAGCAGGTTGGAAACACTTTTTTTTTCGAATCTACTAAGCGTCTTTGGGAGCCCATTGACTCCTAAAGTTAAAATCTGCATAACCCTGGTAAGAACTAGAAAGAAGCTATGTGTGAAACTGCTTTGCCATATGTGCATTCATCTCACAGAGTTAAACAATTCTTTTGATTCAGCAAGTTGGAAACACTCTTTTTGTACAATCTGCAAAGGGATATTTGGGAACCCATTGAGGCCTAGAGTGCAAAATGATATATCCCAATATAAAAAATAGAAACAATTTATCTGTGAAACAGCTTTGCTCTGTGTGAGTTTATCTAACACAGGTAAACATGACTTTTGATTCAGCAGTTTGGAAAATCTCTTTTTTTTAGAGTCAACGAAGAAACATTTGGGAGGCCTTTGAAGCCTGTAGTGAAAAACTGAATATCCCCTGATAAAAACTAAAAAGAAGTTATTTGTAAAACCACTTTGTGATATTTGCATTCATTGCAAAAAATTGAAGTTTTCTATTGATGCAGCAGGTTAGATACACTCTTTCTGTAGAATACACAAAGGCATATTTTGGAGCCCATTTAGACCAGTAGTCAAAAACAGAATATCGCCAGATAAACAATAGAAAGAAGCTACCTGTGGTATCACTTTGTGACATATGCATTCATCTGACAAAGTTAAAACATGCTTTTTATTCAGCAGGTTGGAAACACTCTTTTTCTGCAAAAGAACATTTGGGAGCCCACTGAGGGATATAGAGAAATACAGAATATCCCCAGATAAAAACTAGAAGGAAGCTATCTGTAAAGCCAGTTTGTGATATGTATGTTCATCTCACAGATTTAAACCTTTGCTTTGATTCTGCAGTTTGGAAACACTTATTGTAGGATCTGTGCAGGGATATTTGGGAGCCCATTGGGGCCTAGAGTGAAAAACCAAACATCCCCAGATAAAAACTAAAAAGAAGCTATCTGTCAAACCACATTGTGATGTGTGCATTCATCTCAAAGAGTTAAAATTTCATTTGATTTGGCAGTTTGGAAACAGTCTTCTTTGAGATCTGTGAAGAGACATGTGGGAGCCCATTGAGGCCTATAGTGAAAAGCCAAATATCCCCAGATAAAAACTAGAAAGAAGCGATCTATGAAACTGCATTGCTATGAATGCATTCACCTCACAGAGGTAAAAATTATTTTGAGTCAATCTGTTGGAAACACTCCTTTGGTACAATCTGCGAAGGGACATTTGGGAGCCCATTGAGGCCTATAGTGAAAAAAATAATATATGCACATGAAAACAAGAAAAAAGCTATCTGTGAAATCATTATGCAGTGTGTGCATTCATCTCACAGAGTTAAAACTTTGTTTGATTCAGCCTTTTGGAAACAATTTTTTTTGTGTGTAGAATATGTGAAGGGATATTTGGGTGCCCATCCAGGCCTAAATTGAAAAACGAAAACTCCAATGAAAAAAACTAGGAAGAAGCTATCTGTAAAACCGCCTTGCAATATGTGAATTCATCTCACAGGGCTAAACCTTTCTTTTGATTCAGCACACTGGAAACACTCTTTTTGTAAAATCTGCAAAGGGATATTTGGGAGCCCATTTGTGCCTATAGTTAAAAATTGAATATTCCAAGATAAAAACTAGAAAGAAGGTGTCTGTGAAACAGCTTTGCAATGTGTGCATTCAACTCACAGAGTCAAACCTTGTTTTGATTCGGCAGATTGAAAACGATCTTCTTGTACAATCTGGGAAGGGACTTTTAGGAACCACTTTGGGGCTTAACGAGAAAATCTGAACATCCCCAGATAAAAACTAGAAAGAAGATATATGTGAAACCATGTAGTGATGTGTGCATTCATCTCTCATAGATAAAAATTTATTTTGATTCAGCAGCTTGAAAACACTTTTTTGTAGAATCTGCTAAGGGACATTTGAAAACCAATTGTGATCTATATTGAAAAATCGAATATCCTGAGAGAAAAACTTGATAGAAGTTACCTGTGAAACTGCTTTGTGAGGTATGCATTCATCCCACAGAATTAAACGTTTCTTTTGATTCCACAGGTGAGAAACACTCTTTTTGTAGAATCTGTGAAGGGACATTTGGGATCCCAGTGATGCCTATAATGAAAAAGTGAATATCTCCCCATAAAAACTGGAACGAAGCTATCTGTAAAACTCCTCTGCCATGTGTGCATTCACTTCAAATGGTTAAACCTTTCTTTTGATTCGGCAGTTGGAAATACTCTTTTGTAGGATCTGCGAAGGGACATTTGGAATCCCATTGAGGCCTACTGTGAAAAAACGAATATCCCCAGATAAAATCTAGAAATAAGCTATCTTTGAAACCACTTTGTGATGCATGAATTCGTCTCACAGAGTTAAGATTTTCTTTTGATTCAGCAGGTTGGAAACACTTTGTTGTATGATCTGCAAAGTGATATTTGGGAGCCCATTGAGTCCTACAGTGCAAAACCAAATATCCCCATATAAAAACCAGAAGGAAGCAATCTGTGAAACCGCTTTGCACTGTGCACATTCATCTCACAGAGTTAAACCTTTCTTTTGATTCAGTAGGCTGGAAACACTCTTTTTTTAGAATCTACAAATGCACATTTGAAAGCCCACTGAGGACTATAGTGAAAATTTTAATATCCTAAGATAAAAGTTGAAAGAAGCTATCTTTGAAAATGCTTAGTGATGTGCGCATTCAACTCACAAAGTTAAACCTTTCTTTTGATTCAGCAACTTGGTAACACTTTTTTTTGTGAAATCTGCAAAGGGACATTTGGGAGCCCAGCAAGGCCTATAGTGAAAAACAGAATATCCTCAGATAAAAAGTAGAAAGAAGATATCTCTGAAACCACTTTGTGATGTGAGCATTCAACTCACAGAGTTAAACGTTTCTTTTGATTCAGCATGTTGGAAACACTCTTTTTGTAGAATCTGCAAAGCAGCATATGGGACACTAATGAGGCCCATAGTGAAAAATAAAATATCACCAGATAAAAACTAGAAAGAATCTATCTGTGAAACTGCTTTGCAAAATGTGCATTCATCTCACAGATTTAAAACTTTCTGTTGATTCAGCAGGTAGGAAACACAAGTTTTGTAGGATCTGCAAAGGGAGACTTCAGAGCCCTTTGAGGCCCATAGTGAAAAACCGAATATCCCCATATAAAAACTAGAAGGAAGTTATCTGTGAAGCCCCTTTGCAATGAGTGCATTTTTCTCAAGGTTGAAACCTTTCTTTTGATTCAGCAGGTTGGAAAACTTCTTTTTGTAAAATCTTCAAAGGCACATTTGGGAGCCCACTGAGGCAGGCTTGTAGTGAAAAACAAAACATCCCCAGATAAAAACTAGAAAGAAGCAATGGGTGAAACTTCTTTACAATGCAGGCACATATCTCTAAGGGTGGAACATTTCTTTTGATTCAGCAGGTTGGAAACACTCTTTTTGTAGAACTTATGAAGGGACACATGGGAGCCCATTTAGGCCAATAGTGACAAACAAAATATCCCCAAGTAAAAACTAGAAAGAAGTTATCTCTGAAACTGCTTCATGACGTGTGGTTTCATCTCAAAAAGTTAGGCCTTTCTTTTCATTCAGCATGTTGGAAACACTCTTTTTGTAGGATCTGTGAAGGACCATTTGGAAGCCCATTGAGGCCTATAGTGAAAAACCAAATATCACTGATAAAAACTAGAAAGAAGCTATGTGTGAATCTGCTTTGCAATGCAGGCACACCTCTCACAGGGTGAAACCTTTCTTTTGATTCAGCATGTTGGAAAAACTCTTATTGTAGAATCTATGCAGGGACATATGAGAGCCCATTGAGGCCTACAGTGAAAAAAAAGAATATCCCCAGATAAAGGCTATAAAGAAGCTATCTGTGAAACCGCTTTTTGATGTGTGAATTCATCTCACAGAGTTAAACCTTCTTTTTGATTCGGCAGGTTGGAAACTCATTTTTTGTAGAACCAGAGGATGGATATATGTCAGCACCTGAGGCCTATAGTGAAAAATTGAATATCCCTGGATAAAACAAGAAATATTCTATGTCTGAAACCACTTTGCAATAGGAGGATTCATCTCATAGAGTAAAAACTTGTTTTATTCAGCACATTGGAATTACTCTTTTTTTGGATCTCTGAAGGGACGATTTGGAGCTCATTTAGGTCTATAGGAAAAAACAGAATATCTCCAGGTGAAAACTAGAAAAAAGCTATCTGTGAAACCGCTTTGTGATGTGTGCATTCATCTCACAATATTAAACTCTATTTTTAATTCAGCAGGTTGGAAACACTCTTTTCGAAGGATCTGTGAAGGAACATTTAGGAGCCCATTGAGGCATACAGTGAAAAACTGAATATCCCCAAATAAAAACTAGATAAAAGCTATCTCTAAAACTGCATTGCAATGTGTGCATATCTCTCACAGAGTTAAACGTTTCTTTTGATTCAACACGTTGGAAACACTCTTTTTGTAGGATCTGTGAAGGGACATTTGGAAGCCCATTGAGGCCTACAGTGAAAAAACAAATATCCCTAGATAAAATCTAGAAATAAGCTACCTGCGAGTCCACTTTGCAATGTGTGAATTCATCTCACACAGTTAAAATTTTTTTCTTTTGATTCAGCAGGTTGGAAACACTCTTTTTGTAGAATCCGTGAACAAACATTTGGGAGCCCATTGAGGCCTACAGCAAAAAGCAGAATATCCCCAGATAAAAGCTAGAAAGAGCTATCTGTGAAACTGCTTTGTGATGTGTGTATACATCTCACAGAAGTAAACCTTCCTTTTGATTCAGCAGGTTGGAAACACTCTTTTTGTAGAATCTGCAAAGGAACATTTGGTTGACCCTTGAGGCCTATAGGCCTCAGATGAATTATCCCCAGATGAAAACTAGAAAGAAGCCATGATGTGTGAAACACTTTTGCCATGCATGCATTCATCTCAAAGGATTAAATCTTTCTTTGATTCAGCAGGTTGAAAACACTCTTTTAGTCAAATTTGTGAAGAGACATATTGGAGCCCATTGAGGCCTATAGTGAAAAACATAATATCTTCAGATTAAAAGGTGAAAGCAGCTGTCTGTGAAACCACTTTATGATATGTGCATTCATTTCACAGAGTTTAACCTTTCTTTTGATTCAACAGGTGGGAAATACTCTTTATGTACAATCTGCAAATAAACAGCTGGGAGCTCATTGAGGTCTATAGTGAAAAACCGAATATCCCCATATAAAAATTAGAAAGAAGCAATTTGTGAAACTGCTTTGCTATGTGTGATTTCATCTCACAGAGGTGAAGAGTTCTTTCGATTCACTAGGTTGGAAACACTCTTTTTGTAGGATCTGCATAGGAATATTTGGGAGCCCAATGACGCCAATAGTGAAAAAACAAATATCTTCTGATAAAATCTAGAAAGAAGCTTTCTGTGAAACTGCTTTGCTATGTGTGTATGTGACTCACAAAGCTGAAGCCTTATTTTGATTCAGCAGTTAGGAAACTCTCTTTTTGCAGGATTGGCAAAGGGGCATTTGGGATCCCATTGAGGCCTGTAGTGGAAAACAATATATTCCCAGATAAAAACTAGAAAGAAGCTATCTATGAAACTGCATTCTGTTGTGAGCATTCTTTTCACAGAGTTAAACATTTATTTTGATTCAGCATGATGTAAACACTCTTTTTGTAGAATTTGTGAAGGGAAATTTGGGAGCCCTTTTAGACCTATAGTGAAAAACTGAATATCGTGAGACCAAAACTAGAAAGAACGTATCTGTGAAACAGCATTGGAAAGTATGTATTCATCTCACAGAGTTAAACATTTCTTTTGATTCAAAATGTTGGAACACTACTTTTGTAGAATCTGCGAAGGAACATCTGGGTGACCCTTGGGGCCTACAGTGAAAAAACGAATATCCCCAGATAAAAACTAGAAAGAAGATATCTGTGAAACCACTATGCAATGTGTGCATTCATCTCACAGGGTTAAACCTTTGTTAGATTCAGCAGGTTGGAAAAACTCTTTTTGTTGGGTCTGTGAAGAGACATACTGGAGCCCATTGCAGCCTATATTGAAAAACAGAATATCTTCAGATAAAAACTAGAAAGAAGATATCTGTAAAACTGCTTTGCAATGTGTGCATTCATCTCACAGATTTAAACTTTCTTTTGATTCAGCAGGTTGGAAACACTCTTTTTGTAGAATCTGTGAATGAACATTTGGGAGCCTATTGAAGCCTAGAGAGTAAAATGGAATATCTTCATACGAAAATTAGAAAGAAACTATTTGTGAAACTGCATGGCTAAGGGTGCTTTCCTGTCACAGAGGTAAACAGTTCTTTGATTCAGCAGTTAGGAAACACTCTTTTTGCAGGATTGGCAAAGGGACATTATGGAGCCTATTGAGGCCTATAGTGAAAAACCAAATATTCCCATATAAAAATTACAAAGAAGGTATTTTTGAAACTGCTTGGCTATGTGTGCTTTCATCTCACAGAAGTAAACAGTTCTTTTGATTCAGCAGTTTGGAAACTCTCTTTTTGCAGTATAGGTGAAGGGACATTAGGGAGTCTACTGAGGCTTTTAGTGAAAAGCAACATATCCCCAGAAAAAAACTAGGAAGAAGCTACCTATGAAACTGCTTTCTGTTGTGGGCATTGATTTTGCAGAGTTAAACCATTCTTTTGATTCAACAGGATGGAATCACTCTTTTTCTAGAATCTGTTAAAAGACATTTGGTAGCCCTTTGAGACCGATAATGAAAAACTGAATATCCACAGAAAAAAACTAGAAAAAAGCTATCTGTGAAGCCACTTTGGATGTGTGCATTCATCTCACAAGGATAAACTTTTCTGTTGATTCAGCAGGTTGAAAACACTTTTTCTGTAAAATCTGTGAGGGGACATTTGGGAGCCCATTGAAACCTAGTGTGAAAAACCAAATCTCCCCAGAGAAAAACTAGAAGGAAGCTAACTGTGAAACTGCTTTGTGATGTGTGTGTTCAACTCACAGAATTAAACCTATATTTTGATTAAGCAGATTGGGAACACTCTTTATGTAGTACCTGCGAAGGGACATTTGGGAGCCCATTGGGGCCTATAGTAAAAAACTGAATATCCCCAAATAAAAACTAAAAAGAAGCTATATGTATAACAGCTTTGAGATGTGGGCATTCATCTTGCAGAGTTCAATTTTCCTTTTGATTCAGCAGGTTGGAAAAACTCTTTTTGTAGGATCTGCATAGGGACACTTTGTAGCCCATTGAGACCTAAATAAAAAGCTGAATATCCCCAGAAAAAAAAAAAAACTAGAAAGAAGCTATCTGTGAAACTGCCTTGGGATGTGTGCATTTATCTCAGAGAGATAAAACTTTCTTTTAATTCAACAGATTGAAAACATTCTTTTTGTAGGATCTGTGAAAAAACATTTGGGAGCCCATTGAGGCCTATAGTGAAAAACCAAATATACTCAGATTAAAACTAGAAAGAAGAATGTGTGAAACTTTTTTGAGGAGTGTCCATTTATCTCACAGTGTTAAACATTTCTTTTCACTCAGGAGGTTGGAAATACTCTTTTTGTAAAATCTGTGATGGGACATTCCAGATCCCATTGAGGCTTATAGTGAAAAACAAATAATCTCCTGATAAAAACTAGAAAGAAGCTATCTGTGAAACTGTTCTGTGATGGGCACATTCATCTCACAGACTTAAACCTTTGTATTGATTTAGCAGGTTGGAAACACTATTTTTTAGGCTCTGAGAAGGGACATTGGAGACCCCATTGAGGCCTATAATGAAAAACCATATATACCCAGATAAAAACTAGAAAGAAGCTATCTGTGAAACTGCTTTGCAAAGTGTGCATTCACCTCACAGAGGTAAACCTTCCTTTGATTCAGCAAGTTGGAAACACTCTTATTGTAGTATCTGCAAAGTGACATTTGGATCCTAATGAGGCATATAGACGAAAATGGAATATTTCCAGATAAAAACTAGAAATAAGCTATCTGTGAAACCACTTTGTGATGTGGGCATTAATCTCACAGAGTTAAACCTTTCTTTTGATTCAGCAGGTTGGAAACACTCTTTTGTAGAATCTGCAAAAGGACATTTAGGAGCACATTGAGGCCTAGGGTAAAAAACCGAATATTTCTAGATATAAGCTAGAAAGAAGCAATCTGTGAAACTGCTTTACTATGTGTGTGATTATCTCACAAATTTAAACCTTTCTTTTGATTCAGCAGTTTGGAAACACTCTCTTCGTAGGATCTGCAAAGAGATATTTGGGAGCACATTGAGGCCTATATTGAAAAGCAGAATATCCCCACAGAAAAAGTAAAAATAAGCTATCTATGAAACTGCTTTGTGATGTGTGCATTTATTTCACAGAGTTAAACTTGTCTTTTGATTCAGTAGGTTGGAAACACTCTTTTTGTAGAATCTGCAAACAGATATTTGGGAGCCCATTGAGGCCTACAGTGAAAAACTGAATATCGCCAGATAAAATCTAGAAAGAAGCTATCTGTGAAACCTCTTTGTGATGTGGGCATACATCTCAAAGAGTTAAACTTTTCTTTTGATTCAGCAAGTTGTAAACACTCTTTTTGTAGGATCTGCAAAGGGATATTTGGGAGCCCATTTAGGCCTATAGTGAAGAGCCGACTATCCCAAGATATACACTAAAAATAAGTTATCTATGAAACTGCTTTGCAGTGTTTGTATTCATCTCAGAGAGTTAAACCTTTGTTTTTACTTGGCATTTTGGAAACTCTCCTTTTGTATGGTCTGCGATGGGACATTTGGGAGCCCATTGAGGCTTATAGTGAAAAACTGAAAATCCGCAGATAAAAACTAGAAAGAAGATATTGGTGAAACTTCTTCACAATGGTTGCATTCATTTCACAGTCTTAAAGCTTTCTATTGATTTAGCAGGTTGGAAACACTATTTTTTAGTATCTGTGAAGAGACATTTGGGACTCTATTGAGGCCTATGATGAAAGACTTTATATAGCAAGATAAAAACTAGAAAGAAGCAATCTGTGAAACTGCTTTGCAATGTGTGTGTTCATCTCACAGAGTTAATCCTTCCTTTGATTCAGCAAGTTGGAAACAGTCTTACTGTAGAATCTGCAAAGTGACTTTGGGGAGCCTATTGAGGACTGTAGTGAAAAACAAAATAACCCCAGATAAAAACTAGAAAGAAGCTATTTATGAAACTGCTTTGCGATGTGGGCATTAATCTCACAGAGTTAAACCATTCTTTTGATTCAGCAGGTTGGAAACACTCTTTTGTAGAATCTGCAAAGGGACATTTAGGAGCAAATTGAGGCCTAAAGTGAAACACTGAATATCTCTAGACAAAAACTAGAAGGAAGCTATCTGTGAAACTGCTCTTCTATGTGTGCTTTTACCTCACAGATTTAAACTTTCCTTTGATTCATCAAGTTGGAAACACTCTTACTGTAGAATCTGCAAAGTGACATTTGGGAGCCCTTTGAGGCCTTTAGGTAAAACCGAATATCCCCAGATAAAAACTAGAAAGAAGATATCTGTGAAACCACTTTGCGACGTGGGCATAGATCTCAAAGAATTAAACTTTTCTTTTGATTCAACAGGTTGCAAACATTCTTTTTGTAGAATCTGTGAAGGGACTTTTGGGAGCCTATTGAGGCCTATAGTGAAAAACCTGCTATCTCCAGGTAAACACTAAAAAGAAGCTATCTATGAAACTGCATTGCAGTGTGTGGATCCATCTCACAGAGTTAAACTTTTCTTTTGATTTAGCAGGTTGAGAACACTCTTTTGTATGATCTGCAATGGGGAATTTGGGAGCTCATTCAGGCCTATAGTGAAAAACTGAATATCTTGAGATAAAAACTAGAAAGAACCTATGTGTGAAAATGCTTTGCAATTTGTGCATTCTTCTCACAGAGTTAAACATTTCCTTTCATAGAATCGGTGAGGGTACATTTCAGAGTTCATCGTGGCCTATAGTGAAAAACTGAAAGGCTCCAGATTAAAACTAAAAAGAAGGTATCTCTGAATTCACACTTCCATGTGTGCATTCATCTCACAGGCTTAAAATTTTCTTTTGATTCAGCAGGTTGGAAACACTCTTGTTGTAGAATCTGTGAAGAGACATTTGGGAGCCAATTGAGGCCTGTAGTGAAAAATCAATTATCCCCAGAAAAAAACTAGATTGAAGGTATCTGTGAAACTGCTTTGCAATGTGTGCATGTTTCTCACTGAGTTCAACCTTTCTTTTATTTCAACAGTTTGGACACACTCTTTTTCTACACTCTTCTAAGAAACATTTGGGAGCCCATTGAGGTCTACAGTGAAAAAGCAAATATCCCCAGATTAAAACTAAAATAAGCTATCTGTGAAACTGCTTTGTGATGTGTGCTTTCATCTGGCAGTTTTCAACCTTTCTTATTATTCAGCAGGTGGGAAACACGCTTTTTGTAGAATCTGCAAAGGAACATTTTGGAGCCCTTTGAAGTGTATAGGGAAAAATCAAGTACCTTCAGATAAAAACTAGAAAGAAGCTATCTGTGAAACCACTTTGTGACGTGTGGATTCATCTCACAGAGTTCAATTTTTCTTTTGATTCACCACGTTGGAAACACCCTTTTTGTAGAATCTTTGAAGGGATATTTGGGAGCCTGTTGAGGCCTGTAGTGAAGAACTGAATATCCCCAGTTAAAAACTGGAAAGAAGCTATCTATGAAACTGCTTTGCAATGTGTGGATTCATCTCAGAGATTTAAACTTTTGTTTTTATTCAGCAGGTTGAAAACACTCCTTTTGTAGAATCTGTGAAGAAATATTTGGAAGCTTATTGAGGCCTAAAGTGAAAAACAAAATATCCCGAGAAAAAACTAGGAAGAGGGTATCTGTGAAACTGCTTTGTGATGTGTGCATTCATCACAAAGAGTTAAACCTTTCATTCAATTCAGCATGTTGGAAACACTCTTTTTGTAGAATCTGTGAAGGGACATTTGGGAGCCCTTTGAGGACTATAGTGAATAACTGAATATCCTCAGATAAGATCCAGAAACAAGCTATCTGTGAAACCACTTTGTGATGTTTGCATTCATCTCATATAGTTAAACCTTTCATTTCATTCAGCAGGTTGGAGAAACTCTTTTTGTAGAATTTGCGAAGGGACATTTTGGAGCCTATTGAGGCCTGTAGTAAAAAACTGAATATCCGCTTATAAAAACTAGAAAGAAGAAATCTGTCAAACTGCTTTGTGATGTGTGCATTACTCTCACAGATTTAAACTGTTCTTTTGATTCAACAGTAGGAAACACACTTTCTGTAGGATTTGTGAAGGGTCTTTTGGGAGCCCATTGATTCCTGTAGTGAAAAATCTAATATCCCCAGGTAAAAGCTCAAAAGAAGTAAACTGTGAAACTGCTTTGCAATTGGTGCATTCATTTAATAGAGTTATTCTTTACTTTTGATTCAGCAGGCTGGAAACACTCTTTTTGAAAAATCTGCAAAGTGACATTTGGGAGCCCACTGAGGCCAATAGTGAAAAATCCAAAACCCTCAGATAAGAACCAGAAGCAAGCTATCTGTGAAACTGCTTTGCAATGTGGACATTCATCTCATAAAGTTAAACCTTTCTTTTGATTTGACAGGTTGGAAAAACTCTTTTTGTAGATTTAGAAAAGGGACCTTTGTGAGCCTATTGGGGCTTATAGTGAAAAACCAAATATCTCCAGGTTAAAACTAGAAAGAAGGTACCTGTGAATCCGCTTTGTGATGAGTACATTCATCTCACAGAGTTAAACTTCTCTTTTGATTCAGCAGGTTGGAAAAAGTCTTCTAGTAGAATCCGCAAAGGAACATTTGGGAGCCCCTTGAGGCCTATAGTCAAAAAATGAATATCTCCATATAAAAACTAGAAAGTAGCTATCTGAGAAACCACTTTGCAATGGATGCATTCATCTCAAAGATTTAAACCTTTCTTTTGATTCAATAGGTTGTAAACACTTTTTTTGTAAAATCCGCGAAGGGACATTTGGGATTCCATTGAAGCCTGTAGTGAAAAACCAAATATCCTCAGATAAAAACAATAAAGAAGCTACCTGTGAAACTACTTTGTGAGGTGTGCATTCCTCTCACAGAGTTAAATCTTTTTTTAGATTCAGCAGGTGGGAACAGTCTTTTTGTAGAATATGTGAAGGAACAATTTGGAGCCCATTGAGACCTACAGTGAAAAAAAAGATACCCCCAGAATAAAACTAGAAAGAATGTATCTGTGAGACGGGTTTTTGATGGGTGCATTCATCTTGCAGAGTTACATCTTTCTTTTTATTCAGCAGGTTGGAAACACTCTTCTTGCAGAATCTGCGAAGGGATATTTGGAAGCCCATTGAGGCCAATAGTGTAAAAACAAATATCCCAAGACAAAAACTAGAAAGAACCTATCTTTCAAACCACTTTGGGATTTGTGCATTCATCTCACAGAGTTCAACGTTTTTTTTTTCATTTGGCAGGTTGGAAAGGCACTTTTTGAGGAATCTGCAGAGAAATATTTTGGAGCTTGTTGAAGCCTATAGTGAAAAACCAAATATCCCAAAATAAAAACCAGAAAGAAGCTATCTGTGAAACTGCTTTGTGATGTGTGCATTCATTTCAGAGAGTTAAACAGTCCTTTTAACTCAGTAGGTTGGAAACACTCTTTTTGTAGTATCTGAGAAGGGACATTTTGGAGCCCATTGAGACCTATCGTGAAAAACAGATTGTCCCCAGATAAAAATTAAAAAGAAGCTATCTGTGAAATGGCTTTGTGATGTGTGGATTCACTTTAAAGTATTAAACATTTCTTCTGATCCAGCAGTTTGGAAACACTCTTCTTATAGGATCCGTGAAGAAACATTTGGGAGTCCATTGAAGCCAATAGTGAAAAACAGAATATCCCCACATAAAAAATAGAAGGAAGCTATCTGTGAAATAGCTTTGCTATGGGTGAATACATCTCACAGAGTGAAACCATTGTTTGGTTTCAGCAGGTTGAAAACACTCTTTTTGTATGATGTATGTAGGGAGACTTTGTAGCCCACTGAGGCCTATAGTGAAAAACGAAATATCCCCAGATAAAAACTAGAAAGAATCTATTTGCAAAACCATTTTGTGATGTGTGCACCCATCTCACAGATTTAAACATTTGTTTTGAGTCAGCAGGTTGGAAACACTTTTTGTAAAACCTGCGGAAAAATATTTGGGAGCCTATTGAGGCCTAAAGTTAAAACTAAATATCCCCAGAAAAAAAACTAGAAAGAAGCTCTCTGTTTAACTACTTTGTGATGCATGGATTCGGCTCTCAGAGTTAAACCTTGTTTTGATTCAGCAAGTTGGAAACACTCTTTTTGTAGAATCCATGAAGGGACATTTGGAAGCCCACTGAGGACTAATGAAAAACTGAATATTTTCAGATAAAAACTAGAAAGAAGCTATTTGTGAAACCATTTTGGGAAGCATGCATTCATCTCACAGAGTTAAAACTTTCCTTTGATTAATCAAGTTGGATACACTCTGTTTGTAAGAGCTGTGAAGGGACATTTGGGGTGCCATTGAGGCCTATAGTGAAAAACCGAATATCCCTGTATAAAAACTAGAAAGACACTATCTGTCAAACCACTTTGCAATAAGTGCACTCATCCCACAGAGTTAAATATTTATTTGATTCAGCAGGTTGGAAACAATATTTTTGTAGGATCTGTGAAGGGAAATTGGGAAGCCCATTGAGGCTGATAGTAAATACTGAATATCCCCAGATAAAACCAGAAAGAAGATATCTACAAAAATGCTTTGCAATGTATGCATTCATCTCACAGATTTAAACCTTTGTTTTGATTCAGCTGCTTGAAAACACCCATTTTGTAGAATCAGCAAAGAAACATTTGGGAGCCCTTTGAGGCCTAAAGTGAAAAACCAAGTATCCACAAATAAAAATTATATGATTATCTCAATAGATGCCGAAAAGGCCTTTGACAAAATTCAACAACCCTTCATGCTAAAAACTCTCAATAAATTAGGTACTGATGGGACGTATCTCAAAATAATAAGACCTATCTATGACAAACCAACAGCCAATACCTTACTGAATGGACAAAAACTGGAAGCATCCCATTTGAAAACTGGCAGAAGACAGGGGTGCCCTCTCTCACCACTCCTATTCAACATAGTGTTGGAAGTTCTGGCCAGGGCAATCAGGCAGGAGTAGGAAATAAAGGGTATTCAATTAGGAAAAGAGGAAGTCAAATTGTTCCCGTTTGCAGATGACATGATTGTATACCTAGAAAACCCCACCATCTCAGCCCCAAATCTCCTTAAGCTGATAAGCAACTTCAGCAAAGTCTCAGGATACAAAATCAATGTGCAAAAATCACAAGCATTCTTATACACCAATAATAGACAAACAGAGAGCCAAATCATGAGTGAACTCCCATTCACAATTGCTTCAAAGAGAATAAAATACCTAGGAATCCAACTTAAAAGGGATGTGAAGGACCTCTTCAAGGAGAACTACAAACCACTGCTCAATGAAATAAAAGAGGATACAAACAAATGGAAGAACATTCCATGCTCATGGGTAGGAAGGATCAATATCATGAAAATGGCCATACTGCCCAAGGTAATTTATGGATTCAATACGATCCCCATCAAGCTACCAGTGGCTTTCTTCATAGAATTGGAAAAAACTACTTTAAAGTTCATATGGAACCAAAAAAGAGCCCACATCGCCAAGTCAATCCTGAGCCAAAAGAACAAAGCTGGAGGCATCATACTACCGGATTTCAAACTATATTACAAGGCAACAGTAACCAAAACAGCATGGTACTGGTACCAAAACAGAGATATAGACCAATGGAACAGAACACAGCTCTCAGAAATAATGCCCCATATATACAACCATCAGATCTTTGACAAACCTGACAAAAACAAGCAATGGGGAAAGGATTCCCTATTTAACAAATGGTGCTGGGAAAACTGTCTCGCCATATGTACAAAGCTGAAAGTGGATCCCTTCCTTACACCTTATACAAAAATTAATTCGAGATGGATGAAAGACTTAAATGTTAGACCTAAAACCATAAAAACCCTAGAAGAAAACCTAGGCAATACCATTCAGGACATAGGCATGGGCAAGGACTTCATGTCTAAAACACCAAAAGCAATGGCAACAAAAGCCAAAATTGACAAATGGGATCAAATTAAACTAAAGAGCTTCTGCACAGCAAAAGAAACTACCATCAGAGTGAACAGGCAACCTACAAAATGGGAAAAAATATTTGCAATATACTTATCTGACAAAGGGCTAACATCCAGAATCTACAATGAACTCCAACAAATTTACAGGAAAAAAACAAACAACCCCATCAAAAGTGGGCGAAGGATATGAACAGACACGTCTCAAAGGAAGACATTTATGCAGCCAAGAAACATGTGAAAAAATGCTCACCATCACTGGCCATCAGAGAAATGCAAATCAAAACCACAATGAGATACCATCTCACACCAGTTAGAATGGCAATCATTAAAAAGTCAGGAAACAACAGGTGTTGGAGAGGATGTGGAGAAATAGGAACACTTTTACACTGTTGGTGAGACTGTAAACTAGTTCAACCATTGTGGAAGTCAGTGTGGCCATTCCTCAGGGATCTAGAACTAGAAATACCATTTGACCCAGCCATCCCATTACTGGGTATATACCCAAAGGATTATAAATCACACTGCTATAAAGACACATGAACATGTATGTTTATTGTGGCACTATTCACAATAGCAAAGACTTGGATCCAACCCAAGTGTCCAACAATGATACACTGGATTAAGAAAATGTGGCACATATACACCATGGAATACTATGCAGCCACAAAAAATGATGATTTCATGTCTTTGTAGGGACCTGAATGAAGCTGGGAACCATCATTCTCAGCAAACTATCACAAGGACAAAAAACCAAACACCGCATGTTCTCACTCCTAGGAGGGAATTGAACAATGAGAACACATGGACACAGGAAGGGGAACATCACACACCAGGGCCTGTTGTGGGATGGGGGGAAGGGGAGGGATAGCATTTGGAGATATACCTAATGTTAAATGAAGAGTTACTGGGTGCAGCACACCAGCATGGCACATGTATACATATGTAACTAACCTGCACATTGTGCACATGTGCCTTAAAACTTGAAGTATAACAAAAAATAAAAAGCTGAAAAAAATAAAAAATAAAAAGTAGAAAAAAACTATCTATGAAACTGCTTTGCAAATTGTGCATTCATGGCATAAAATTAAACTGTTCTTTTGATTCAGGAGGTTGGAAACACTGTTTTTGTAAGATCTGTGAAGGGACATTTCATATCCCATGGAATCCTTTAGTGAAAAACTGAATATCCTTAGATAAAAGCTAGAACGAAGTTATCAGTGAAACTGCTTTCCAAAATGTGTGTTTATTTCACAGAGTTAAACCTTTTTTTTTGAATGAGCAGAATGGAAACACTCTTCAAGTAGAATCTGTGAAGGGACACTTTGGAGCCCATTGAGGCCTATAGTGTAAAACAAATATCCTCAGATAAAAACTAGAAATAAGCTATTTGTGAAACTGCTTTGCGATGTGTGCATTCATCTCACAGGGTTAAACCTTTGTTTTAATTCAAGAGGTTGGAAACCCTCTGTTTGTAGAACCTGCAAAGGGACATTTTGGAGTCCTTTGAGGCCTATAGTGAAAAAGCGAATATCCCCAGTTAAAAACTAGAAAGAAGTTATCTGTGAAATTGCTTTAAGATGTGTGCATTCATCTCACAGATTTAAACCTTTTTTTTGATTCAGCAGGTTGGAAACACTCTTTTTATAAGATCTGCAAAGACACATTTGGGAGTCCATTTAGGCTTATAGTGAAAAACCGAACATCTCCACATAAAAACTAGAAGGAAGGTATCTGTGAAATCGGTTTGCTATGTGTGATTAAATCTCACAGAGTTAAACTGTTGTTTTGTTTCAGCAGGTTGAAATGCTCTTTTTATAGGATCTGTGTAGGGACATTTGGGAGCCCATTGAGACCTACAGTGAAAAACCATATATCCCCTGATAAAAACTAGAAAGAAGCTAACTGTAAAACTACTTTGTGATGTGTACTCTCTTCTCACGGATAGCTTCTTTCTAATTTCTACCTGGGGATATTCAGTTTTTCATTATAGGCCACAATGGGATCCCAAATGTCCATTTGCAGATTCTAGAAAAAGAGTGTTTACAGTGTTTAAGCCTGTGTTTTGACTCACTCTTTTTGTAGAGTCTGTGGGAAAATATTTAGGAACCCATTGAGTCCTAATGTGAAAAACTGAATATCCCCAGATAAAAACTAGAAAGAAGCTATCTGTTTAACTACTTTGTGATGTCTCAATTCAGCTCTCAGAGTTACACCTTGCCTTGGATTCAGCAGATTGAAAGCATTCTTTTTGTAGAATCAGTGAAGGGACATTTCTGAGCCCTCTGAAACCTATAGTGAAAACTGAATATCCCATGATAAAAAGTAGAAAGAAGGTGTCTGTGAGACTGCTTTGTGATGTGTGGATTCAGCTCACAGAGTTAAACCTTTCTTTTGATTCAGCAGGTTGGAAACACTTTTTTTGTAGAATCTGAGAAAGGGCATTTGAAGGCACACTGGGGCTTAAAGGGCAAAACAGAATATCCCACGAAATAAGCTAGAAAGAAGCTATTGGTTAAACTGCTTTGTGATCTGTTGATACACCTCACAGAGTTCAACATTTATTATGATTCAGCAGGACAGGAGCACATTTTTTTATGGAAACTAAGAATGGACTTTTCTGAACCCAATGAGTCCTATAGTGAAAACTGAATATACCATGATAAAAGGTAGAAAGAGGCTATCTGTGGAACTGCTTTGTGATGTCTAAATTCAGCTGACAGAGTTAAACCTTTCTTCTGATTCAACAGATTGGACTTCTGTAGTATCTGGGAAGGGATATTTCTGAGCCTACTGAGGTTTATTGTGAAAACAGAGTGTCCTGTGAAAAGAACTAGAAAGAAGCTATCTGTGAAACTGCACTGTGTTCTGTGGATTCATGTAACAGAGTTAAACATTTGTTTTGTTTCAGCAGGTTAAAAGCAGTCTTTTAGTAGAATCTAAAAATGGCCTTTTCTGACCCACTGAGGCCTCTGGTGGAAATGAAATATCCACTCATAAAAACTAAAAATGGTCTATCTGTAAAACTGCTTTGTGATGTGCTGATTCAGCTCACAGAATTCAATACTTCTTTTGTTTCAGCAAATTGGAAGCACTCTTTTTGTGGAGTCTAAGAATCAACATTTCTGGACCCACTGAGGCATATAGTAAAAACAGAATATCCTGTGATAAAAACTACAAAGAATTTATCTGTGAAACTGCTTTGTGATGTGTGGGTTCAGCTAACAGAGGGTAAACCTTTCTTTCGATTCGACGGAAACAATCCTTTTGTAGAATCTGCGAATGAACATTTGGGATCCCATTGTGACCTATAACGAAAAACTGAATAGAAAAAATCCATTTGTGAAATGACTCTGTGATATATGGATTAAACACTGTTCAATGTCTTTTTTGATTCAGCAGGTTGGAGACACACTTTTTGAAGAATCTGTGAAGAGATACAGGGAAACCATTAAAGCTTGTAGTGCAAAACTGAATATCCACAGATAAAAATTAGAAAGAAACTATCCATCAAACTGCTTGATGGTGTGTGAACTCATCTCACATAGTTAAACTTCTCTTTGGATTCAGCATGTTGGAAACACTCTTTTTGTACTGCCTGCAAAAAGACACTTGGGAATTCTTTCAGACCTATAGTGACAAATTAAATATCTCCAGATAAAAACTAGAAGGAAGCTATCTCTGAAACCCCTTTTGACGTTTACATTCATCAGCAAAAGTTAAGTTTTTCTTTTCATTCAGCAGGATGGGAACAATGTTGTTGTAGAATCTGCAAAGGGATATTTGGGAGCCCTTTGAGGCCTACAGTGAAAAACAGAATATCCCCAGATAAAAACTAGAAAGAAGCAATCTGTGTATCAGCTTTGTGATGTGTGGATTCATCTCATAGAGTTAAACCTTTCTTTTAATTCTGCAGGTTTGAAAAACTCTTTTTGAAGTATCTGTGAAGGGACATATGGGAGCCAATTGAGGCCTAAGGTTAAAAAAACGAATATTACCAGATAAAAACTAGAAAGAAGCTTTCTGTGAAATGGCCTTGTGATGGGTGGATTCATCTCACAGTGTTAAACCTTTCTTTTGACTCAGCAGTTTGGAAACCTTCTTTCTGTAGAATCTGAGAAAGGACACTTGGGAACCCTTTGAGGCCTGTACTTAAAAACTGAATATCCCAAGATAAAAACTACAAAGAAGCCATCTGAAATTGCCTTGTGATGTGTGGATTCATCTCATGGACATAAACTTTTCTTTTAATTCAGCGGTTTGGAGACACTCTTTTTAAAAAATCTGTGAAGGGACATTTGGAGGCCCATTGACCCTACGGTGAAACATCAAAATCCAAAGAAAAAAAATTGGAAAAAAGCTATCTGTGAATTGGCATTGTGATGGGTGGATTCATCTCACAAAGGTAAACCTTCATTTTGATTCAGCAGGTTGGAATCGCTCTTTTTGTAGAATATGCAAAGGGACATTTTTGAGCCCATTGAGTCCTAAGGTGAAAAAGTGAATATCCCCAAATAAAAACTAGAAAGAAGCTATCTGTGAAACTCCCTTGTGATATTTAGATTCATCTCACAGAGTTAAACCTTTCTTTTGATTCAACAGGTTGGAAATTCTCTTTTTGTAGAATCAGCAAAGGGACAGTTGAGAGCACATATAGGTCTATGGTGAAAAAACGAATATCTCCAGATGAAAACTAGAAAGAAGCTATCTGTGAAACTTCTTTGTGATGTGTGGATTTATATCTGAGTTAACCTTTTCTTTAGATTCAGCAGGTTGGAAAAACTTTTTTTTTGTAGAATCTGCAGAGGGGCATTTAGAATCCCTTTGATACCTACGGTAAAAAAACAAATATCCCCAGATAAAATATAAAAGGAAGTTATCTGTGAAGCTTCCTAGTGATGTGTGGATTAGTCTCACAAAGCAAAACTTTCCTTTTGATTCAGCAGGTTGGAAACATTCATTTTGCAGAATCTATGATGAAACATTTGTGAGAGATTTGAGGCCTACAGTGAAAAACTGAATATCCCTGAATGATAACAACAAGAAGGCTATCTGTGAAACCTTTTTGAGAAGTGTGGATTCACCTCACAGAGTTAAAGCTTTCTTTTGATTCAGCAGGTTGGAAACTCTCTTTGTATACTCAGTGAAAACATATATTGAGCCCATTGAAGCCTATTGTAAAAAAAACAAATATCCCCTGATAAAAACTGGAAAGAAGCTATCTGTGACACAACACTGCAAAGTTTGCATTCATCTCACAGATTTAAACTTTCTTTGGATTCAACAGGTTAGAAACACTTCTTTTGTTGAATCTGCAAAGGCACATTTGGGAGCCCATTGAAGCGTTTGTTGAAAAATGGAATATCCCCATATAAAACCCACAGAGAAAACATTTGTGAAATTGCTTTGTGATATGTGGATTCATCTTACAGAGTTAAAACTTTTATTGATTCAGCAGGTTGAAAGCACCCTTGTTGTGCAATCATCTGCAAGGGACAGTTTGTAGCCCAATGACTTCTATGGTGAAAAACTGAATATGCCCAGATAAACGCTAGAAAGAAGCGATCTGTGAAACTGTGATATGTGCATTCATCTCAGAGAGTTAAAACTTTCTTTTGATTCAGCAGGTTTAAAATATATTTTTTTATAGAATCTGCTGAGGAATATTTGATAGCCGTTTGAGGCCTATACTGAAAAACTGAATATTTCTAGATAAAAACTATAAAGAAGCCATTAGTGAAAAAGCTTTGTAATATGCGGATTTATCTCACAGATTTATACCTTTTTTTGATTCAGAAATTTGGAAACACTCTTCTTGTAGAATCTGTGAAGAGAAGTTGGGGAGCTCACTGAGGCCTACGATGAAAAATCAAATATCCCCTTTGATTTAGCAGGTAGGAAACACACTTTATGTAGAATATGTAGAGGAATATTTGGGAGTCCACTGATGTATATGGTGAAAAACAGAATATCTTTTTTGATTCAGCAGGTTGGAAATAGTTTTTATAGCATTTCAGAAGGGATATTTGGGAACCCATTTAGGCCAATAGTGAAATACCGAATGTAACCCTTTTCACCATAGGCCTCAATGTGCTCCCAAATATCCCTTTGCAGATTCTACAAAAAAAAGTGTTTCCAAACTGCTGAAGGAAAAGAAAGATTTAACTCTGTGAGATGACTGCACACAGCACAAAGCGATCTCTTAGATAGCTCCCTTCAAGTTTTTATCCTGGGATATTCGCTTTTTCACCATTGGCCTAAATGAGCTCCCAAATATCCACCTGCACAAAGCACACACACAGTGTTTCCAAGCTGCTGAATCCAAAGAAAGGTTTAACTCTATGAGAAGAACGCGTACACTACAAAGCAGTTTCTCAGAAAGATTTTTCTGGTTTTTATGTGAAGATATTTTCTTTTTCACCATAGGCCTCAATGAGATCCCCAAAATCCCTTTGCATATTCTACAAAAACCTTGTTTCCAAACTGTTGAATGAACAGAAAAGTCTAACTCTGTGAGATAAATACACATACCACAAAGCAGTTTCTCAGATAGCTTCCTTCTAATTATTATCCTGGGATATTTTCTTTTTCACAATTGACCTCAATGAGCTCCAAAATGTCCATTCAGAGAATGGACAAAAATGGTTTTTCCAAACAGCTGAATCCAAAGAAATTTTTAACTATATGAGGTGAATGCACACATCACAAGTCAGTTTCTCAGATAACTTCCTTCTACTTTTTATCCTGGGATATTTGCATTTTCACCATTCACCATGATAAGCCCCAAAATGTCCCTTTGCAGAATGGACAAAAATAGTGTTTCCAAAGTGCTGAATCCAAAGTAATGTTTGACTCTGTGAGAAGAATGCACACATCACAAAGCAGTTCCTCAGAAATCTTGTTTCTAGTTTTTATCTGAAGATATTTCATTTTTCACCACAGGCCTCAATGCGCTCCCAAATATCCCTTTGCAGATTCTGCTGCTGAATGAAAAGGAAGGTTTATATCTGCGAGATGAATGGACACATCATAAAGCATTTTCGCAGACAGCTTCCTTCTAGTTTGTATCCTGAGATATTCACTTCTTTGCCATTGGCCTCAATGAGCTCCCAAATGTCCATTTGGAGCAGGGACAAAAACAGTGTTTCAAACCTGCTGAATCCTAGGAAAGTTTTAACTCTGTGAGATGAATGCACGCATCACAAAGCACTTCCTCAGAAAACTTCAAATTTTTATATGAAGATATTTCCTTTTTCACCATGGGTCACAAAGTGCTCCCAAATATCCCTTCACAGATTCTAGAAAAACAGTGTTACAAAACTGCTGAGTGAAAAGAAAGCTTTAATTCTGCAAGATGAATTCATGCATCACAAAGAAGTTTCTCAGATATCTTCAATCTAGCTTTCATCCTGGGATATTCACTTTTTTGCCATTGGCTTCAATGACCTCCCAAATGTCCACCTACAGAATGGAAAAAAACAATGTTTCCAAACTGCTGAATTGAAAGAAAGATTTACCTCTGAGAGTTGAATGCACACATCTAAAAGGAGTTCCTCAGAAAGCTTCTTTTTAGTTTTTACATTTTTGAGATGAATATAAACATCAAAAAGCAGTTTCTCAGAAAGGTTCTTTCTAGTTTTTATCTGAAGATATTTCCTTTTTTACCATAAGCCTCAGTTCACTCACAAATATCACTTCACAGATTTCATAAAAAGAATGTTAAAGAGCTAAAAGAAAAGAGAAGTTTAACTCTGTGTGATGAATACACACATCACAAAGCGGTTTCTCAGATACATTTTTCTAGGTTTTATTCTGGGATATTTGCTTTTTTGCCTTTGGCCTCAATGAGCTCCCAAATTTCCATTTGCAGCGTGGGCAAACACAGTTTTTCCAAACTGTCAAATCCAGAGAAATGTGTAACTCTGTGAGATAAATGCACACATCACAAAGCAGCTTCTCAGAAAGCTTCTTTTTAGTTTTTGTCTGAAGATATTTCCTTTTTCACCATAGGCCGCAATGCAATATGAAATATCTCTTCATAGATTCTAAGAAAACAGTGCTTCCAAACCGTTGAATGAAAAGAAATGTTTAACTCTGTGCATCACAAAGCGGTTTCTCTGATAGCTTCCTTCTAGTATTTATTCTGGGATATTCACTTTCTCTGCATTGGCTTCAATGAGCTCCCAAAAGTCAATTTGCAGAATGGACAAAAACAGTGCTTCCAAACGGAAAAATCCAAACAAGGGTTTAACTCTGCGAGATGAATGCACACATCACAAAGCTGTTTCTCAGAGAGCTTCTTTCTAGTTTTTATTTGATGATATTTCCTGTCTAACAATAGGCATCAATTTGCTCCCAAATGTCCCTTTGCAGATTATACAAAAACAGTGTTTCCAAACTGCAGAATGAGAAGAAGGCTTAACTTTGTGAGATAAATGCACACATTACAAATCAGTTTCTCAGGTAACTTCTTTATAATTTTTATATGAAGACATTTCCTTTTCACCATAGGCAGTCATGTGTTATGAATTATCCCGTGTTTCCAAACTGCAGAATGAAAAGAAACTTTTATCTCTGTGAGATAAATGCACACATCACAAAGCGGTTTCTCAGGTAGGTTCCTTCTAGTTTTTATCCTGGAATAATGGCTTTTTTGCCTTTGCCCTCAATGAGCTCCCAAATGCCCATTCACAGAATGGACAAAAACAGTGTTTCCAAAGTGTTGAATGAAAAGAAACGTTTAACTCTGTGAGACGAATGGACATATCACAAATTAGTTTCTCAGAAAGCTACTTTCTAGTTTTTATCTGAAGATATTTCCTTTTTCACCATAGCCCTCAATGCATGACCAAATATCTCTTTGCAGATCCTAAGAAAACAGTGTCTCCAAACTGCTGAATGAAAAAGAAAGATTTAAATCTGTGAGATGAATGGACATATCACCAATATGTGTCTCAGATAACTTCCTTCTAGTTTTTACCCTGGGACAATCTCTTTGCCTCCATTGGCCTCAATAAGCTCCCAAGTGTCCATTCGCATAATGAAAAAAAGCAATGATTCCAAACTGCTGAATCCAAATAAAGGTTTACCTCTCTGAGATGAATGCAGACTTCACAAAGCAGTTTGTCTGAAAGCTTCTTGCTAGTTTTTATCTGAAGATATTTCCTTTATCACCATAGGTCTTAAAGCGCTATCAAATATCTCTTCACAAATTCTAAGAAGACAGGGTTTCCAAACTGCTGAATGAAAATAAACGTTTAATTCTGTGAGATAAATGCACACATCACAAGTCAGTTTCTCAGATAACTTCTTTCTAGTTTTTATCCTGGGATATTCACTTTTTCGCCATTGGCCTCAATGAGCTCCAAAATGTCCATTTGCAGAATGGAGAAAACAGTGTTTCCAAACTGCTGATTCCAAAGAAAGGTTTAACTCTGTGAGATGAATGAACACATCAAAATAAAGTTTCTCACAAAGCTTCTTTGCATTTTTATCTGAAGATATTTCCTTTTTCACCATAGGCCTCAATGCGCAGCCAAATATCCCTTTGCAGATTCTATAAAAACAGTGTTTCCAAACTGCTGAATCAAAAGAGAAATACAACTCTATGAGATGACTGCACACATCACAAAGTGGTTTCTCAGAGAGCTACCTTCTAGTTTTTATCCTGCGATATTTGCTTTTTCACGATTGGCCTCAAAGAGCTCACAAATGTTCACTCGCAGAATGGAAAAAAACAGTGTTTCCAAACTGCCGAAGCCAAAGAAATGTTTAACTCTATGAGATGAGTAAGCACATCACAAAGCAGTTTCTCAGAAAGCTTCTTTCTAATTTTTATCTGAATGTATTCCCTTTTTCACCATAGGCCTCAGTGCGCTAACAAATATCCCTTCACAGATTCTATAAAAAGAGTTTCCAAACTGCTGAAAGGAAAGGTTTAAATGTGTGAGATGAATGCACACAACACAAAGCAGTTTCTCATATATCTTCCTTCTAGTTTTGATCTTGGGATATTCACTTTATCGCCATTGACCTCAATGAACACCCAAATGTCCATTTGCAGAATGCACAGAAACAGTGTATCCAAACTGCTGAATCCAAAGAAAGGTTTCACTGTGTGAGATGAATGCACACATCACAAAGCAGTTTCTGAGAAAGCTTCTTTCTAGTTTTTGCCTGAGAATATTCCCATTTTCACCATAGGCCTCAATTTGCTGACAAATATCCCTTCACAAATTCTACAAAAACAGTGTTTCCAATCTGCTGAATGAAAAGAAAGGTTTAATTCTGTGAGAAGAATGTACACATCACAAAGCGGTTTCTCAGATAGTCTCCTTCCAGTTTTTATCCTGGGATATTCACTTTTTTGCCTGTGGCATTAATGAGCTCCAAAATGTCCATTCGTGGACGGACAAAAACTGTGTTACCGAACTGCTGAATTCAAACAAAAATTTAACTCTGGGAGATGAATGCACACATCCCAAACCAGTTCCTCATTAAGCTTCTTTCTAGTTTTTATCTTAAGGTATTTCCTTTTTCACCATAGGTCTCAAGTCACTACCAAACATCTCTTTGCAGATGGTAAGAGAAAAGTGTTTCCAAACTGCTGCAGGAAAAGAAAGATTTAAGTCTGGGAGATGATTTCACACATCTCTAATTGGTTTCTCAGATAACTTTCTTCTAGTTTTTAACCTTGGATAATCGTTTTTTTTTTTTTTTTTTTGCCATTGGCCCCAGTGAGTTCCCAAATGTCCACTCACAGAATGGAAAAAAACAGAGTTTCCAAACTGCTTAATCCAAATAGAGCTTTAACTCTGTGAGATGAATGAATGCATCACAAAGCAATTTCTCAGAAAGCTTCTTTCTATTTTTTATCTTAAGATATTTCCTTTTTCTCCATAGGCTTCAATGCTGTGCAAATATCCCTTCACATGTTCTACAAAAACAGTGTTTCCAAACTGCTGAATGAAAAGAATGGTTTAAGTCTGTGAGATGAATGCATCCATCACAAAGCGTTTCTCAGAGACCTTCCTTGTAGTTTTATCCCAGGATACTCGCTTTTTCTCCATTGGTCTCAATAAGCTCCCAAATGTCCATTCACAGAATGGACAAAACAGTGCTACTTAACTGTGGAACCCATAGAAAGATGTAACGCTTTGAGATGAATGCACACATCCAAAAGCAGTTTCTAATTATGGTCCTTTCTAGTTTTAATCTGAAGATATTTCCTTTTTCACCACAGGCCACAAGGTGCTACTAAATATCTCTTCACAGATTCTAAGGAAACAGGGTTTCCAAACTGCTGAATGAAAAGGAAAGGCTTAATTCTGAGAGTGAATGCACACATCACAAACCACTCCCTCAGAAATCTTCTTCCTAGTTTTTATCTGAAGATATTTCCTTTTTGGCCACAGGCCTTTAGGTGCTACCAAATATCTGTTCACAGATTCTAAGAAAAGAGTGTTTCCAAACTGCTCGATGAAAAGAAACGTTTTACTCTCTGAGATGAATGTGCATGTCACATATCTGTTTCTCAGATAGCTTCCTTCTAGTTTTTATCCTGGGTTAGTGCCTTTTTTGCCATTGACCTCAAAGAGTTCAGAAACGTTCAATCCCAGAATGGATAAAAACAGTGTTTCCACACTGTTGAATCCATAGAATCATTTAACTCTGTGAGATGAATGAACACATCACAAAGCAGTTTCTCAGAAAGCTTCTTTCTAGTGTTTACCTGAAGATTTTTCCTTTTTAACTATAGGTGTCAATGTGCTGCAAAATATCCCTTCACAGATTCTTCAAAAAAAGTGTTTCCAAACTGCTGAATGAAAGAAAGTTTTAACTCTGTGAGATGAATGCACACATCACAAATCAGTTTCTCACATAACTTCTTCTAGTTTTTATCCTGGGATATTCCCTTTTTCACCATTGGCATCAACGAGCTCTCAAATGCCTATCTGCAGAACGGACAAAATCAGTGTTTCCAAAGTGCTGAATCTAAAGAAAAGTTTAACTCTGTGAGAAGAATGAACACATCACAAAGCAGTTTCTCAGAAAGACTCTTTCTAGTTTTCATCTGAAGTAAATTCCTTTTTCACCATAGGCCTCAATGAGCTCCCAAATATCCCTTCACAGATTCTAGAAAAACAGTGTTTCCAAACTACTGAAGGAAAAGAAGTTTTAACACTGTGAGATGAATGCAGACATCACAAAGCGTTTTCTGTGATATCTTCCTTCTAGTTTTAATCTTGGGATATTTGCTTTTTCACCATTGGCCTCAATGAGCTCCCAAAAGTCCATTCACAGAATGGACAAAAACAGTGTTACCAAACTGATGAATCTAAAGAAAGGTTTAACTTTGTGAGATGAATGCAAACATCACAAAGAAGTCTCTTAGAATGGTTCTTTCTAGTTTTTATTTGAATATATTTCTTTTTTCACCACAGGACTCATTGCACAATAAAATATCTCTTAGAAGATCCTAAGAAAACAGTGCTTCCAAACTGCTGATTGAAAAGGAAGGTTTAACCCTGTGAGATGAATGCACACGTCACAAATCGGTTTTTCAGATAGGTTCCTTCTATTTTTTATTCAGGGATATTCACTTTTTCACCATTGGCCTCAATTAACTCCCAAAAGTCATTTTGCAGAATGGACAAAAATAGTGTTACCAAAGTGCTTAACCCAAAGAAAGGTTTAACTTTCTTAGATGAATGCACACGTCTGAAACCAGTTTCTCATTAAGTTTCTTTCTAGTTATTATCTGAAAATATTTCCTTTTTCACCATGGGCCTCAAAGCCCTACCAAATATCTCTTCACGGATACTAAGGAAACAGTGTTTCCAAAATGCTGAATGAAAAGAAAGTTTTAACACTGTGAGGTGAATGCCCGCATCTCAAATTGGTTTCTCAGATAACTTCCTTTTAGTTTTTATCCTGGGATGATCGCTTTTTCACCATTGGTCTCAATGAGCTCCCAAATGTACATTCACAGAATGGAAAAAAAAACAATTTTTCCAAACTGCTGAATCCAAAGATAGATTTATCTCTGTGAGATGAATGCACGTAAAAAAAAAAACAGTCTCTCAAGAAAGGTTCTTTATAGTTTTTATCTGATGATATTTCTTTTTGTCCATTCTTTGAATGGACTTTTGGGAGCTCATTGAGGCCAACAGTGAAAAAGCGAATATCCCAGGATAAAAACTAGAAGGAAGCTATCCGAGGAACTGTTTTCTTATATGTGCATTCGTCTCGCAGAGTTAAACCTTTCTTTTCATTCAGCAATTTGGAAATGCTGCTTTTCTACAATCTACAAAGGGATATTTGGGAGCGCATTGAGGCCTATGGTAAAAAAGGAAATCTCTTCAGATAAAAACTAGAAAGAAGCTTAATGAGAAACTGCTTTGTGATGTGTACATTCATCTCACAGAGTTAAACCTTTCTTTAGATTCAGCAGTTTGGAAACACTGTTGATGTCCACGCTGCGAATGGACATTTGGGAGCTCGTTGAGGCCAAAGAAGAAAAAGCGAATATCGTAGGATTTAAACTAGAAGGAAGCTATCTGAGAAACCACTTCATGATGTGTGCATTCATCCCACAGAATTTAACCTTTCTTTTCATTTAACAGTGTGGAAACACTGTTTTTGTGGAATCAGTGAAGGGATATTTGGGAGCACATTGAAGACTAAGGTGAAAAAGTGAATATCCCAGGATAAAAACTATAAGGAAGATATCTAGGAGACCGTTTTGTGATGTGGGCCTTCATTTTGTGGAGCTAAACCTTTCTTTTCTTTCAGCAGCTTGGGAACACTGTTTTTTGTACAATCTGTGAAGGGGTATTTGGGTGCACTTAGAGGCCTATCGTGAAAATGGAAATATCTTCCCATAAAAATTAGAAAGAAGTTTTCTGAGAAAGTGCTTTGTGAGGTGTATATTCTCCTCACATAGTTACAACTTTCCTTGGATTTAGCAGTTTGGAATCACTCTTTTTGTAGAATCTGTGAAGGGATAATTGGGAGAACATTTAGGCCTATGGCAAAAAAGTGAATATCCTGGGATAAAAACTAGAAGGAAGATATTTGAGAAACTGCTGTGTGATTTGTGCATTCATCTAGCTAAGTTAAACCCTTCTTTTCGTTCAAAACTTTGGAAACACGGTTTTTGTAGAATCTGTGAAGTGATATTTGGGAGCACATTGAGGCCTACAGTGAAAAAGGATTATCATCATATAAAAATTTTAAAGAAGCTTTCTGAGAAACTTCTTTGTGATTTGTATATTCATCTCACAGAGTTAAACGTTCTTTGCATTCAGCAGTTTGGAAACAGTGTTTTGGTCCATTCTGCAAGTTAACAGTTGGGAGCTCAATGAAGCCAATGGTGAAAAAGTGAATATCCCAGGATACAAATTAGAAGGATGTTATCTGAGAAACCAATTTGTGATGTGTGCATTCATCTCACAGAGTTAAACCTTTTTTTATTCAGCAGTTTGGAAACACTGTTTTATTAGAATCTGCGAAGAGATATTAGGTAGTGCTTTGAGGCCTATGATGAAAAAGGAAATATCTTGTGGTAAAAACTAGAGAGAAGCTTTCTGAGAAACTACTTTGTGATGTGTGCATTCATCTGACAGAGTTAAACATTCCTTTGAATTCAGGAGTTTGGAAACACTGTTTTTGTCCATTCTGCGAATGGGCATTTGGGAGCTCACTGAAACCAGTGTCGAAAAAGTGTTTATCCCAGGGTAATAACTAGAAGGAAGATACCTAAGAAACCACTTTGCAATCTGTGCATTCATCTCGCCAAGTTAAAATTAACTTTTCATTCAACAGTTTAGAAACACCATTTTTGCAGAATCTGAGAATGAACATTTGGGAGCTCATTGAGGCCAATGTCGCAAAAGGGAATATCCCAGAATAAAAAGTAGAAGGAAGCTATCTGAGAATCCACTTTATGATGTGTTCATTTATCTTGCAGAGTGAAACTTCCCTTTTCATTGAGCAGTTGGAAACACTGTTTTTGTACAATCTGTGAAAGCATATTTGGAAGCGCATTGAGGCATATGGTGAAAAAGCATGCGTCTTCAGATAAAAACTAGAAAGAAGCTTTATGAGAAACTGCTTTGTGAGGTTTGCATTCATCTCACAGAGTTAAACATTCCTTTCATTTCAGCAGTTTGGAAACACTGTTTTTGTCCACTCTGCAAAAGGACATTTGACCACTCATTGAGGACAATGGCAAAAAAGCAATTATTCCAGGATAAAAATTAGAAGGAAGCTATCTGAGAAACTGCTTTCACATGTGTGCATTCAACTCACACAGGTAAGCCTTTCTTTTCATTCAGCAGTTTGGAATCATTCTTTTCATAGAATCTGCGCAGGGATATTTTGTAGTGAATTGAAGCCTCTGGTGAAAAAGAAAGTATCTTGAGATATAAACTAAAAAGAGGCTTTCTGGGAATCTTCTTTGTGATGAGTGCATTGATCTCACAGATGTAAACCTTTCTTTTCAATCAGCAGTTTGGATAGACGGTTTTTGTAGAATCTGAAAATGGGCTTTTTGGAGCTCATTGAGGGCAATGGTGAAAAAGCAAATATCCCAGGACAAAAACTAGAAGGAAGCTATCTGAGAAACCACTTTATGATGTGTGCATTCACCTCAACTAGTTAAAATTTCTTTTCATTCAACAGTTTGGAAACACTGTTTTTGTATAATCTTTGAAGGGATATTTGGGAGTGCATTGAGGCCTATCATGAATAAGGATGTATCTTCAGATAAAAACTAGAAAGAAGCTTGCTCAGAAACTGTTTGTCATGTGGACATTCATCTCACAGTGTTAAACCATTATTTGGTTTCAGCAGTTTGGAATAACTGTTTTTGTCCATTCTGCGAATGGACATATGGGAGCTCATTGAGGTCAATGGCAAAAAAGCAAATATCCCAGGATAAAAACTAGAAGGAAGTTATCCGAGAAACCGCTTTGTGATGTGTGCATTCATCTTGCAGTGTTAAACCTTTCTTTTCATTCAGCTCTTCGGAAACACTGTTTTTATAGAATCTGCAAAGGGATATTTGGGAGCGTATTGAGGCTAAAGGTGAAAAAGGAAGTATCTTCAGACAAAAACCAAAAAGAAGCTTTCTGAGAAACTACTTTGTGCTGTGTACATTCATCTCAAAGAGGTAAGTTTTAGTCCTAATCCAGCAGTTTGGAAACAATGTTTTTGTAGAATCAGAAAATGGATATTTGGGAGCTCATTGAGGCCAATGGCAAAAAAGCAAATATCGCACTGTAAAAAGTAGAAGGATGCTTTCTGAGAAACCACTTGGTCATGTGGGCATTCATAGTGCAGAGTTAATCCTCTGTTTTCATTCAGTAGTTTGGAAAAACTGTTTTTGTAGAATCTACTAAGGGTTATTTCAGAGCTCATTGAGGCCTATGTTGTAAAAGGAAATAACTTCATATAAAAATTAGAAAGAAGCTTTCTGAGAAACCTTTTGTGTTGTGCATTCATCTCACAGAGTTAAAACTTTCTTCTCATTCAGCAATTTGGAAACACTGTTTTTGTATGATCTGCAAAGGGATATTTGGGAGTGCACTGATACATATGTTGAAAAAGGAAATATCTTCAGATACAAAATAGAAAGTAGCTTTCTGAGAAACTACTTTGTGATGTCTGCATTTGTCTCAGTATTAAGCCTTTCTTTGGATTCAGCATTTTGGAAACACTGTTTCTGTCAATTCTGTGAATGGACATTTGGGAGCTCATTGAGGCCAATGGAGGAAAAGCGAATATCCCAGGATAAAAACTAGAAGGAAGTTATCTGAGAGACAGATTTGTGAGGTGGGCATTCATCTCACAGAGTTAAACCTTTCTTTTCATTTAGCTGTTTGGAAACAGTGTTTTGTAGAATCTGCAAGTGGATATTTGAGACTTCATTGAGGCCAATGGTGAAAAAGGAATTATTTTCAGATAAAAACTACACAGAAGCTTTACAAGAAACTGCTTTGTAATGTGTGCATTCATCACACAGAGTTAAACATTTCTTTGCATACAGCAGTTTGGAAACACTGTTTTTGTCCATTCTGCAAATGGACGTTTGGAAACACTTTGAGGCCAATTCTGGAAAATAAAATATCCCAGGATAAAAACAAGAAGGAAGTTATCTGAGAAACCGATTTGTGATCAGTGCATTCATCTCACAGAGTTAAACCTTTCTTTATTAAAGCAGTTTGGAAACTATTTCCTTATAATCTATGGAAGGATATTTGGGAGCACATTGAGGCCCTTGGTGAAAAAGGAAATAACTTCATATAAAAACTAGAAAGAAGCTTTCTGAGAAACTGCTTTGTGATGTTTCAATTCATCTCACAGAGTTAAACTTTTCTTTGGTCAGCAGTTTGTAAACACTGTTTTTGTTCATTCGGCTAATGGACATTTGGGAGCTCATTGAAGCCGATGGTGAAAAAGCAAATATCCCAGGATAAAAACCAGAAGGAAGTTCTCAGAGAAACTGCTTTGTGACGTGTGCATTCATCTCACAAGAGTTAAACCTTGTTTTTCATTCAGCAGTTTGGAAACACTGTTTTTGTCCATTCTGTGAATGGACATTTGGGAGCTCTTTGAAGCCAATGGTGAAAAAGTTAATATCCCAGAATAAAAACCAAAAGGAAGTTATCTGAGAAGCCGATATGTGATGTATACATTCATTTCACAGATTTAAACCTTTCTTTTCATTCAGCAGTTTGGAAAAACTGTTTTCTTAGGATCTGCAAAGAGATATTTGGTGGCGGATTTAGTCCTATGGTGAAAAATGAAACATCTTCAGATAGAAACTAGAAAGAGCCTTTCTGATAAACTGCTTTGTGATGTGTGCATTCATGTCACAGAGATACAGCTTTCTCCGGATTCAGCAGTTTGGAAACACTGTTTTTGTCCTTGCTGCAAATGGACATTTGGGAACTCATTGAGGCAAATGGCAAAAAAGCGAATATCCCAGGATAAAAACTAGAAAGTCATTATCTGAGAAACCGATTTGTAATGGGCTCATTCATCTCACAGAGTTAAACCTTTCTTTTCATTCAGCAGTTTTGAAACACTTTTCTTAGAATCTGCAAAGAGATATTTGGTAGTGCATTGAGGCCTAGGGTGAAAAAGGAAATATCTTCAGTTAAAAACTGAAAGAACCTTTCTGAGAAACTGCTTTGTGATGTGTGCATCCATCTCACAGAGTTAAACCTTTCTTTGGATACAGCAGTTTGGAAAAACAGTTTTTCTCCATTCTGAGAATGGACACTTCAGAGCTCACTGAGGGCAATGATGACAAATTGAATATCCTAGGATAAAAACTAGTAGTAAGATATCTAAGAAACCGTGTTGTGATGTGTGCAATCATCTCACAGAGTTAAACCTGTCTTTTCAATAAGCAGTTTGGAAACACGGTTTTGAAGAATTGTTGAAGGTATATTTGGGAATGCACTAAGGACTAGGGTGAAAATTCAAGTATCTTCAGATAAAAACTAGACAGACGCTTTATGAAAAACTGCTTGGGATGTGTGCATTCATGTCCCAGAGTTAAAGTTTTCTTTGAATTCAGCAGTTTGCAAACAATATTTTTGTCCATTCTGCAAATGGACATTTAGGAGCTAATTGAGGCAAATGATGAAAAAGTGAATATCCCAGGAAAAAAATACAAGGAAGTTGTCTGGAAACCCATCTGTGATAAGTGCATTCAACTCACAGAGGTAAAGTTTTCTTCTCATTCAGCAGTTTGGAAATGGTGAAAAAGGAAATATCTTCAGATAAAAACTAGAAAGAAGCTTTCTGGGAAAGAGCTTTGTGATGTGTGCATTCATCTAAAAGAGTTAAAACTTTCTTTGGATTCAGTAGTTCAGAAACACTGTTTTTGTCCATTCTCTGAATGGACATTTGGGAGCTCATTTAGGCCAATGGCGAAGAAGCAAATATCCCAGGATAAAAACTAGAAGGAAGTCATCTGAGAAACAGATTTGTGATGTGTGCATTCATCTCACAGAGTTAAAGCTTACTTTTAATTCAGCAGTTTGGAAATACTGTTTTCGTACAATCTGTGAAGGGATATTTGGGAGCACATTCAGGCCTATGGTGAAAAAAAATATGTCTTTACATAAAAACTAGAAAGAAGTGCCTTGTGATGTTTTCATTCATCTAAAAGAGTTAAACATTTCTTTGGATTCCACAGTTTGGAAACATTGTTTTGGTACATTCTGCGAATGGATATTTGGGAACTCGTTGAGGCCAATGGTGAAAAAGTGAATATCCCAAGATAAAAACTTAAAGAAAGATATCTAAGAAACCGTGTTGAAATGTGTGCATTCATCTCACAGAGTTAAACTTTTCTTTTCATTCAGCAGTTTGGAAATGCTGCTTTAGTAGAATCTGTCAGGGGATATTTCGGGGCACCTTCAGGCCTTTGCCGAAAAAGGAAATATCTTTAGATAAAAACTAGACAGAATTTTTCTGAGATACTGATTTGTGATGTGTGCATTTGACTCACATAATTAAACCTTTCTTTGGATTCAGCAGTTTGCAAACACTGATTTTGTCCATTCTGTGAAGGGACATTTGGGAACTCATTGTGGACAATGGCAAAAATGTGAATAGCCCAGGATAAAAACTAGAAAGAAGTTGTCTGAGAAACCGATTTGTGATGTGTGCATTCATTTCAAAGAGTTAAACCTTTCTTTTAACTCAGCATTTTGGAACAATGTTTTGTCAGGATCTGTGGAGAGATATTTGTAGCACATTGAGGCCTATGGCAAAAAAGAAAATATCTTCAAATAAAATCTAGAAAGAAGCTTCCTAAGAAAATCCTTCGTGATGTGTGCATTCACCACACAGAACTAAACATTTCTCTCAATTCAGTAGTTTGGAAACACTGTTTTTGTCTATACTGAAAATGGACATTTAGGAGCTCATTGAGGCCAATGGCGAAAAAGACAATATCCCAGGATAAAAACTAGAAAGAAATGACCTGAGAAACCGATTTGTATGTATGAATTCATCTCACAGAATTAAACATTTCTTTTCATTCAGCAGTTTGGAAAACCCGTTTTCTTAGAATCTGCAAATGGATATTTGGGAGCACATTGAGGCCTATGGTGAAAAAGGAAATATCTTCAGATAAAAACAAAAAAGAAGCTTTCTGAGAAGCAGCCTTTTGATGAGTGCATTCAACTCAGAGTTAAACTTTTCTATTCAGCAGTTTGGAAACAGTTTTTGTCCATTCTGCAAATGGACATTTGGGAGCTCATTGAGGGCAATGGCAAAAAAGTGAATATCCCATGATAAAAACTAGAAAGAAGATACCTGAGAAATTGCTTTGTGATGTGTGCATTCATCTCACAGAGTTAAATATTACCTTTCATTCAGCAGTTTGGAAACACTGTTTTTGTAGAATCTCTTAGGGGATATTTGCGAGTACTTTGAGGCCTATGGTGAAAAAGGAAATATCTTCAGACTAAAACTAGAAAGAAGCTTTCTGAGAAACTACTTGGTGATGTGTGCATTCCTCTCACATGGTTAAACCTTTCTTTGGATGCAGCAGTTTGGAAACACTGTTTTTGTCCATTCTGTGAATGGACATTTGGGAGATCATTGAGGCTAATGGGAAAAAGGCAAATAACCAAGGATAAAAACTAGAAGGAAGTTATCTGAGAAACCGCTTTCTGATGTGCATGTTCATCCTGGAGAGGTAAGCATTTTTTTCAAGTCAGCAGTTTGGAAACACTATTTTCCTAGAATCTGTGAAGTGATATTTTTTAGCACATTGAGGTCTATGGTGAAAAAGGAAATATATTAATATAAAAATTAGGAAGCAGCTTTCTGAGAAACTGCTTTGTGATGTGTGCGTTCAACTCACAGAGTTAAAGCTTTCTTTTAATTCAGCAGTGTGGAAACACTGTTTACTTAGAATCTGCAAAGAGATATCTTGTACCGCATTGAGGCCTATGGAGAAAAAGGAAATATCTTCATATAAAAACTAGAAAGAACCTTTCTGAGAAACTGCTTTGAGATGTGTGCATTCATCTCACATAGTTACACCATTCTCTGGATTCAGCAGTTTGGAAACACTGTTTTTGTCCATGCTGTAAATGGACATTTTGGAGCTCATTGAGGCCAAAGGCAAAAAAGCGAATATCCCATGTTAAAAACTACAAGGAAGCTATTTGAGAAACCACTTTGTGATGTGTGCATTCATCTCACAGAGTTATACCTTCTCTGGATTCAGCAGTTTGGAAACACTGTTTTTGTCAATGCTCTAAATGGACATTTGCAAACTCATTGAGGCTAAAGTTGAAAAAGTGAATATCCCAGGATAAAAACTAGAAGGAAGATATCTGAGAAACTGCTTTGTGATGTGTGCATTCATCTCACAGAGGTAAATATTTCTTTTCATTCAGCAGTTTGGAAAAACTGTTTTTGTAGAATCTGGGAGGGGATATTTGGGAGCACAGTGAGGCCTTTGGTGAAAAAGAAAATATCTTCAGATAAAAACAAGAAAGAAACTTTCCGAGAAAGTGCTTTGTGATGTTTTCATTTCTTACAATCTGTAAAGGGATATTTGGTAGTACATTGAGTCCTATGGTGAAAAAGGAAGTATCTTCAGGTAAGCACTAGAAAGAACCTTCCTGAGAAACTGCTTTGTTATGTGTGCATAACTACTTTGTTGTGGGTTAAACCTTTATTTGAATTCAGCAGTTTGCAAACACTGTTTTTGTCCATTCTGTGAGTGGACATTTGGGAGCTCATTGAGGCCAATGCTGAAAAAGCAAATATCCCAGGAAAAAACTAGAAGGAAGTTTTCTGAGAAACTGATTTGCGATGTGTGCATTCAAAACACGGAGATAAACTTTTCCTTCCATTCAGCAGTTTGGAAACTGTTTCCTCAGAATCTGCAAGGGGATAGCTGGGAGCACATTGAAGTCTATGGTGAAAAAGGAAATATCTTCAGATAAAAACTAGAAAGAAGTTTTCTGAGAAACTGCTTTATGGTGATTGCATTCATCTCACAGAGTTAAACTTTTCTTTGGATACAGCAGTTTGGAATCGCTGTTTTGTTCATTCTGTGAATGGACAATTGAGAGCTCATTGAGGCCAATGGTGAAAAAATCAATATCCCAGGATAAAAACAGAAGCAATTTATCTGAGAAACTGATGTGTGATTTATGGATTTATCTCACAGAGTTAATCCTTTCTTTTCATTCAGTAATTTGGAAACACTCTTTTTGTAGAATATGTGAAGGGCTATTTTTAAGCGCATTGAGGCCTATGGTTAAAAAGGAAATATCTTCAAAAAAAAAACCTAGAAAGAAGCTTTCTGAGAGACTGCTTTGTGATGTGTCCATTCACCTCATAGAATTAAAGCTTTATTTTAATTTAGAAGTTTGTATACACTGCTTTCTTAGAATCTGCAAAGAGATATTTTGTAGTGCATTGAGGCCTATGGTGAAAAAGAATATATCTTCAGATAAAAACTAGAAACAAGTTTTCTGAGAAACTGATTTGTGATGTGTGCACTCAACTCACAGAATTTAAACTTTCTTTGGATTCAGCAGTTTGGAAAAACTGTTTTTGTCCATTCTGTGGATGGACATTTTGAAAGTCATTGAGGCCAAAGAAGAAAAAGTGAATATTGCAGGATAAAAACTAGAAGGAAGTTATCTGAGAAACAGATTTTTAATTTGTGCATTCATCTCACAGACTTAAAGCTTACTTTTAATTCAGCAGTTTGGAAACACTGTTTTCTTAGAAAATGCAAAGAGATATTTTGTAGTGCATTGAGGCCTACGGTGAAAAAGGAAACATCTTCAAATAAAAACTAGAAAGAAGCTTTTTTGAGAAACTGCTTTGTGATGTGTGCCTTCATCTCATGGAGTTAAACCTTTCTTTTCACTCAGCAGTTTGGAAACACAGTTTTCTTAGAATCTGCCAAGAGATATTTGGTAGCTCAATGAGGCCTAGGGTGAAAAAGGAAATAACTTCAGATACAAACTAGAAAGAATGTTTCTGCGAAAATGCTTTGTGATGTGTGCATTCATCTCACAGAGTTAAACATTTCTTTGGATTCAGCAGCCTGGAAACACTGTTTTTGTCCATTCAGTGAATACACATTTGGGAGCTCATTGAGGACAATGGTGACAAATTGAATATCCCAGGATAAAATCTAGAAGGAATATATCTAAGAAACTACGTTGTGATGTGTGCAATAATCTTGCAGAGTTAAATCTTCCTTTTCATACAGCTGTTTGTAAATAGTGTTTAGTAGAATCTGCAAAGGGATATTTTGGACTGCATTCAGGCCTACAGTGAAAATGTAATTATCTTCAGATAAAAATGAGACAGAAACTTTATGAAAAACTGCTTTGTGATGGGTGCATTCATCTACCAGAGATAAAACTTACTTTGAATTCAGCAGTTTGCAAACACTGTTTTTGTCCCTTCTGCAACTGCACTTTTAAGAGCTCATTGAGGCCAGTGGCAAAAAGAGCAAACATCACAGTGTAAAAACGAGAAGGAATTTATCTGAGAAACCTATCTGTGATGTATGTATCCATCCCACAGAGGTAAACCTTTCTTTTCATTCAGGAGTTTGGAAAAACTGTTTTCTTAGATTCTGCAAAGGGATATTTGGGAGCATATTGAGGCCTATGGTGAAAAAAGGAAATAACCTCACATAAAAACCAAAAAGAAACTTTCTGAGAAACTGCTTTGGAATGTGCCATTCATCTCACAGGATTAAATTTTCATTGGAATCAGCAGTTTGGAAACACTGTTTTTGTCAATTTTGTGAATGGACATTTGGGAGATCATTGAGGTCAATGAAGAAAAAGTGAATATCCCAGGATAAAAACTAGAAGGAAGTTATCTGAGAGACAGGTTTGTGATGTGTGCAATCATCTCACAGTGTTAAACGTTTCTTTTCTTTCAGCTTTCAGCAGTTTGGGAACACTGTTTTTGTCCATTCTGTCAATGGACATTTGGGAGTTCTTTGAGGCCAATGGCAACAAAGTGAATATCCCAGGATAAAAACTAGAAAGAAGATATCTAAGAAACTGCATTGTGATGTGTACATGCATCTCACAGAGTTAAACTTTTCTTTTCATTCAGCAATTTGGAAACAATGTTTTTGTATAGTCTGCAAAAGGATATTTTGCATCACATTGAGACCTATGGTGAAAAAGGAAATATTTTCAGAAAAAAACTGCAAAGAAGCTTTCTGAGAAACTGCTTTTTGATGTTTGCATTCATCTCACAGAGTTAAACCTTTCTTTGGATTCAGCAGTTTGGAAACACTGTTTTGGTTCATTCTGCAAATGGACATTTTGTAGCTCATTGAGGCCAACGGCAAAAAAGCGAACATCCCAACATAAAAACTAGAAGGAATTTATTTGAGAAACCAATTTCTGATATGTGCATTGATCTCACACTGTTAAACCTTTCTTTTCTTTCTACAGTTTGGAAACAGTGTTTTGTCCATTCTGCAAATGGACAATTGGCAGCTCTTTGAGGCCAAGGGCAACAAAGTGAATATCCAAGGAAAAAAACTAAAAGGAAGATATCTAAGAAATCACATTGTGATTTGTGCATTCACCATGCAGAGTTAAACCTTTCTTTTCATTCAGACTGTTTGGAAACACTGTTTTTGTATAGTCTGCGAAGGGATATTTGGCATCGCATTGAGGCCTATGGTGAAAAAGGAAATATCTTCAGATAAAAACTAGAAAGCAGCTTTCTGAGAAACTGCTTTGTGATGTTTGCATTCATCTCACAGGGTTAAACCTTACTTTGGATTCCTCAGTTTGGAAACACTGTTTTGGTTCATTCTGTGAATGGAGATTTCAGAGCTCACTGAAGGCAATGGCAAAAAAGTAAATATCCCAGGATAAAAACTAGCAGGAATTTATCTGAGAAAGTGATTTCTTCTATGTGCATTCATCTCACAGAGTTAAAACTTTCTTTTCATTCAGCAGTTTGGAAACACTGTTTTCTTAGAATCTGCAAAGTGATATTTGGTAGTGCACTGAGGTCTATGGTGAAAAAGGAAATATCTTCAGATAAAAACTACAAAGATGCTTTCCAAGAAACTGCTTTGTGATGTGTGGATTCATCTAACAGACTTAAACCTTTCTCTGGATTTAGCAGCTTGGAATCACTGTTTCTGTCCATGCTCCAAATGGACGTTAGGGAGCTCCTTGAGGCCAATGATGAAAAAGAGAATATTCCATGATAAAAACTACAAGGAAGATATCTGAGGAACCACTTTGTGATGTGTGCATTTATCTCACAGAGCTAATCCTTTCTTTTCATTCAGCAGTTTGGAAAAACCGTTTTTGTAGAATCTGTGAAAGGTTATTTGGGACTGCTTTGAGACCTATGGTAAAAAAGAATATATCTCCAGATAAAAACTACAAAGAAGTTTTCTGAGAAAGTGCTTTGTGGTATTTTCATTTATCTCACAGAATTAAACATTTCTTTGGTTTCTGCAGTTTGGAAACAGTGTTTTAATCCATTCTTCAAATGGACAATTTGGAGTTCCTTAAGGCCAATAGTGAAAAAGCGAGTATCCCAGGATAAAAACTAGAAGGAATTTATCTGAGAAACAAATTTCTGATGTGTGCATTCATGTTACAGAGTTAAATCTTTCGTTTCGTTCAGCAGTTTGGAAGCACTGTTTACTTAGAATATGCAAAGGAATATTTGGGAGCGCATTGAGGCCTAGGTTGAAAAAGGAAATAACTTCAGATAAAAACTAAAAGGAAACATTCTGTGAAACTGCTTTGTGATGTGTGCAATCATCTCTCAGAGTTAAACCTTTCCATTCATTCAGCAGTTTGAAAACACTGTTTTTGTAGAATGTGCAATTGGATAATTGGGAGTGCCTTGAGGTCTATGTTGAAAAAGGAAATATATTCAGAAAAAAAAGAAAGAAGTTTTCTGAGAAACTGCTTTGTGATGTTTGCATTCATCTCACAGAGTTAAACCTTTCTTTGGATTCAGCAGTTTGGAAACACTGTTTTTGTTCATTCTGCTAATGGACATGTTGGAGCTCATTGAAGCCAAAGGCCAAAAAAGAGAATATCCCAGGATAAGAAGGAATTTATCTGAGAGACAAATTTGTGATGTCTGCATTCATCTCACAGTGTTAAACTTTTCTTCTCTTTCAGCAATTTGGAAACACTGTTTTTGTCGATTCTGCAAATGGACATTTTGGTGCTCTTTGAGGCCAATGGCAACAAAGTGAATATTCCAGGTTAAAAACTGGAAGGAAGATATCTAAGAAACCACGTTGTAATCTGTGTATTCATCTCACAGAGTAAAACCTTTCTTTTTATTCAGCAGTTTGGAAACACGGTTTTTGTGGAATCTGCGAAGGATATTTGGGGACACTTTGAGGCCTTTGCTGAAAAAGGAAATATCTTCAGATAAAAACTAGAAAGAATTTTTCTGAGATACTGATTTGAGATGTGTGCATTCAACTCACAGAATTAAACCTTTCTTTGGATTCAGCAGTTTGGAAACACTGTTTTTGTCCATTCTTCGAAGGGACATTTGGGAACTCTTTGTGGACAATGGTGAAAAAGGGAATGGCCCAGGATAAAAACTAGAAGGAATTTTTATGAGAAACCAGTTGGTGAAGTGTGCATTCATCTCACAGAGTTAAAACTGTCTTTTAATTCAGCATTTTGGAAACACTGTTTTCTTAACATCTGCAAAGAAATACTTTGTAGCACATTGAGGCCTATGGTGAAAATGGAAATATCTTCAGATAAATACTAGAAAGAATTTTTCTGAGATACTGGTTTGTGATGTGTGCCTTTGACTCACATAATTAAACCTTTCGTTGGATTCAGCAGTTTGGAAACACTGTTTTTGTCCATTCTGCAAATGGACATTTGGGAACTCATTGAGGACAATGGTGAAAAAGTGAATAGCCCAGGATAAAAACTAGAAGGAAGTTATCTGAGAAGCCGATTTGTGATGAGTGTATTCATCTCACCAAGTTAAACCTTTCTTTTAATTCAGCATTTTGGAAACACTGTTTTCTTAGGATCTGCGAAGAGATATTTTGTAGCACATTGAGGCCTATGGTGAAAATGGAAATATCATCAGATAAAAACTAGAAAGAAGCTTTCTCAGAAACTGCTTTTTGATGTGTGCATTCACCTCACAGAATTAAACCTTTCTCTGGATTCAGCAGTTTGGAAACACTGTTTTTGTCTATACTGAAAATGGATATTTAGGAGCTCATTGAGGCCAATGGGGAAAAAGTGAATAACCCGGGATAAAAAGTACCAGGGAGATATATGAAACACCGCTTTGTGATGTGTGCATTTATCTCACAGAGTCTTTCAATTCAGCAGTTTGGAAACACTGTTTTCTTAGAATCTGCAAAGAGATAATTTTTAGTGCATTGAGGCCTAGGCTGAAAAAGGAAATATAATTAAATAAAAATTAGAAGGAAGCTTTCTGAGAAACTGCTTTGGGATGTGTGCATTCATCTCACAGAGTTAAACCTTTCTGTTCATTCAGCAATTTGGAAACACTGTTTGTGAAGGATCTGCAAAGGGATATTTGGGAGCACACCACAGTCAATGGTGAAAAAGGAAATATCTTCGGATAAAAAGTAGAAAGAAGCTTTAGGAGAAATTGCTTTGTGATGTGTACATTCATCTCACAGACCTAAGCTTTCTTTCCATTCAGCAGTTTGGAAGCACTTTTTCTGCCCATTCTACGAATCACAATTGGGAGCTCGGGGAGGCCAATTCCTAAAAGGGAATATACCAAAATAAAAACTAGAAGGAAGCTATCTGATAAACTGCTTTGTGATGTGTGCATTCACCTTGCAGACATAAATATTCCTTTTCATTCAGCAGTTTGGAAACACTGTTTTCATAGAATCTACGAAGGGATACTTGGGAGCGCATTAAGGCCTATGGTGTAAAAGGAAATATCTTCACATAAAAAGTAGAAAGAAGCTTTCTGAGAAACTGCTTTGTGATGTGTGCATTCATCTCAAAGAGTTAAACCATACTTTGGATTCAGCCGTTTGGAAACACTATTTTTGTCCATTTTGACAATGGACATTTCAGATGTCTTTGAGGTGACTGTCGAAAAAGCAAATATCCCAGGATAAAAACTAGAAGGAAGATATCTGAGAAAATGTTTTGTGGTGTGTGCATTGATCTCACAGAGTTAAACCTCTGCTTTCATTGTGCAGTTTGGAAACACCATTTTCGTAGAAATACAATGGGATATTTGGGAGCACATTGAGGCCTATGGTGAAAAATGAACTATCCTCAGATAAAAACTAGAATGAAGCTTTCTGAGAAACCGTTTGTGATGTGTGCATTCAGCTCCCAGAGTTAAACCTTTCTTTGGATTCAGCATTTTGGAAGCAATGTTTTTGTCCATTCTTTGAATGGACATTTGGTAGCTCATTGAAGCAAATGGCAAGAAAGCACAGATCCCAGGATAAAAAGTAGGTGGAAGGTATCTGAGAAACCGATTTGTGATGTGTGGATTCATCTCATATAGTTAAGCTTTTCTTTTCCTTCAGCAGTTTCGACACAATATTTTTTAGAGTCTGCGAAGGGCTATTTACTAGTGAATTGAAGTCTATGGTGAAAAAGGAAATATACTCATATAAAACTTAGAAAGAAGCTTTCTGAGAAACTGCTTTGTCATGGGTGTGTTAATCTTACAGAGTTAAACCTTTCTTTATATTCAGCAGGTTGAAAAAATGTCTTTGTCCATTCTACGAATGGACATTTTGGAGCTTATTGAAGCCAATTTTGAAAAAGTGAATATCACAGGATAAAAACTAGAAGGAAGTTATCTGAGAAACTACTTTGTGATGTGTGCATTCATCTTGCAGAATTAAACTTTTTTCTTTTAATTCAGCAGTTTGGAAACACTTTGTTGTAGAATCTGTGAAGGGATATTTGGGAGCACATTGGGGCCTATGGTGAAAAAGGAAATGTCTTCTGATTAAAACTAGAAAGAAGCTTTTTGAGAAACTGCTTTTAGATGTATGCATTCATCTCACAGAGTTAAACCTTTTTTTTGGACTCAGCAGTTTGGAAACACTGTTTTTGTCCATTTTGCGAATGGACATTTTGGAACTCATTGAGGACAATGAAGAAAAAGCGAACATCCCAGGATAAAAACTAGAAGGAAGCTATCTGAGAAACCATTTTGTGAAGTGTGCTTTCATCTCGCAGAGTTAAAACTTTCTTGGCATTCAGTAGTTTGGAAACACTGTTTTCACAGAAATTGCTAATGGATATTTGGTAGTGCATTGAGGCCTATGGTGTAAAAGAAAATATCTTCAGATAAAAATAGAAAGGAGCTTTCTGGGAAACTACTTTGTGATGTTTGCATTCCTCTCACAGAATTAAATATTTCCTTGGATTCAGCAGTTTGGAAACACTGTTTTTGTCAATTCCGGTAATGGAGATTTGGAAGTTCTTTCTGGAAAATTCTGAAAAAACAAATATCCCAGGATAAAAACTAGAAGAAAGATATCTAAGAAACTGCTTTGTGATGTGTGCATTCATTTCATAGAGAAAGGAATTAAAGAATTTAAGCTTTCTTTTCTTTCAGTAGTTTACAAAGACTGTCGTTGTAGATTCTGTGAAGTGATATTTTGCAGTGCATTGAGGTCTGTGATCAAAAAGGAAATATCTTCAGATTAAAAACTACAAAGAAGCTTTCTGACAAACTGCTTTGTGATGTTTGCATTCATCTCACAAGTTAAAACTTTCTGTGGATTCAGCAGTTTGGAAACACTGTTTTTGTTCATTCTGCGAATGGACATTTGGGAGTTCATTGAGGAAAAAGGTGAAAAAGTGAGTATCCCAGGAAAAAAAACTAGAAGGAAGCTATCTGACAAACCACTTTCTGATGTCTGCATTCAAATCTCAGAGTTAAAAAGGAAATATCTTCAGATAAAAACTAGAAAGAAGTTTTCTGAGAAACTGCTTTGTGATGTGTGCATTTATCTCAAAGATAGTCCTTTCTTTGGGTTCAGCTGTTTGGAAACATTGTTTTGGTAGAATATAAGAATGGAACTTTTGGTGCTCATTGAGGCCAATGGCTTAAAAGTGAATATCCCAGAATAAAAACTAGAAGGAAGCTGTCTGATAAACCGTGTTGTGATGTGTGAATTCATCTCACAGAGTTAAAATTTTCTTTTCATTCAGCAGTTTGGAAACACTGTTTTTGTACAATCATTTGCAAAGGGATAATTCGTAGCCCAAAGAGGACTAAGGTAAAAAAGGAAATATCTTCAGATAAAAGCTAGAAAGAAGATTTCTGAAAAACTGCTGTGTCATGAGTACATTCATCCCACAGATTTAAAGTTTTCTTTGGATTCAGCAGTTTGGAAACACTGTTTTGTCCATTCTGCTAATGGACATTTGGGAGGTTAATGAAGCCAATGGCAAAAAACGGAATATCCCAGGATAAAATTAGAAGGAAGCTATCTGAGAAACCATTTTGTGATGTGTGCATTAATCTCGCAGAGTTAAAACTTTCTTTTCATTCAACAGCTTGTAAACACTGTTTTTATTGGCTCTGTGAAGGGATATTTTAGAGCACATTGAGGCCTTCGGTGAAAAAGAAAATATATTCATGTTAAAATTTGAAAGAAGCTTTCTGAGAAACTGATTTGTGATGTGTGTCTTCACCTCACAGAGTTAAACTTTTCTTTGGTTTCAGCAATTTGGAAACAATGTTTTTGTCCATTCTGCAAATGGATATTTGGGAGCTCATTGAGGCCAATGTCAAAAAAGATAATATCCCGGGATAAAAAGGAGCAGGAAGCTATCTGAGAAACCGTTTTGTGATGTGTGCATTCATATCACAGAGTCAAAACTTTCTTTTCATTCAGCAGTTTGGAAACACAGGATTTGCAGAATCTGTGAAGGGATATTTGAGAGCGAATTTAGGCCTATGGTGAACAAGGAAATATATTCAGATAAAAACTAGAAAGAAGCTTTCTGCGAAACTCTTTTCCAATGTGTACCATCATCTCACAGAAGTAAATATTTCTTTTTATTCTGCAGTTAGGAAACACAGTTTTTGGTGAATCTGCAAATGGACATTTGGGAGCTCATTGAGGCCAATTCTGAAAAAGTGTATATCACAGGATAAAAACTAGAAGGAGGCTCTCTGAGAAACTGCTTTGTGATGTGCACTTTCATCATGCAGAGTTAAAACTTTCTTTTCATTCAGCAATATAGAAACTCTGTTTTCACAGTATTGGTGAAGAGATAATTGGTAGCGCATTGAGGCCTGTGGGGAAAAATAAATATTTTCAGATAAAAATTAGTAAGAAGCTTTCTGAAAAAAAAACTGCCTTGTGAAGTGTGCATTCATCTCACAGAGTTAAAGCTTTCTTTGGATTCAGGGGTTTGGAAACACTGTTTTTGTCCATTTGGCAGACGGAAATTTGGGAGCTCATTGTGGCCAATGGCAAAAAAAGGGAATATCCCAGGATAAAAACTAGAAGAAAGATATCACAGAAACCGGTTGTGATGTGTGTATTCATCTGGCAGAGTTAAAAGTTGCTTTTCATTCAGCAGTTTGACAACACTGTTTTCGTAGTCTCTGCAAAGTGATATTTGGGAGTGCATTGAGGCCTATGGTGAAAAAGGAAACATCTTCAGATAAAAACTAGAAAGAAGCTTTCTGAGAAACTGTTTAGTGATGTGTACATTCATCTGATGGAGTTAAACTTTTCTTTGGATTCTGTAGTTTGAAAACACCGTTTGTTCCATGTGGCAAATGGACATTTGGGAGCTCATTGAGACCAATGGCGAAAAACTGAATATCCCAGGATAAAAACTAGAAGGAAGCTATCTGAGAAACTGCTTTGCGATGTCTGCATTCATCTCGCAGAAGTGAACCTTTCTTTTCATTTAGCAGTTTGGAAATACTGTTTTAGTAGAATCTGTGAAGGGATATTAGGTGTCCCATTGAGGCCTATGGTGTAAAAGGAAATATCTTGAGATAAAAATTAGAAAGAAGCTTAATGAGAATCTACTTTGTGATGCGTGCATTCAACTGATAGAGTTAAAATTTTTGGGGGGGTTCAGCAGTTTGGAAACACTGTTTTTGTCAATTCCACAAAGGGACATTTGGGAGCTCACTGAGGCCAATGGCAAAAAAGCAAACTTCCCAGGATAAACATTGGAAGGAGACTACCTCAGAAACTGGGTTGTGATGTGTGCTTTCATCTACTAGAGTTAAACTTTTCTTTTCATTCAGCAGTTTGGAAACACTGTTTTTGTAGAACCTCAGAGGGGATATTTGGGAGCAGATTGAAGCCTATGGTAAACAAGGAAATATCTCAGATAAAAACTAGAAACAAGCTTTCTGAGAAACTGCATTGTGATGTGTGCATTCATCTCACAGAGTTAAAACTTTCTTTGGATTCAGCAGTTTTGAAACACAGTTTTTGTCCATTCTCTGAATGGACATTAGGGAGATCTTTGAGGCCAATGGAAAAAAAAAAGTGAATACCCTAGGAAATAAACTAGATGGAAGCTATCTGAGAAAGGACTTTGCGATGTGTGCATTCATCTCGTTGATTTAAACCTTACTTTTCCTTCAGCAGTTGGGAAACACTGTTTTCATAGAAACTGCGAAGGGATATTTTGGAGCGCTTTGAGACCTATGGTGAAAAAGGAAATATTTTCAGATACAAACTAAAAAGAAGCTTTCTGAGACACTGCTCTGTGATGTGTGCATTCATGTCACAGAGTTGAAATTTTCTTTGGATTCAGCAGTTTGGAAACACTGTTTTTGTCCATTCTGAGAATGGACATTTTGGAACTCATTGAGGCCAATGGCACAAAAGCAATTATCCCAGGAAATAAACTAGAAGGAAGCTATCTAAGAAACCACTTTGTGATGTATGCATTCATCTCACAGAGTTAAATCTTTCTTTTCATTCAGCAGTTTGTAAACACTGTTTTTGGACTATGTACATAAGGATATTTGGGAGAACCTATAGGCCTATGGTGAAAAAGAAAATATCTTCAGATAAAAAGTAGAAAGAAGCTCTATAAGAAACTGCTTTGTGAGAAAGGTATGCAACTCACAGAGTTAAACCATTCTTTGGATAGTGCAGTTTGGAATCAATGTTATTGTCCATTCTGCCAATGGACATCTGGGAGCTCATTGAGGAAAATAGCAAACAGGGGAATATCCCTGGATAACAACTAGAAGGAAGCTCTCTGAGAATCTGCTTTGTGATGTGTGCATTCATCTCACAGAATTAAAACTTTATTTTCATAAAGCAGTTTGGAAACACTGTTTTTGTAGAATCTGCAAGGGATATTTCGGAGCACATTGAGGCCTATGGCAAAAAGGGAAATATGTTAAGATAAAAACTGCAAAGAAGATTTCTCAGGAACTGCTTTATGATGGGTGCATTCATCTCACAGAGACAAACTTTTCTTGTCATTGAGCAGTTTGGAAACACGGTCATTGTAGAATCTGAGAATGAACATTTGGGAGCTCATTGAAGCCAATGGCAAAAAAGGGAATATCACAGGAAAAAGCAGAAGGAAACTATATGAGAAAATGCTTTGTGACGTAGGCATTCATCCTGAAGAATTAAACATTTCTTTGGATTCAGCAGTTTGGAAAGAATGTTTTGTCCATTCTGTGAATGGACATTAGGGAGCTCATTGAGGCCAATGCCAAAAAAGTGAATACTTCCATATGAAATCCAGAAGGAAGTTTTCTGAGAAACTGCTTTGTGATGTGTACATTCATCTCACAGAAGTAAACTTTTCTTTTCTTTCAGCAGTCTGTAAACACGGTTTTTCTAAAATCTGAGAATGAACATTTGGAGCTCATTGAGGCCAATGGCGAAAAAGCAAATATCCCATAATAAAAACTCGAAGGAAGTTATCTGAGAAACCGAATTGTGATGTGTGCCTTCACCTCACAGAGTAAAACCTTTCTTTTCATTCAGCAGTTTGGAAACACCGTTTTCTTAGAAACTGCGAAGAGATATTTGGTAGTGCACTGAGGCCAAAGATGAAAAAGAAAATAACTTCAGATAAAAACTAAAAAGAAGCTTTCTGAGAAACTGCTTTGTAATGTGTGATTCATCTCACAGAGCTACACCTTTCTTTGGATTCAACAGTTTGGAATCACTGTTTTTGTTTATCCACAAAATGGACATTTGGGAGCTAATTGAGGCCCATGGCAAAAAAGTGAATATCCCAGGATAATAACTAGAAGGAAGATATCTGAGAAACTGCTATGTGATGTGTGCATTCAACTCACAGAGATAAACCTCTCTTTTTCAGTCACCAGTTTGGAAACACTGTTTTGGTTAATCTGTGAAGGGATATTTGGTAGTACATTGAGGCTTATGTTTAAAAAGGAAATACCTTCATATAAAAATTAGAAAGAAGCATTCTGAGACCCTGCTTTGTGACGTGTGCATTCATCTCATAGAGTTAAACCTTTCTTTGTATTCAGCAGTTTGGAAACACTGTTTTTGTCCATCCCTGGAAAGGAGATTTGGAACTAATTTAGGTCAAAGGTGAAAAATTGAATATCCCAGGATAACAACTAGAAGGAAGTTATCTGAGAAACCTGCCTTGTGATGTGAGCATTCATCTCACAGAGTTAAACCTTACTTTTCATTCAGCAGTTTGGAAACACTGTTTTTGTAGAATCTGCAAAGGGATATTTGGTAATGAATTGAGGCCAATGGTGAAAAAGGAAATATCCTCAGATAAAAACTAGAAAGTAGCTTTCTGTGGAACTGCTTTGTGATGTATTGATTCACCTCACAGATTTAAACCTTTCTTTGGATTCAGCAGTTTGGAAACCCTGTTTTGATCCATTCTGCGAATGGACATTTGGGAGCTCGTTGAGGCCAATGGTGACAAAGCAAATATCCCAGGATAAAAATTAGAAGGAAGCTATCTTAGAAACGGCTTTGTGATGTGTGCATTCATCTCACAGAGGTAAACTTTTCTTTTCATTTACTAGTTTGGAAACCCTGCTTTTGTAGAACCTGAGAAGGGATATTTGGGAGCGCATTGAGGACTATGGTGAAAAAGGAAATATTTTCAGATAAAAACTAGAAAGAAGCTTTCAGAGAAACTTCGTTGTGATGTGTGCATTCATCTTGCAGAATTAAACCATTCTTTTAATTGAGCAGTTTGGAAAGGCTGTTTTCTTGGAATCTGCTAAGAGATATTTGTTAGCACATTGAGGCCTATGGTGCAAAAGGAAATATCTTTAGATAAAAACTGGAAAGAAGTTTAATGAGAAACTGCTTTGTGACGTGTACATTCATCTCACAGTGCTATACCTTTGTTTTCATTCAGCAGTATGGAAACACTTTTTTTGACCATTTTGCAAATGGACATTTGGGAGCTCATTGAGGCCAATGGCAAAAAAGTGAATATCCTAGGATGAAAACTAGAAGGAAGCTATCTGAGAAACCACTTTGTGATGTGTGCATTTATCTCACAGAGTTAAACTTTTCTTTTCATTCAGCACTTTGGAAACACTTTTATTGTAGAATCTGCAAAGGGATATTTAGGAGTGCATTGAGACCTATGGTGAGAAAGGAAATACCTTCACATAAAAACTACAAAGAAGATTTCTGAGAAACTGCTTTGTGATGTGTGCATTCAGCTCACATTATTAAAACTTTCTTTTCATTCAGCAGTTTGGAAACACTGTTTCTGTAGAATCTGCGAAGGGATATTTGGTAGCCCATTGAGGCCTAAAGTGAAAAGGAAACACCTTCAGATAAATAGTAGAAGCTTTATGAGAAACTACTTTGTGATGTGTTCATTCACGTCATGGAGTTAAACCATTCTTTGGATTCAGCAGTTTGGAAACACTGCTTTTATCCATTCTGTGAATGGATATTTGGTAGCTCATTGAGGCCAATGGTGAAAAAGCAATTATCCCAGGATAAAAACTACTAAGAAGTTATCTAGAAACTGATATGTGATGTGTGCATTCACGTCACAGAGTTAAACTTTTCTTTTCTTTCAGCAGTTTTGAAACACTGTTTTCTTAGTACGTGCGAAGAGACATTTGGTAGCGCATTGAGGCCTATGGTGAAAAAGGAATCATCTTCATATAAAAACTAGAAAGAAGCTTTATGAGAAACTGCTTTGTGATGTATAAATTCATCTCAAAGAGTTAAAACTTTCTGTGGATTCAGCATTTTGGAAACAATGTTTTTGTCCATTCTGCGAATGGACTTTTTGGAGTTCATTGAGGCCACAGTCGAAAAAGGGAATATCCCAGTAAAAAAACTAGAAAGAACCTATCTGAGAAACGGATTTGTGATGTGTACATTCATCTCACAGAGTTAAACCTTCCTTTTCATTCAGCAGTTTGGAAACACAGTTTTTGTATAATCTGCAAATGGATAGTTGGGAGCACATTGAGGCCAATGGTGAAAAAGGAAATATCTTCTCATAAAAACTAGAATGAAGCTTTCTTAAACACGGCTTTGTGAAGCCTGCCTTCATCTCACACCCTTAAACATTTCTTTCTATTCAGCACTTTGGAAATGCTGTTTTCTTAGGATCAGCGAAGAGATATTTGGTAGCGCATTGGGGCCTATGGTGAAACAGGAAATATCTTCAGAAAAAAAAACAGAAAGAAGCTTTCAGAGAAGCTGCTTCATGATGTGTGCATTCATCTCACAGAGCTAAAACATTCTTTGGATTCAACAGTATGGTATTACTCTTTTTGTCTATTTGTGGAACAGAAATTTGGGAGCCCATTGAGGCCAATGGTGAAACACTGTATATACCAGGATAACAACTAGAGGGAAGACATCTGAGAAACCGCTTTGTGATGTGTGCATACATTTCACAGAGTTAAACCTTTCTTTTCATTCAGCAGTTTGGAAACACTGTTTTCTTAGAATCTGCAAAGAGATACTTGGCAGTGCATTGAGGCCTATGGTGGAAAAGGGAATATCTTTAGATAAAAACTAGAAAGATGCTTAACTAGAAATTGCTTTGTGATGTGTACATTCATCTCACAAGGTTATACATTTCTTTGGATTCAGGAGTGTGGAAAGACTAATTTAGTCCATTCTGTGAATGGACATTTGGGAGCTCATTGAGATCAATGGCAAAAAAACAGAATATCCCAGGATAAAAACTAGAAGGAAGCTACTTGAGAAACTGATTTGTGATGTGTGCATTCATCTCACAGAGTTAAACCATTCTTTGCATTCTGCAGTTTGGAAACACTGTTTTTGTCCATTCTGTGAATGGGTATTTGGGAGCTCATTGAGGCCAATGGCGAAAAAGAGAATATCACACAATAAACACTAGAAGGACTTTATCTGAGAAACCAATTTGTGATGTGTGCATTCATCTCACAGAGTTAAACCTTTTTTTTCCTTCAGCAGTTTGGAAACACTGTTTTCTTAGAATCTGTGAGGAGATATTTGGTAGCATATTGAAGCCTATGGGGGAAAAGGGAACAGTCTTCAAATAAAAACCAGAAAGAAGCTTTCTGAGAAACTGATTTGTGATGTGTTCATTCATCTCACAGAGTTAAACCTTTCTTTGGATTTAGCGGCTTGGAGACACTGTTATTGTACCTTTGAGAATCAAGTAGCTCATTGAGGTCAATGCAAAAAAAAGCGAATATCCCAGGATAAAAGCTAGAAGGAAGAGATCTGAGAAACCGCTTTGGGATGTGGGCATTCATCTCGCAGAAGTAAACTTTTCTTCACATTGAGCAGTTTGGAAACTACTTTTGTAGAATCTTCCAAATGATGTCTGTGAGCAATTTGAGGGCCTCTGGTGAAAAAGGAAATGTCTTCAGTTAAATGCTAGAAAGCAGCTTTCTGAGAAACTGCTTTGTTATCTGTGCATTCATATCACACAGTTAAACCTTTCTTTATATTCAGCAGAGAGGAAACACTGTCCATTCTGCGAATGGACATTTGGGAGGTCATTTAGGCCAGTGGTGAAAAAACGAATATCGCAGTATCAAAACTAGAAGGAAGTTATGTGAGAAACTGAAATGTGATGTGTGCCATCATCTCACAGAGTTAAACCTTTGTGTTCATTCAGCAGTTTGGATACACCATTTTCCTAGAAACTGCAAAGAGATATTTGGTAGTGCATTGAGGCCTATGGTAAAAAAGGCAATACCTTCAGATAAAACTAGAAAGAAGCTTTCAGAGAAACTGCTTTGTCATGTGTGCTTTTGTCTCACAGAGCTAAATTTTTCTTTGAATTCAACAGTTTGGAATCACTGTTTTTGTCCATTCACAGAATGGGCATTTGGGAGCTTATTGAAGCCAATGGCAAAAAAGTGAATATACCTGGAAAAAACTAGATGGAAGCTATCTGAGAAGCCACTTTGTGATGTGTGTATTCATCTCACATAATTAAACATTTCTTTTCATTCAGCAGCTTGCAAAGACTGTTTTCTTAGAATCTGCAAAGGGGTATTTGGCTGCACATTGAGGCTTTTAGTGAAAAATTAAATATCTTCAGTTAAAAACTAGAAACAATTTTTCTGAGAAACTGCTTTGTGATGCATTCATTCATCTTACAGAGTTAAACTTTTCTTTGGATTCAGCAGTTTGCAAACACTGTTTTTGTCCATTCTGCCCATGGACATTTGGAAGTTCATTGAGTCCAAAGGCCAAAAAGTAAATTTCTCAGGATAAAAAATAGAAGGAAGTTATCTGAGAAACCTAGTTGTGATGTGCGCATTCATCTCACAGAGTTAAACCTTTCTTTTCATTCAGCAGTTGGGAAATACTCTTTTCTTAGAATCTGCGAAGAGATATTTGGTAGTGCATTGAGGCCTAGGGTGAAAAAGGGAGTACATTCAGATAAAATTTAGAAAGAAGCTTTCTGAGAAACTGCTTTATGATGTGTGCATTCATCTCACAGAGTTAAAAGTTTATTTGGATTAAGCAGTTTGGAAACACTGTTTTTCTCCATTCTGCGAATGGACATTTGGGAGCTCATTTAGGCCAATGGTGAAAAAGAGAATATCCCTGGATAAAAACTACAAGGAAATTATCTGAGAAACTGACTTGTGATGTGTGCATTCATCTCACAGAGTTAAACCTTTCTTTGCATTGAGCAGTATGGAAACACTGTTTTCTATGAATCTGCAAAGAGATATTTTGTAGCGCATTGAGGCCTGCAGTGAAAAAGGGAATAACTTCAGTTAAAAACTAGAAGGAAGCTTTCTGAGAAACTGCTTTGTGATGTGTTCATTCATCTCACAGAGTTGTAACTTTCTTTGGATTCAGCAGTGTGAAAACACTCTTTTTGTCCATTCTGAGAATGGACATTGGGAGCTCATTGAGGCCAATGGTGAAAAAGTGACTATTGCAGTATAAAAACAGGAAGGAAGTTATGTGAGAAACCAATTTGTGTTGTGTGCATTCATACAAAGAGATAAACCTTTCTTTTCATTCAGCAGTTTGGAAAAACAGTTTTCTTAGAATCTGCAAAGAGATATTTGGGGGCACACTGTGTACTACTGTGAAAAACAAATTATCTCCAGATAAAAAATAGAAAAAATCTTTCTGAGAAACTGTGAAGAGATATTTGGTAGCGCAATGTGGCCACTGGTGAGAAACAAAATGTTTCTTAACAGATTCTAAGAAAACAGTTTTTCCAAACTGCTGAATGAAAAGAAAGTTTTTATTCTGTGAGATGAATATACACATCACAGATCGGTTTCTCTGATCACTGCCTTCTAGTTTTTATCCTGGGATAATCAATTTTTTGCCCATGGCTTCAATGAGCTCCCAAATGTCCATTTGCAGAATGGACAAAAACAGTGTTTCAAAACTGCTGAATCCAAAGAAAGTTTTAACTCTATCACATGAATGCACACATCACAAAGCAGTTTTTCAGAAAGCTTCTTTGTAATTTTTATGTGAAGATATTTCTTTTTCACCATAGTCCTCAGTGTACTCCTAAATATCCCTTCACAGATTCTACAAAAACAATGTTTCCAAACTGCTGATTGAAAAGAAAGGTTTTACACTGTGAGATGACTACACACATCACCACGTAGCTTCTGATATCTTTCTTCTAGTTTTTATCTTGGGATAATCACTTTTTCGCCATTGGCCTCAATGAGCTCCCAAATGAGTATTCGTGGATTCTACAGAACAGTGTTTACAAACTGCTGAATGAAAAGAAACTTTTAACTCTGTGAGATGAATGCCCACATCGCAAAGAGGTTTCACAGATAGGTTTTTTTTTTAAATTTTTATAGGAAGGTATTTCCTTTTTCAACATAGGTCTCAATGCCCTGCCTCATATTCCTTCACAGATTCTCCAAAAAGAGTGTTTACAAACTGTTGACTGAAAAGAAATGTTTAAATCTGCAAGATGAATGCAGACATCACAAGTCAGTTTCTCCAATATCTTTCATCCAATTTTGTCCTGGGATATTCACCTTTTCGTCATTGGCCTCAATGAGATCCCAAATGTCCATTTACAGTATGGACAAAAACAGTGTTTCCAAACTGCTGCATCCAAAGGAAGGTTGAACTCTGTGGGAGGAATGCACACATCACAAAGCAGTTTCTCAGAAAGCTTCTTTCTAGTTGTTATCTGAAGATATTTCCTTTTTCACCATAGGCCTCAATGTTCTCCCAAATATCTTTTAGCACATTCTACAAAAACGGTGTTTACAAAATGCTGAATGAAAAAAATGTTTAACTCTGTGAGATGAATGCACACATCACAAACTGGTTTCTTAGATAGCTTACTTCTAGTTTATCCTTATATATTCACTTTTTGCCTTTGGCCCCAATGAGCTCTGAAACGTTCATTCGCAGAATGGACAAAAACAGTGTTTTCAAATTGCTGAATCCAAAAAGTTTTAACTCTGTGAGATGAATGCACATATCACCAAGCAATTTCTCAAATATCTTCCTTCTAGTTTTCATCCTGGGATATTTACTTTTTCACCCTTTGCCTCAAAGAGTTCCTAAATGTCTTTTCTCAGAATGGACAAAAGCAATGTTTCCAAAGTGCTGAATTCAAAGACAGGTTTAGCTCAGTGAGATGAATGCACACAGCACAAGGTGGTTTCTCAGATATCTTCCTTCTAGTTTTTATCTTGGGATATTTGCTTTTTCACCATTGGCCTCAATGAGCTCCCAAATGTCCATTCACAAAATGGACCAAAACAGTGTTACCAAACTTCTGAATGAAAGAAATTTGTACTTCTGTGTGATGAAAGAGCACACCACAAAGTGGTTTCTTAGATTGCTTACTTTGAGTTTTTCTCCTAGGATATTCGCTTTTTTGCCATTGGCCTCAATGAGCTCCCAAATGTCCATTTGCAGCAGGGACAAAAACTGTTTCCAAACTGCTGAATCTTAGGAAAGGTGTAACTCTGTGAGATGAAGGCACACATCACAAAGCAGTTACTCAGATGTCTTCCTTCCAGTATGTATCTTGGGATATTTGCTTTTTCACCATTGGCCTCAAAGAGCTCCCAAATGCACATTCATAGACTGGACCAAAAGAGTGTTAGCAAACTTCTTAAAGAAAGGAAAGTTGTACCTCCGTGAGATGAATGCATGCATCACAAAGCAGTTTCTCAGAAAGCTTCTTTCTAGTTTTTATCCGAATATTTTTCCATTTTCACATTAGAACTCAATGTGCTACCAAATATCTCTTTGTAGATTCTAATAAGACAGTGTTTCCAAATTGCTGAATGAAAAGAAAGTTTTAATGCACACATCGTAATGTGCTTTCTTAAGTATTTTTTTTCTAGTTTTTATCCTGGAATATTAACTTTTTTGCCATTGTCCTCAATGAGCTCCCAAATGTCCATTCATAGAATGGACAAAAACCTTGTTTGCACACTGGTGAATCCAAAGAAAGTTTTAACTTTCTTTTTATCTGAAGACATTTCCTTTTTCACCATTGGCCTCAATGCCCTCCAAAATATAGCTTCACAGATTCTACAAAAAAAGTGTTTCCAAACTGCTGAATTAAAAGAAAACTTTAAATCTATGAGATGAATGCACACATAAGAAAACAGTTTCTCAGATATCTTCCTTCTAGTTTTTAATACTGTGATAGTCGCTTTTTAGGAATTGGTTTCAATGAGGTCCAAAGTGACCATTAGTAGAATGGACAAAAACACTGTTTCCAAACTGCTGAATACAAGGAAACTTTTAACTCTCTGAGATGAATGCACCCATGACAAAGCAGTTTCTCCGAAAGCTTCTTTCTAATTTTTACCTGAATATATTTTCTTTTTCACCACAGGCTACTATTTGCTACAAAATATCCCTTTGCAGACACTAACAAAACAGTGTTTTGAAACTTCTGAATGAAAAGAAAGTTTTAACTCTGTGAGATGAGTACATGGAGCAAAAAAGAGGTTTCTCAGATATCTTCTTTCTAGGGATTATCCTGGGATATTCACTTTTCACAATTGGCCTCAATGAGCTACTAAGTGTCCATTCACATAATGGACAAAAACATTGTTTCCAAACTGCTGAATCCAAAGACAGGTTTAACTCTATGAGATGAAGGACCACATCACAAATCAGTTTCTCAGAAAGTTTCTTTCTAGTTTTTATCTGAAGATATTTCCTTTTTCACCATAGGCCTCAATGCGCAGTCAAATGTCCCTTCGCAGATTCTACATAAACAGCGTTTCCAAACCGCTGAATGAAAAGAAAGTTTTAACTCTGCAAGATAAATGCAGACATCACAAAGCAGTTTCTCAGATAGCTTCCTTCAAGTGTTTATCCTGGGATATTTTCTTTTTCACTATTGGCCTAAATGAGCTCCCAAATTTCCATTTGCAGCATGCACAAACACTGCTTCCAAACTGCTGAATCCAAAGAAAGGTTTAACTCTGAGATGAATGCAAACAACACAAAGCAGTTTCTCAGCAAGCTTCATTTTAGTTGTTTTATGAAGATATTCCCTTTTTTGCAATAGGCCTCAATGGGTTCCCAAATATCGGTTTGCAGATTCTTCAAAAACAGTGTTTCAAAACTGCTGAATGAAAAGGAAAGTTTAAATCTCCAAGATGAATGCACACATCATGAAGCGGTTCCTCAGATAACTTCTTTCTAGTTTTTATCCTGGGATATTCGCTTTTTCACCACTGGCCTCAATGAGCTCCAAGAAGTCCATTCACAGAATGGACAAAGCAGTGTTTCCAAACTGCTGAATCCAAAGAAATGTTTAACTCTCTGAGATGAAGTAACACATCAAACTGCAGTTTCCCAGGATGCTTCTTTCTAGTTTTTATCTGAAGATATTTCCTTTTTCACAATAGGCCTCAATGCGCTGCCAAATATCCCTTCACAGATTATACAAAGACAGTGTTTCCAAACTGCTGAATGAAAAGAAAGTTTTAACAATGCTAGATGAATGCACACATCACAAAGCGTTTTCTCAGTCATTTTCCTTCTAGTTTTCATCCTGGGATATTCACATTTTCACCACTGGCCTGAAAGATCTCCCAAATGTCCATTCGCAGAATGGACAAAAACGGTGTTACCAAACTGCTGAATCCAAAGGTATGTTTAATTCTGTGAGATGAAGCATACATCCTAAAGCAGTTTTTCATTAAGCTTCTTTGTAGTTTATATCTGAAGATACTTCCTTTTTCACCACAGGCCTCAAGGCACTACCAAATATCTATTCGCAGATTCTAAGAAAGCAGTGTTTCCAAACCTCTGAATGAAAAGAAAGGTTTAAATCTGTGAGATGAATGCACACATCACAAATCGGTTGCACAGATAATGTGCTTCTAGTTTTTATCCTTTTATATTCACTTTTCTGCAATGGCCTCAATGAGCTCCCAAACGTCCTTTCGCAGAATGGAAAAAAAAAACAGTGTCTCCAAACTGCTGAATCCAAAGAAATGTTTAACTCTGTAAGATGAATGAACATGTCACAAAGCAGTTTCTCAGAAAGCTTCTTTCTAGTTTTTATCTGAACATATTTCCTTTTTCACAATAGGCCTCAATGCACTGCTAAATATCCCTTCTCAGATGCTACAAAAATAGTGTTTCCAAACTGCCGAATGAAAAGAAAGGTTTAACTCTGTGAGATGAATGCACACATCACTAAGCGGTGTCTCAGAGAGCTTCCTTCTAATTTTTATCATGGGATATTTGCTTTTTTACCATTGGCTCAATGAGTTCCTAAATGTCTATTTGCAGAATGTACAAAAACACTGTTACCAAACTGCTGAATCCAAAGAAGTATTTAACTCTGTGAGATGAATCCACACTTCACAAAGCAATTTCTCAGAAAGCTTCTTTCTGGTTTTTATCTGATAATATTTCCTTTTTCACAGTAGGCCTCAATGTGCTGCCAAATATCAATTTGCAGATTCTAAGAAAACAGTGTTTCCCAACTGCTGAATGAAAAGAAAATTTTAAATCTGTGAGATGAATGCACACCACACAGAGAAGTTTCTCAGATATCTACCTTGTAGTTTTTACCCTGGGATATTTGATTTTTTGCCATTGGCGTCAATGAACTCCCAAATGTCCAATAGGAGGATGGACAAAAACAGTGTTAAAAAAAACAGCTGAATCCAAAGAAATGTTTAAGTCTGTGAGATGAAACCACACATCAAAAGTAGTGTCTCAGAACGGTTCTTTCTAGTTTTTATCTGAAGATATTTTCATTATAGGCCTCACTGGGTAACTAATATCTCTTTGCAGACTCTAAGAAAACAGTTTCCTAACTGCTGAATGAAAACAAAGGTTTAACACTGAGAGGAATGACCACATCACAAAGCAGTTTCTCAAAAAGCTCCATTCTAATTTTTACCTGAATATATTCCCTTTTTCACCATAGTCCTCAACGAGATCCTAAATATCCTTCCGCAGATTCTAGAAAAACAATGTTTCCAAACTGCTGAATGAAAAAAAAATTTAACTATGTGAGATGAATGCATACAACCCAGAGCAGTTTCTCAGATATCTTCTTTCTAGTTTTTATCCTGGGATAATCACTTTTTTGCCTTTGGCTGAGGCAAAATGAGCTTCCAAATGTCCGTTCACGGAATGGACAAAAACAGTGTTTCCAAACTGCTGAATCCAAAGAAAGGTTTAACTCTGTGAGATGAACGAACACATCACAAAGCAGTTTCTCAGAAAGCTTCTTTCTAGTTTTTATCTGAAAACATACACTTTTTCACCATAGGCCTCAATGTGCTTCAAAATATCCTTTCACATATTCCACAAAAAGAGTGTTTAAAAACTGCTGAATGAAAAGAAAAGTTTAACTCTGTGAAATGAAAACACACATAGCAAATCAGTTTCTCAGATAACGTGCTTGTAGTTTTTATCCTGGGATATTCACTTTTTCACCATTGGCCTCAGTGGGCTCCAAAAAGTCCTTTGGCAGAGTGGAAAAAAACAGTGTAAATAAACTGCTGAATCTAAAGAAATGTTTAACTCTGTGAGATGAATCCCCACATCAAAAAACTAGTCTCTCAGAAGGGTTCTTTTTAGTTTTTTTGTCTCAAGATATTTCCTTTTATACCATAGGCTTCATTGTGCTACTAAATATCTCTTCAGAGATACTAAGAAAAAAGTGTTTTCAAACTGCTGAATGAAAAAATGGTTTAACTCTATGAGAAGAATGCACACATCATAAGTCAGTTTCTCAGATAACATGCTTCTAGTTTTTATCCTGGGATATTCCCTTTTTCACCTTTGGCCTCAATGAGCTCCCAAATGTCCATTCACAGAATGGACAAAAACAGTTTTATGAAACTGCTGAATCCAAAGAAAGGTTTTACTCTATGAGATGAATGCATACATCTCAAAGCAGTTTCTCAGAGAGCTTCCTTTTAGTTTTTATAATGAGATATTTGGTTTTTCACCTTTTGCCATGATGAGTTCCCAAATTTCCATTCACAGAATGGACAAAAACAGTGTTACCAAACTGCTGAATCCAAAGAAAAGCGGAAATCTGTGAGAAGAATGAACACATCCTGAAGCAGTTTCTCAGAAAAGTTCTTTCAGTTTTTACCTGAATAGATTCTCTTTTTCACCATAGTCCTCGATGTGCTCCCAAATATCCTTTCACAGATTCTACAAAAACAATGTTTCCAAACTGCTGAATGAAAAGAAAGCTTTAACTCTGCGAGGTGAATTCACACAACACAGAGCAGTTTCTCAGATATCTTCCTTTCACTTTTTGTCCTGAGATATTCACCTTTTCTCCTTTGGCCTCAATGAGCTCCCAAATGTCCATTCACAGAACGGAGAAAAACAGTTTTATGAAACTGCTGAATCCACAGAAAGGTTTTACTCTATGAGCTGAATGCATATATCTCAAAGCAGTTTCTCAGATAGCTTCCTTTTAATTTTTATAATGGGATATTTTCTTTTTCACCTTTTGCCATGATGAGTTCCCAAATTTCCATTCACAGAATGAACAAAAACAGTGTTATCAAACTGCTGAATCCAAAGAAAGGCTGAACTCTGTGAGATGAATGAACACATCACAAAGCAGTTTCTCAGAAAGCCGCTTTCTAGTTTTTATCTGAAGATACTTCCTTTTTCACAATAGGCTTCAATGCATTTGAAATATCCCTTCACATATTCTACAAAAACAGTGTTTCCAAACTGCTTAATATAAAGAAAGGTTTAATTCTGTGAGACGAAAGCACACAACACAAATAAGTTTCTCCGATAACTTGCTTGTAGTTTTTATCCTGGGATATTCACTTTTTCGCCATTGGCCTCAATGGGATCCCAACTGTCCATTTGCAGAATGAACAAAAACAGTGTTTCCAAACAGCTGAATCCAAAGAAACGTTTAACTCTTTAAGACGAATGAACACATAACAAAGCAGTTTCTGAGATAGCTTCTTTCTAGTTTTTAATGAATATATTCCTTTTTCATCATAGTCCTCAATGCGATCCCAAATATCCCTTTGCATATTCTACAAAAACAATGTTTCCAAATGCTAAATGAAAAGAAAGCTTTAAATCTGCGAGATGAATGCACACAACACAGAGCAGTTTCTCAGATATCTTCTTGGTAGTTTTTATCATGGTATTCCTTTTTTCGCTTTTGGCCTCAATGAGCTCCAAAATGTCCATTCTCAAAGTGGACAAAAACAGTGTTATTATACTGCTGAATCCAAATAAAGGTTTAATTCTGGGAGATGTATGAACACATCACAAAGCAGTTTCTCAGAAAGCTGTTTCTAGTTTTAATATGAAGATATTTCCTTTTTCACCATGGGCCTTAATGCACTGCCAAATATCCCTTTGCAGATGCTACAAATACAGTGTTTTGAAACTGCTTCAATGAAAAGAAAGGTTTAACACTGTGAGATGAATGCATACATCACAAAGCAGTATCTCAGAGAGGTTCCTTCTAGTTTTTATCCTGGGATATTTGCTTTTTCACCTTTGGCCTCAAAGAGCTTCCAAATGTCCACTTGCAGAATGGAATAAAGCAGTGTTATCAAACTGCTGAATCCAAAGAAGGTTTAATTTTGGGAGATGAATAGACACATCGCAAAGCAGTTTCTCAGAGAGATTCTTTCTAGTTTTTGTCTGAAGATATTTCCTTTTTCACCAAGATTTCAATGTGCTCCCAAATATCACAAAACAATGATTCTGAACTGCTGAGTGAAAAGAAAAGTTGAACTCTGCGAGATGAATGCACACAACACAGAGCAGTTGCTTAGATATCTTCCTTCTAGTTTTTATCCAGGGATATTTGCTTTTTTGCCTTTGGCCTCAATGAGCTCCCAAATGTCCATTCACAGAATGGACAAAAACACTGTTACCAAACTTCTGAATCCAAAGAAAGGTTTTATTCTGTGAGATGAATGCTCACACTCCAAAGCACTTTCTTGTTAAACTTCTTTCTAGTTTTTATCTGAAGATATTTCCTTTTTCACTACAGGCCTCGATGCGCTGCCAAATATCCCTTTGCAGATTGTACGAAAAAAGTGTTTCCAAACTGCTGAATGAAAAGAAGTGCTTAACTGTGAGAGATGAATGCACACATCCCAAATCGGTTTCTCAGATAATGTGCTTGCAGTTTTTTTCCTGGGTATTCGATTTTTCACCATTGGCCTCATTGGTCTCCCAAATGTCCATTAGCAGAATGGACAAAAACAGTGTATATAAAGTGCTGAATCCAAAGAATGGTTTAACTCTCTGAGATGAATAACCACAACAAAAAGTAGCCTCTCAGAAAGGTTCTTTCTGAGATATATTTGTATCTGAATATGCTTCCTTTTTCACCATAGGCCTCATTGCACTACCAAATATCACTTTGCAAATTCTAAGAAAACAGTGTTACCAAACAGCTGCATGAAAGGAAAGGTTTAACTCTGTGAGATGAATGCAGACATCACAAAGCGTCTTCTCAGAGAGCTTTCTTCTAGTTTTTAATCCTAGGATATTTGCTTTTTCGACACTGGCCTCAATGAGCTCCCAAATGTCCATTAGCTGAGGGGACAAAAACAGTGTTTCCAAACTGCTAAATCCAAAGAAATGCTTAACTCTGTGAGCTGAATGCACAGATCCCAAAGCAGTTTGTCATTAAGCTTCTTTCCAGTTTCTATCTGAAGATATTTCATTTTTCAACATAGGCCTCAATTCGCTACAAATATCAGTTTGCAGATTCTAAGAAAACAGTGTTTCCAAACTGCTGAATGAAAAGGAAGATTTAACATTGTTAGAAGAATGCACACATCACAAATAGCTTTCTCAGATTACTTCCTTCTAGTTTCTATCCTGGGATATTCACTTTTTTGCCATTGGCCTCAATGAGCTCCTAAATGTCCATTCACAGTATGGACAAAAACAGTGTTTCCAAACTGCTGAATTGAAAGAAAGGTTTAACTCTGTGAGATGAATGAACATATCCCAAAGCAGTTTCCCAGAAAGCTTCTTTCTTGTTTTTATCTGAAGACATATCCTTTTTCACCATAGGCCTCAATGCACTTCCAAATATCCCTTCACATATTCTACAAAAGGAGTGTTTCTAAACTGCAGAATGAAAAGAAAGGTTTAACTCTGTGAGACGAATGCACACATAACAAATCAGTTTCTCAGATAACGTGCTTGTAGTTTTCATCTTGGGATATTTGCTTTTTTGCCATTGCCCTCAAAGGGTTCTCAAATGTCCATTGGTGGAAAGGTCAAAAAAAGTGTAAATAAACTGCTGAAAACAAAGAAAGATTTAACTCTGTGAGATGAACCCCCTCATCTAAAAGTAGTCTCTCAGAAATGTTCTTTCTAGTTTTTATCTAAAGACATTTCCTTTTTCACCATAGGCCTCATTGTGCTACCAAATGTCTCTTTGCAGATTCTAAGAAAACAGTGTTTCCAAACTGCTAAATGAAAAGAAAGTTTTATCTCTGCGAGATTAATGCATAACTAGATGAATGCATCTGGTTTTTATCCTGAGATATTTGCTTTTTCACCATTGGGATCAATGAGCCCCCAAATGTCCATTCACAGAATGGACAAAAACAGTGATACCAAACTGCTGAATCCAAAGAAAGTTGAAATCTGTGAGATGAGTGAACACATCACAAAGCAGTTTCTCAGAAAGTTTCTTTCTAGTTTTTATCTGATGATATTGCCTCTTTCACAATTGGCCTCAATGCGCAGCCAAATATCCCTTCGCAGATTCTACAAAAACAGTGTTTCCAAACTGCTGAATGAAAAGAAAGTTTTAACTCTGGGAGATGAATGCACACATCACAAAGTGGTTTCTCAGAGAGCTTCCTTCTAGTTTTTATCCTGGGATATTCTCTTTGTCACTATTGGCCTCAATGAGCTCACAAATATCCATTCCAGAATGGACAAAACCAGTGTTCCCAAACTGTTGAATCCAAAGAAATGTTTAACTCTGTGAGATGAATGCACAAATCCCACAGAAGTTTGTCATTAAGCTTCTTTCTAGTTTTTATCTGAAGATATATTGTTTTTTCACCGCAGGCCTCAATGCGCTACCAAATATCAGTTTGCAGATTCTAACAAAACAGTGTTTCAAAACTGCTGAATGAAAAGAAAATTTTAACTCTGTGGGATGAATGCACAACATCACAAATCGCTTTCTCAGATAACTTATTTCTAGTTGTCTTCATGGGATATTTGCTTTTTTGTCAATGGCCTCAATGAGCTCCCAAATGTCCATGAGCAGAATAGACAAAAAGAGTGTTTACCAACTGTTGAATCCAAAGAAAGCTTTAACTCTGTGAGATGAATGAACACATCACAAAGCAGGTACTCAGAAAGCTTATTTCTAGTTTTTATCTGAAGACATATGATTTTTCACATTAGGCCTCAATGCGCTTCCAAATATCCCTTCACATATTCTACAAAAAGAGTGTTTCCAAGCTGCTGAATGAAAAGAAATGTTTAACTCTGTGAGATGAATGCACACATCACCAATCAGTTTCTCAGATAATGTGCTTGTAGTTTTTATCCTGGGTTATCCGCTTTTACACTTTGGCCACAAGGGGCTCCCACTGGCAGTATGGATAAAAACAGGGTAAATAAACTGCTGAATCCAAAGGAAGGTTTAACTCTATGAAAAGAATCCACACATCAAAAAGTAGTCTTTCAGAATAGATCTTTCTGTTTTTTATCTAAAGGTATTTCCTTTTTCACCATATGCCTCATTATGCTTCCAAATATCTCTTTGCAGATTCTAAGAAAACAGTGTTTCCAACCTGCTGAATGAAAAGAAAGGTTTAACTCTGTGAGATAAATGCACACATCACAAATCGGTTTCTCAGATAACTTCTTTCTAGTTTTTATCACGGGATATTTGCTTTTTTGCCATAGGCCACAAGGAGCTCCCAAATGTCGATTTGCAGAATGGAGAAAAACAGTGTTTCCAAACTGATGACTGCAAAGAAAGGTTTATCTCTGTAAGATGAATGAACACATCACAAAGCAGTTTCTCAGAAAGCTTCTTTCTAGTTTTTACCTGAACATATTCCCTTTTTCACCATAGGCCTCTGTGAACTCCCAAATATCCCTTGGCAGATTCTACAAAAACAATGTTTCCAAACTGCTGAATGAAAAGAAAGGCTTAACACTGTGAGATGAATGCACACATCACACAGCATTTTCTCAGAGAGCTTCCTCCTAGTTTTTATCCTAGGATATTCACTTTTTTAACGTTGGCCTCCATGAGCTCCCAAATGTCCATTCACAGAATGGGCAAAAACAGTGTTTCCAAACTGCTGAATCCAAACAAAAGTTTAACTCTGTGAGGTGAATGAACACATCACAAAGCAGTTTCTCAGAAAGTTTCTTTCTAGTTTGTATCTGAAGACATATTGTTTTTCACAATAGGCCTCAATATGCTTCCAAATATCCCTTAAAACATTGTACAAAAAGAGTGTCTCCAAACTGCTGAATGAAAAGAAAGATTTAACTCTGTGAGATGAATGCTCACATCACAAATCAGTTTCTCAGATAAAGTGCTTGTAGCTTTTATACTGGGATATTCACTTTTTCACCATTGGCCTCAATAGGCTCCCAAATGTCCGTAGACAGAACGGACTAAAACAGTGTAAATACATTGTTGAATCTAAGGGAAAATTTAACTCCATGAGATGAATCCCCACATCAAAAAGTATTCTCTCAGAAAAGTACTTGCTAGTTTTTATCTAAAGATATTTCCTTTTTCACCATAGGCCTCATTGCACTACCAAATATCTATTCAAAGATTTTAAGAAAAAAGTGTTTACAAGTTGCTGAATGAAAAGAGAGGTTTAACTCTGCAAGATGAATGCATGCATCATAAAGCGGTTTCTCAGAGAGCTTCCTTCTAGTTTTTATCATGAGATATTCGCTTCTTGGCCATTGGGCTCAATGAGCTCCCAAATGTCCATTCGCAGAATGGACAAAAATAGTGTTATCAAACTGCTGAATCCAAAGAAAGGTTGAACTCTGTGAGATGAATGAACACTTCCCAAAGCAGTTTCTCAGAAAGCTTCTTTCTAGTTTTTATCTGAATATATTTCCTTTTTCACCATAGGCCTCAATTCACTGCCAAATATCCCTTCACAGATTCTATAAAAAAGGTGTTTCCAAAATGCTGAATGAAAAGCAAGTTTTAACTGTGTGCGGTGAATGCACACATCACAAAGCAGTTTCTCAGATATCTTCCTTCTAGTTTTTATCCTGGAATATTCTCTTTTTTGCCATTGGCCTCAGTGAGCTCCCAAATGTCCATTCACAGAATGGACAAAAACAGTGTTACCAAACTGCTGAATCCAAAGAAAAGTTTAACTCTGTGAGATGAATGCAGAGATCCCAAAGCAGTTTGTTTTTAAGCTCCTTTCTAGTTGTTATTTGAAGATATTTCATTTTTCACCATAGGCCTCAATGTGCTACCAAATATCAGTTCACACATTCTAAGAAAACAGTGTTTCAAAACAGCTGAATGAAAAGAAAAGTTCAACTCTGTGAGATGAATGCACACATCACAAATGGGTTTCTCCAATCACTTCTTTCTAGTTTATATCCTGGGATATTTGCTTTTTCGCCATTGGTCTCAATGAGCTCCCAAATGTCCACGCGCAGAATGGACAAAAACAGTGTTTCCCAACTGCTGAATCCAAAGAAAGTTTTAACTCTGTGAGACGAATGAAGACATCATGAAACAGCTTCTCAGAAAACTTCTTTCTAGTTTTTATCTGAAGACATATCCTTTTTCATCATAGGTCTCAATGTGCTTCCAAATATCCTTTCACATATTCCAAAAAAGGAGTGTTTCCAAACTGCTTAATGAAAAGAAAGGTTTAACTCTGTGAGACCAAAGCACACATCACCAATCAGTTTCTCAGATACGTGCTTGTTTTTATCCTGGGACAGTTGCTTTTTCACCATTGGCCTCAATGGGCTCCCAAATGTTCATTGGCAGAGTGGTCAAAAACAGTGTAAATAAACTGCTCAATCCAAAGAAAGTCTCAACACTGTGAGATGAATCCCCACATCAAAAACTAGTCTCTCAGAAAGTTTCTTTCTAATTTATATCTGAAGATATTGCCTTTTTCACAGTAGGCCGCATTGCACTACAAAATATCTCTTCGCAGATTCTAAGAAAACGGTGTTCAAAACTGCTGAATGAAGAAAAGTTTTAACTCTGTGAGATGAATGCATACATCATAAGTTGGTTTCTCAGATATTGTTCTTCTAGTTTTATCCTGGGATGTTAACTTTTTCGCCTTTGGCCTCAATGAGCTCCCAAATGTCCAACCCATCACAATGCAGTTCCTCAGAAAGCTTCTTTCTAGTTTTTATCTGAAGATATTTCGTTTTTCACAATAGGTCTCAAGAAGCTGCCAAATATTCCTTCACAGATTCTACAAAAACAGTGCTTCCAAACTGTTGAATGAAAAAAAAGTTTTAACCCTGCAAGATGAATGCACACAACATGGAGCATTTTCTCAGATATCTTCCTTCTAGTTTTTATCCTTGGATATTCCCTTTTTCCTTATTGGCCTCAATGACATCTCAAATGTCCATTTGCAGAATGGGCAAAAACAGTTTTTCCAAATGGGTTAATCCAAAGAAAGGTTTAACTCTCTGAAATGAATGAAGAAATCACAAGGCAGTTTCTCAGAGAGCTTCCTTCTAATTTTTACCCCTGGATGTTTGCCATTGGCCTCAAAGAGCTCCCAAATGTCCATTCACAGAATGGACAAAAACAGTGTTACCCAACTGCTGAATCCAAAAAAATATTTAACTCTGTGATATGAATGAACCCAGCACAAAGCAGTTTCTCAGAAAGCTTTTTTGTTTTTATCTGAATATATTTCCTTTTTCACAACAGGCCTCAATGCGCTGCCTAATATCCCTTCTCTGATTCTACAAAAACAGTGTTTCCAAACTGCTGAATGAAAAGAAAGGTTTAACTCTTTGAGATGAATGCACACATGACAAAGCTTTTTCTCAGATATCTTCCTTCTAATTTTTATCCTGGGATACTCACTCTTTTGCCATTGGACTCAATGAGCTCCCAAATGTCCATTCGCACAATGGACAAAAAGTGTTACCAAACTGCTGAATTCAAAGAAAGGTTTAACATTGTGAGATGAAAGCACACTTCACAAAGCAGTTTCTCAAAAAGCTTCTTTCTAGTTTTTATCTGAATATGTTCCCTTTTTCACCATAGGACTCAATGCGCTCCCAAATATCCCATTGCAGATTCTACAACAACAATGATTCCAAATAGCTGAAAGAAAAGAAAGGCTTAACTCTTTGAGATGAATGCACACATCACAAAGTTTTTTCTCAGATACCGTCCTTGTCTTTTTTATCCTGGGATACTGACTTTTTTGCCATTGGACTCAATGGGCTCCAAAATGCCCATTCGCACAAAGGACAAAAACAGTGTTACCAAACTGTTGAATTCAAAGAAATGTTTAACAGTGTGAGATGAAAGCTGACGTCACAAAGCAGTCTCTCAGGGAGCTTCTTTCTAGTTTTTATCTGAAGATATATCCATTTTCACCATATGTCTCAATGCGCTGCCAAATATCCTTTCACATAGTCCATAAAAACAGTGTTTCCAAACTGCTGAATGAAACGACAGTTTTAACTCCATGAAATGAATACCCACATCAAAAAGTGGTTTCACATAGAGCTTCCCTCTAGTTTTTATCCTGGGATATTCGTTATTTTGCCATTGGCCTCAATGAGCTCCCAAGTGTCCATTCACAGAATGGACAAAAGCATTATTACCAAACTGCTGAATCCAAAGAAAGGTTTAACTCTGTGAGAGGAATGAACATATCAGAAAGCAGTTCCTCATTAAGCTTCTTTCTAGATTTTATCTGAAGATATTTCCTTTTTCAAAATAGGCCTCGAAGCACTGCCAAGTATCCCCTTGCAGACACTACAAAAACAGTGTTTCCAAACTGCTGAATGAAAAGAAATTTTTGACTGTGTGAGATGAATGCATACATCACAAAGCGTTTTCTCAGAGTGCTTCCTTCTAGTTTTTATCCTGGAATGTTCACTTTTTCGCCCTTGGTCTCAATGAGCACCCAAATGTCCATTGGCAGAATAGAAAAAACAGTTTTACCAAATTTCTGAATGGAAAGAAAGCTTTAACTCCGAGATGAATCCACACATCAAAAAGTATTCTCTCATAAATATTATTTCTAGTATTTATCTGAAGATATTTATTTTTTCACCATAGGCCTCATTGTGCTACCAAATATTTATTCACAGATTCTAAGAAAACAGTGTTTCCAAACTGATGAATAAAAAGAAAGGTTTAACTCTGTGAGATGAATGCACACATCAGAAATCTTTTTTCAGGTAACGTGCCTCTAGGTTTTATCCTTGGATATTGACTTTTTTGCCATTGGCCTCAGTGATCTCCCAAGTATCCATTTGCAGAATGGACAAAAACAGTGTTTCCAAACTGGTGAAGCCAAAGAAAGTTTAACTCTCTAACATGAATGAACACATCACAAAGCAATTTCTCAGAAAGCTTGTTTCCAGTTTTTATCTGAAGATGTTTCCTTTTTCATGATAGGCCTCAATGTGCTGCCAAATAGCCCTTCACAGATTCTACAAAAACAGTGTTTCCAAACTACTGAATGAAAAGAAAGGTTTAACTCTGTGAGATGAATGCACAAATCACAAACCATTTTCTCAGTTATGTTCCTTCTAGTTTTATCCTGGGATATTCACTTTTTCACCATTGGCCTCAATGACTTCCCAAATGTCCATTCACAGAATGGACAAAAACAGTGTTACGAAACTGCTGAATCCAAAGAAAAGTTTAACTCTGTGAGATGAATGCACACATCCCATAGCAGTTTCTCATTAAGCTTCTTTCTAGTTTTCATCTGTAGATATTTCCTTTTTCACCTTAGGCCTCAAATCGCTGCCAAATGTCTCTTTGCCAATTCTAAGAAAGCAACGTTTCCAAACTGCTGAATGAAAGGAAAGGTATAACTCTTTGAGATGAGTGCACACATCACAAATCGGTTTCTCAGGTAACTTCCTGCTAGATTTTATCCTGGGATATTCACTTTTGCCATTGGACTAAATGAGCTCTCAAATGTCCATTCACACAATGGACAAAAACAGTGTTACCAAACTGCTGAATCTAAATAAAGGTTTAACTCGGTGAGATCAAAGCACACTTCAAAAAGCAGTTTCTCAGAAAGCTTCTTTCTAGTTTTCATTTGAAGATATTTCGCTTTTCACCATAGGCCTCAATGCGCTGTCAAATATCCCTTTGCAGATTCTACAATAACAGTGTTTCCAATATGCTGAACGGAAAGACAGGTTTAACTATCCGAGATGAATGAACACATCACAAAGCAGTTTCTCAGATAAAGTGCTGCTAGTTTTCATCCTGGGATATTCCCTTTTTCGCCATTGGCCTCAATGAGTCCCAAAGTCCATTTACAGAATGTACAAAAACAGTGTTTCCAAACTGCTGAATCCAAAGAAAGGTTTAACACTGTAAGATGAATGAACCCATCACAAAGCAGTTTCTCAGAAAGCTTCTTTCAAGTTTTTTCCTGAATATATTTCCTTTTTCACCATAGGCCTCAATGCACTCCAAAATATCTCTTTGCAGATTCTATGAAAACAATGTTTACAAGCTGATGAATGAAAAGAAAGGTTTAACTCTGTGAGATGAATGCACACAACACAGAGCATTTTCTCAGATATCTTCCATCTGGATTTTATCCTGGGATATTGGCTTCTCTGCCATTGGCCTCAATGAGCTCCTAAATATCCATTTGTAGAATGGACAAAAACAGTGTTTCCAAACTGCTGAATCCAAAGAAAGTTTTAACTCTGTAAGATGAATACACACATCCCCAAGCAGTTTCTCATTAAGCTTCCTTCTACTTTTTATCTGAAGCAAATTCCTTTTTCCTGATAGGCCTCAATGCGCTACCAAATATCTCTTTCTTTGCAGATTCTGAGAAAACAGTATTTCCAAACTACTGAATGAAAATAAAGGTTTAACTCTGTGAGATGAATGCACACATCACAAATCGGTTTCTCAGATAATTTTCTTCTAGATTTTATCCTGGGGTATTCACTTTTGCCATTGGACTAAATGAGCTCCCAAATGTCCATTCACACAATGGACAAAAACAGTGTTACCAAACTGCTGAATCTAAAGAAAGGTTTAAATCTGTGGGATCAAAGCACACTTCAAAAAGCAGTTTCTCAGAAAGCTTCTTTCTAGTTTTCATCTGAAGATATTTTGCTTTCCACCATAGGCCTCAATATGCTCTTAAATATAGATTTTATCCTGGGATATTCACTTTTTTGCCATTGGCCTCAATGAGCTCCCAAATGTCCATTCACAGAATGGACAAAAACAGTGTTTCCAAACTGCTGAATCCAAAGAAAGCTTTACCTCTGTGAGATGAATGAACACATCACAAAGCAGTTTATCAGAAAGCTTCTTTCGAGTTTTTGTCTGAAGAAAATTCCTTTTTCACCATAGGCCTCAATGCACTCTCAAATATACCTTCACAGACTTTACAAAAACAGTGTTTCCAAACTGCTGGATGAAAAGAAAGGTGTAATTCTGTGAGATGAATGCACACATCCCAAAGCCTTTTTTCAGATATCTTCTTTCTCTGTTTTATCCTGAGATATTCACTTTTTTGCCATTGGACTCAATGAGCTCTGAAATGTCCATTCACAGAATTGAAAACAAGTGTGTTATCAAATGCTCAATCCAAAGAAATGTTTAACTGTGAAATGAATGCACACATCCAAAGCAGTTTCTCATTAAGCTTCTTTCTAGTTTTTATCTGAAGATATTTTCTTTTTGACCATTGGTCTCCAATGTGCTGCAAAATATCTATCACAGATTCTACAAAAACAGTGTTTCAAAACTCCTGATTTAAAAGAAAGGTTTAACTGTGTGAGATGAATGCACCCATCACAAAGCGTTTTCTCAGACAGCTTTCTTCTAGTTTTCATCTTGGAATATTTGCTTTTTTGACATTGGCCTCAAAGAGATCCAAAATGTCCATTTGCAGAATGGACAAAAACAGTGTTACAAACTGCTGAATCCAAAGAAAGTTTAAAGTCTGTGAGATGAATGAACACAGCACAAATCAGTTTATCAGAAATCTTCTTTCTAGTATTTATCTGAAGATATTTCCTTTTTCACCATAGGACTCAATGCACTGCAAGTTATCTATCACAGATACTACAAAAACAATGTTTCCAAACTGCTGAATGAAAATGAAGGTTTAACACTACGAGATGAATGCACACATCACAAAGCGTTTTCTCAGATATCTTCCTTCTAGTGGTATATTCACTTTTTCACCATTGGCCTCAATGAGCTCTCAAATGTTCATTCACACAATGGACAAAAACACTGTTACCAAACTGCTGAATCCAAAGAAAGTTCAACCCTGTGAGATGAATGCACACATCACAAAGCAGTTTCTCCTTAAGCTTCTTACTTGTTTTTATCTGAAGATATTTCCTGTTTCACAATAGGCCTCAATGTGCTACAAAATATCTCTTCGCAGATTCTAAAAACAGGGCTTCCAATCTGCTGAGTGTAAAGAAAGTTTTAACACTGCAAGATGAATGCACACATCACAAAGCATTCTCACAGATATCTTCCTTCTAATTTTATCCTGAGATATTCACTTTTTCACCATTGGCTTCAATGAGCTCCCAAATATCCAATCACAGAATGGAAAAAGACAGTGTTAGTTAACTGTTGAACCCAAAGAAAAGTTCAACTCTATGAGATGAAAGCACACATCAAAAAGCAGTCTGTCAGAATGCTTCTTTCTAGTTTTTATCTGAAGATATTTCCTTTTTCACCATAGGCCTCTTTGCACTACAAAATATCTCTTCGCATATTCAAAGACAACAGTGTTTCCTAACTGCTTAATGAAAAAAAGTTTCAACTCTGTGAGATGAATGCACACATCACAAATCGGTTTCTCAGATAACTTTCTTCTAGTTTTATCCTGGGATATTCCCTTTTTCACCATTGGCCCCAATGAGCTCCCAAATGTCCATTCACAGAATGGACAAAAACAGTGTTTCCAAACTGCTGAATCCTAAGAAAGGTTTAACTCTGTGAGATGAATGAGCACAGCACAAATCAGTTTATCAGAAAGCTTCTTTATAGTTTTTATCTGAAGATATTAACTTTTTCACCATAGACCTCAATGCGCTCCCAATTATCTATCACAGACACTACAAAAACAGTGTTTCCAAACTGCTGAATGAAAAGAAAGGTTTATCATTATGAGATGAATGAACACATCACACAGCATTTTCTCAGATATCTTCCTTCTAGTTTCTATCATGGTATATTCACTTTTTCACCATTGGCCTCAATGAGCTCCCAAATGTCCATTCACACAATGTACAAAAACATTGTTACCAAACTGCCGAATCCAAACAATGTTTTAACTCTGTGAGATGAATGCACACATCTGAAACCTGTTTCTCATTAAGCCTCTTTCTCGTTTTTATCTGAAGATATTTCCTTTTTCACAATAGGCCTCAATGTGCTACCAAATATCACTTTGCAGATTGTACTAAAGTACTTACAAACAGTGGAAAGTAAAGAAAGGTTTAACACTGCTAGATGAATGCACACATCACAAGCATTTTCTCAGATATCTTCCTTCAAATTTTATCCTGGGATATTCACTTTTTTGCCATTGGTCTCCATGAGCTCCCAAAAGTCCATTCACAGAATGGACAAAGACAGTGTTACCTAGCTGTTGAATGCAAAGAAAAGTTGAACTCTGTGAAATGAATGCACATATCAAAAAGCAGTCTGTCAGAAAGGTTCTTTCTAGTTTTTATCTGAAGATATTTCCTTTTTCACCATAGGCCCATTTGCGCTACAAAATATTTCTTCGCAGATTCAACGTAAACACTGTTTCCAAACGGCAGAATGAAAAGAAAGTTTTAACACTTTGAGATGATTGCACACATCACAAATTGGTTTCTCAGATAAATTTCTTCTAGTTTTTATCCTGGGATATTCACTTTCTCACCATTGGCCTCAATGCGTTCCCAAAGGTCCATTCAGAGAATTTGAAAAAATAGTATTTCCAAACTGCTGAATCCAAAGAAAGGTTTAACTCTGTGAGAAGAATGAACACATCAGAAAGCAGTCTCTCAGAAACCTTCTTTATAGTTTTTACCTGAATATATTCCCTTTTTCACCATAGGCCCCAATGTGCTCCCAAATATCACTTCACAGATGGTAGAAATACTTTTCCAAAACTGCTGAATGAAAAGGAAGGTTTAACTCTTTGAGATTAATGCACACAACATAAACATTTCTCAGATATGTTCCTTCTAGTTTTATACTGGGATATTCACTTTGCCACCATTAGCCGCAATGATTTCCCAAATGTGCATTTGCAGAATGGACAAATACAGTGTTTCCAAACTGCTGAAGCCAAAGAAAGCTTTCACTCTGTGAGATGAACACACATATCCCAAAGCATTTTCTCAGAAAGCTTCTTTCTAATTTTTATTGGAAAGTATTTCCTTTTTCACCCTATGCCTCAATGCGCTATCAAAACCTCTTCACAGAACCTAAGAAAACAGTTTTCAAACTGCTGAATGAGAAGAAGGGTTTGCTCTGTAAGGTGAATGCACACATCACAAATCCGTTTCTCAGATAATTTCCTTCTAGTTTTTATCCTGGGATATTTGCTTTTTTTGCCATTGGCCTCAATGAATTCCCAAATGTCCATTCGCAGATTGGGTTAAAACAGTGTTTCAAAACTGCTGAGTCCAAGGAAATATTTAACTCTGTGAGATGAGTGACCACATCGCAAAGCCGTTTCTCAGAAAGCTTTTTTCTAGTTTTTATCTAAAGATATTTCATTTTTCACCATAGGCCTCAATGCGCTGCTAAATATCCCTTCACAGATTCTATAAAAACAGTGTTTCCAAACTGCTAAATGAAAAAAAGGTTTAACTCTGCAAGATGAATGAACACATCACAAATCATTTTCTCAGATAACTTCCTTTTAGTTTTTATCCTGGGATATTCACTTTTTTGCCATTAGCCTCAATTAATTCCCAAATGTCCATTTGCAGATTCTACAAAAACCGTGTTTCCAAAATGCTGAATGAAAAGAAAGGTTTAACTCTGTGATAAGAATGAACACATCACAAAGGGGTTTCTCAGGTAGCTTCCTTCTAGTTTTTATCCTGGGCTATTCACTTTTTTGCCATTGGCCTTAATGAGCTCCCAAATGTCCATTCGCAGAATGGACAACAACAGTGTTACCAAACTGCTGAATCCAAAGAAATGTTTAACTCTTTGAATGAAAGAACACAGCACAAAGCAGTTTCTCAGAAAGCACCTTTCTAGTTTTTATCTGAAGATATTTCCACTTTCACTATAGACTTTAATGCGCTCCCCAAATATCCCTTCACAGATTCTACATAAACTGTTTCCAAACTCCTCAATGAAAAGAGAGGTTTAATTCTGCATGATGAATGCACCCATCACAAAGCATTTTCTCAGAGAGCTTCCTTCTTTTTGTCTTGTGATATTCTCTTTTTAGCCATTGGCCTCAATGAGCTCTCAAATGTCCATGTGCAGAAAGGACAAAAATATTGTTACCAAACTACTGATTCCAAAGAAAGATTTAACTCTGTCAGAGGAATGCACACATCACAAAGCAGATTCTCATTAAGACTCTTTCTAGTTTTTATCTGAAGATCATTTTTTTCTCAACAGGCCTCAATGTGCTACCAAATATCTCTTTGCAAATTCCAAAAAACTGTGTTTCCAAATGGCTGAATAAAAAGACAGTTTAAACTCTGTGAGATGAATGCACACATCACAAATCAGTTTCTCAGATAATTTCCGTCTACTTTTTATCCTAGGATATTCACTTTCTCACCATTGGACTCAAGGAGTTCCCAAATGTCCATTAGCAGAATGGACAAAAAGTCTTTCCAAACTGTTGAATCCAAAGGAAGGTTTAACACTGCAAAATGAGTGAACATGTCAAAAAGCAGTTTCTTAGTAAGCTTCTTTCTAGTTTTTATCTGAAGGTATTTCCTTTTTCATGATAGGCCTCAATGCACTGCTAAGTATCCTTTTGCAGATTCTACAAAAACAGTGTTTCAAAACTGATGAATGAAAAGAAAGTTTGAATTCTGTGAGATGAATGCACACATGAAAAACATTTTCTCAAATAGCTTCCTTCTAGTTTTTATCTTGGGATATTTGCTTTTTCGCAATTGGCCTCATTGAGTTCCCAAATATCCATTCACAGAATGGACAAAACAGTGTTACATAACTGCTGAATGCAAAGAAACATTTAACTCTGTCAGATGAATGCACACATTCCAAAGCAGTTTCTCAATAAGTTTCTTTCTAGTTTTTATCTGAAGATATTTCCTTTCTCACCACAGGCCTGAATGTGCTACCAAATATCTCTTCACAGATACTAACAAAACAGTGTTTCCAAACTGCTGAATGAAAAGAAAGGTTTAAATCTGTGAGATGAATGCACACATCACAAAGCGTTTTCTCATGTAAATTCCTTCTAGATTTTATCCTGGGATATTCTGTTTTTTTTTTTTTTGCCATTGATCTCAATGAGCTCCCAAATGCCCATTCAAAGAATAGACCTAAACAGTGTTTCCAAACTGCTGAAATGAAAGAACGGTTTAACTCTGTTAGATAAATGAACATATAACAAAGCAGTTTCTCAGAAAGCTTCATTCAAGTTTTTATCTGAAGACTGTTGGAAACATTGTTTTTGTCTATTCTGGGAATGGACAATTTGGAGCTCATTGAAGCAATGACGAAAAAGAGTTTATCCCAGTTAAAAACTAGAAGGGAGATATCTGAGAAACTGCTTTTTGATGTATACATTCATCTCGCAGTGTTAAAACTTTCTTTTCATCCAGCATTTGGAAACCCAGTTTTTGTCCATTCTGTGAGCGGGCTTTTGTGAGCTCATTGAGGCCAATGGCAAAAAACTGAATATCCCAGGATAAAAACTAGAAGGAAGATATCTGAGAAAACGTTTTGTGATGTATGCATTCATCTCACAGTGTTAAAACTTTCTTTTCTTTCAGCTGTTTGGAAACATTTCTTGTGTAGAATCTGTGAAGGGATATTTGGCAGTGCTTTGAGGCCTACGGGGAAAAAGGAAATATCTTCCAATAAAAACTAGAAAGAAGTTTTTGGAGAAACTGCTTTGTGATGTGTTCATTCATCTCACAGAATTACAGAATTAAACTTTTCTTTGGATTCAGTAGTTTGGAAACCTTGTTTTTGTCCATTTTGTGAACGGACATTTGGGAGCTCTTTGTGGCCAATGGCAAAATTGTTAATATTACAGGATTAAAACTAGAAGGAAGTTATCTGAGAAACCGACTTGTGATGTGTGCATTCATCTCACAGATTTAAACCTTTCTTTTCCTTCAGGAGTTTGGAACACTGTTTTCTTAGAATCTGAGAAGAGATATTTGGTAACCCAATGAGGCCTATGGTGAAAAAGTAAATATCTTCAGATAAAAACTAGGAAGAACCTTTCTGAGAGACTACTTTTTGATGTGTTGACAGAGTTAAACTTTCTTTGGGTTCAGCAGTTTGCAAGCACATTTTTTGTCCATTCTGCAAGTGGACATTTGGGATCTCATTTAGGCCAATGGTGCAAAAGTGAGTATCCCACGATAAAAGATATAAGGATGATATCTGAGAAAATGCTTTGTGACGTCTGCATCAATCTGGCAGTGTTAAACCATTCTATTCATTCAGCAGTTTGGAAAAACTTTTTTTTGTAGAATCTGTGAAGTGATATTTGGCAGCGCGTTGAGGCCTATGGTGAAAAACAAAATATCTTCCGATAAAACCTAGAAAGAAGCTTTATGAGAAACTGCTTTGTGATATGTGCATTTGTCTCATAGTGTTAAAACTTTATTTGGATTCAACAGTTTGGAAACACTTTTTTTGTCCATTCACAGAATGGACATTTGGGAGATCACTGAGGCCAAAAGTGAAAAAGTGAGTATCCCCGGATAAAAACTAGGAGGAAAATATCTGAGAAAACTCTTCATGATGTGTGCATTTGTCTCGTAGAGTTAAATTTTTCTTTTCATTCAGCAGTTTGTAAACACTGGTTTTGTAGAATCTGTGAGGGGATATTTTGGAGCACATTGAGGCCTATGGTGAAAAAGGAAATCTCTTCATAAAAAAAAATTAGAAACATTCTTTCTGTAAAACTGTTTTGTGATGTGTGCATTCATCTCACAGAGCTAAACCTTTCTTTGGATTCAGCTGTTTGGAAACACTGTTTTTGTGCATGCTGCAAATGGACATTTTTGTGCTCATTATGGCCAATGGCAATAAAAGCCAATATCCCAGGATACAAACTAGAAGGAGGCTATCTGAGAAACCACTTTGTGATGTGTGCATTCACCTCACAGAGTTAAAACTTTGTTTTCATTCAGCAGTTTGGAAATGCTTTTTTTGTAGAATGTGCGAAGGGATATTTGGGAGTGTTTGAGGCCTATGGTGAAAAAGAGAATAGCTTCAGGTAAGAACTACAAAGAAGCTTTCTGAGAAACTGCTTTGTGATGTGTGCATTTAATCTCAAAGAGGTAAAACTTCCTTTGGATTCAGCAGTTTGAAAACACTGTTTTTGTCCATGCTGCAAATGGACATATGGGAGCTCTTTGAGAACAATGGGGAAAAAGATAATATACCAGGAAAAAAGTAGAAGGAAGGATCTAGGAAACCGCTATGTGGTGTGTGTATTTAGCTCACAGAGTTAAACTGTTCTTTTCATTCAGCAGTTTGGAAACACTGTTTTTTTGAATCTGCAAAGGGATATTTGGGAGCGCACTGAGGCCTATGGTGTAAAAGAATATATCTTCAGATAAAAAATAGGAAGAAGATTTCTGAGAAACTGCTTTAGAATGTGTGCATTCATCTCACAAGATTAAACCTTTCTTTGAAATCAGCAGTTTGGAAACACTGTTTTTGTAGAATCTGTGAAAAGATATTTGGAAGCGCATTGAGGCCTATGGCAAGAAATTGAATGTCCCATGATAAAAATTAGAAAGTGATATCTGAGAAACTGCTTTCAGATGTGTGCATTCACCTCACAGAGTTAAACCTTTCTTTTCATTCAGCTGTTTTGAAAAACTGTTTTTGTAGAATCTGCAAAGAGATATTTGGGAGTGCATTGAGGCTTTTGGTAAAAAAGGAAATATCTTCAGATAAAAACTAAAAAGATGCTTTCTGAGAAACTATTTTGTGATGTTTCCATTCATATCACAGAGTTAAATCTTTCTTTGGATTCAGCAGTTTGGAAACACTGTTCTTGTCCATTCTGTGAATGGACATTTGGGAGCTCATTGAGGCCTATGGCAAAAAAGCAAATATCCCAAGATAAAAACTAGGAGGAAGTTATCTGAGAAACCAATTTGTGATGTGTGCTTTCTTCTCACAGAGTCATTCTTTTCCTCTCATTCAACAGTTTTTTATACACTGTTTTCTTAGAATCTGCAAAGAGACATTTAGTAGCACATTGAGGTCTACAGTGAAAAAGGAAATATCTTCAGATAAAAACTAGAAAGAAGCTTTCTGAGAAACTGCTTTAACTGAGTTTAAGCAGTTTAACTGGTTTAAGTGAGTTAAACCTTCCTTTTCAGTCAGCAGTTTGGAACAATGTTTTTGTGGAATCTGAGAATGAAGATTTAGGATATCATTGAGGCCAATGGCAAAAAAGTGAATATCCAAGGATTAAAAGTAGAATGAAGCCCTCTGTCAATCCCCATTGTGATGTGTGCATTTATCTCCCAGAATTAAACTTTTCTTTACATTCAGCAATTTGGAAACACTGTTTTTGTAGAATCTGTGAAGGGATATTTGGGAACGCTTTGAGGCCTATGGTGAAAAAGAATACAACTTCAGATAAAAACTAGAAAGAATCTTTCTGAGAAACTGCTTTGTGATATTTGCATTCATCTCAAAGAGTTAAACATTTCTTTCAATTCAGCCGTTTGGAAGCACTGGTTTTTTCCTGTGTGTGAATGGACATTTGGGAGCTCATTGAGGCAAATTGTGAAGGAGAGATTACACCAGGAAAAAAACTAGAAGGAAACTATCTGAGAATCCACTTTGTGATGTGTGCATTCATCTAGCACAGTTAAACCTTTCCTTTCATTCAGCAGTTTGGAAACACTTTTTGTGGAATCTGTGAAGGGATATTTGGGAGCACATTGAGGCGTATGTTAAAAAAGTAAATATCTACAGATAAAAACTAGAAAGAAGCTTTCAGAGAAACTGCTTTGTGATGCTTGCATTCAAATCATGAGTTCAATGTCCTTTTTCATTCAGCAGTTGGGAAACACTGTTTTTGCCCATGCTGCAAGTGGTCACTTGGGAGCTCATTGTGGCCAATGGCGAAAAAGTGAATATCCCAGCATAAAAAGTAGAAGGAAGCCATCCAGGAAACCCCTTTGTGATGTGTGCATTTATCTCACAGAGTTAAACATTTCTTTTCATTCGGCAGTTTGGAAACACTCTTTTTGTTGAATCTGAGAAAGGATATTTGGGAGCGCTTTGAGTCCTACGGTGAAAAAGGAAATATTTTCAAATACAAATTAGAAAGAAGCTTTCTGAGAAACTGCTTTGTGATGTGGGTGTTCATCTCACAGATTTTAACCATTCTTTGGGTTCAGCAGTTTGGAAACACTGTTTTTGTCCATTCTGTGAATGGACATTTGGGAGCTCAGTGAGGAAAATGGCAAAAAAGACAACACCCAAAGATAAAAAATATAAGATAGTTATCTGAGAAAACGAATTGTGGTGCGTGCATTCATCTCACAGAATTAAACCCTTCTTTTCATTCAGCCTTTTGAAAACACTGTTTTTGTGGAATCTGTGAAAGGACAATTGGGAGCACATTGAGGCCTATGGTGAAAAAGGAAATATCTTCAAACAAAATCTAGAAAGAAGCTTTATGAGAAACTGCTGTGTGATGTGGGTGTTTGTCTCACAGACTTTAACCATTCTTTGGATTCAGCAGTTTGGAACACTGTTTTTGTCTATTCTGCCATTGGATATTTGGGAGCTAACTGAGGCCATTGAAGAAGAAGCAAATATCCGAGGATAAAAACTAGAAGGAAGCTATCTCAGAAACTGCTTGGTTGTGTGTGCATTCACCTCACAGAATTAAACCTTTCTTCTCATTCAGCCTTTTGGAAACATTGTTTTCATAGAATATCCGAAGGGACATTTGGCAGAATGTTGAGTCCTAAGGTGAAAAAGGAAATAAAATCAGATAAAAATAAGAAAGAAAATTTAAGAGAAACTGTTTTGTGATGTGTATATTCACCTCACAGATGTAAACCTTTCTTTCAATTCAGCAGCCAGGAAATGCTGTTTTTGTAGAATCTGAGAAAGGACATTTTGGAACAAAAGCAAATATCCCAGGATGAAAACTAGAAGGAAGCTATCTAAGAAACCATTTTGTGATGTGTGCATTCATCTCACCGAGTTAAAACTTCCTTTTCATTCTGCCATTTTGAAATCCTGTTTTCATAGAATTGGCGCAGGGATATTTAGTAGTGCATTGTGGCCTAAGGGGAAATAGGAATTATCTTCAGAAAAAAACTAGAAAGAAGCTGAGAAACTGCTGTATGATGGTTGCATTCATCTCACAGAGTTAAACTTTTTTTTGGATTCAGCAGTTTGGAAACACTGTTTTTGTCCACTCTGCAAATGGACATTTGGGAGCTCAGGGAGGCCAAAGGTGAAAAAGAGAATATCCCAGGATAAAAAATACAAGGAAGTTTTCTGAGAAACCGATTTCTGATGTCGGCATTCATTGCACAGAGATAAACCCTTCTTTTCATTCAGCAGTTTGGAAACGCTGTTTTCTTAGAATCTGCAAAGAGATATTTGGCAGTGTGTAGAAGCCTATGGTGAAAAAGGAAATATCTTCAGATAAAAACTAGAAAGAAGCTTTCTGAGGATCTCCTTTATGCAGTGTTCATTCATGTCAGAGAGTTAAACCTGTCTTTGGGCCGGGCGCGGTGGCTCACGCCTGTAATCCCAGCACTTTGGGAGGCTGAGGCGGGCAGATCACGAGGTCAGGAGATCGAGACCATCCCGGCTAAAACGGTGAAACCCCGTCTCTACTAAAAATACAAAAAAATTAGCCGGGCGTAGTGGCGGGCGCCTGTAGTCCCAGCTACTTGGGAGGCTGAGGCAGGAGAATGGCGTGAACCCGGGAGGCGGAGCTTGCAGTGAGCCGAGATCCCGCCACTGCACTCCAGCCTGGGCGACAGAGCGAGACTCCGTCTCAAAAAAAAAAAAAAAAAAAAAAAAAAAAAAAACAAACAAACAAACAAAAAAAAAACCTGTCTTTGGATTCAGCCGTTTGGTAACATTGTTTTTATCCATTCTGCGAATGGACATTTGGGAACTCATTGAGGCCAATGGTGAGAAAGTGAATATCCCTGGATAAAAACTAGAAGGATGTTATCTGAGAAACTGATTTGTGATGTGTGCATTAATTTCACTGAGTTAAACCTTACTTTTGATTCAGCAGCTTGGAAGCACTGTTTTTGTAGAATCTGCGAAGAGATATGTGGCAATGCCTGGAGGCCTTTTGTGTAAAAGGAAACATCTTCAGATAAAAAATAGAAAGAAGCTTTCTGAGAAACTGCTTTGTAATGCATTCATTCCCTTCACAGAGTTATACTTTTATTTGGATTCAGCAGTTTGTAAACTCTGTTTTTGTCCATGCTGCGAATGGACATTTGGGAGCTCATTGTTGCCAATGGCAAAAAAAAAAAAAAAAAAATACCGCAGGATAAAAACTAGAAGGAAGCTTAAAGAGAAACTGCGTGGGATGAGTTCATTCATCTCACAGAGTTAAACCTCTGTTTTCATTCAACTGTTTGGAAACACTGCTTTCTTAGAATCTATGAAGAGATATTTTGCAGAGCATTGAGCCCTGTGGTGACCAAGGAAATATATTCAGATAAAAAATAGAAGGAAGCTGAATGAGAGACTGCCTTGGGATGTACACATTCATCTCACAGAGGGAAAATTTACTTTGGATTCAGCAGCCTGGAAATGCTTTTTTTGTCCATTCTGCAAGTGGACATTTGGGAGCTCATTGAGGCCAATGGCGGAAAAGGGAATATGCCAGGATAAAACCTGGAAGCACGTTAATGAGAAATTGCTTTGTGATGTGTGCATTCATCTCAAAGAGTAAAAACTCTCTTTTCACTCAGCAGTTTGGAAACACTGTTTTGTAGAAAGTATGAAGGGATAATTGGCAGCACATTGGGGCCTATGATGAAAAAGGAAATATCTTCAGATAAAAACTAGAAAGAATCTGTCCAAGAAACTGCTTTGTGAGGTGTGCTTTGATCTCACAAATTTAAACCTTTCCTTGGATTCAGCAGTTTGGTAACACTGTTTTTGTCCATACTGTGAAAGGACATTTGGGAGCTCACTGAGTCCAATGGCAAAAAAGTGACTATCCCAGGATAAAAACTAGAAGGAAGATATTTGAGAAAATGCTTTGTGATGTGTGCGTTCATCACGCAGAGTTACAACTTTCACTTCACTGAGCAGTTTTTCAAAACTGTTTTTGTAGAAACTGAGAAGGGAATTTTGGGAGCAGGTGGAGGCCTATGGTGAAAAAGGAATTTTCTTCATATAAAAACTCAAAAGAAGCTTTCTGAGAATCTGCTTTGTGACGTGTTCATTCATCTCATGGAGATAAACATTTCTTTGGATTCAGCAGTTTGGAACCGCTGTTTTGGTCCCTTCTGCGAATGGACATTTGGATGCTCATTGAGGCCAATGGTGAAAAAGCAAATATCCCAAGATGCAAAGAAGAAAGAAGATCTCTCATAAAACGCTTTCTGATGTGTGCATTCAGCTCACAAAGTTAAACTTTTCTTTTCATTCAGCAGTTTGGAAACACTGTTTCTGTAGAATCTGCAAAGGAGTATTTGGCAATGCATTGAAGCCTATAGTGAAAAAGGAAATATATTCAGATAAAAAGTAGAAAGAACCTTTCTGAGAGACTATTTTTGATGTGTGGATTCATCTCACAGAGTTAAACCTTTTTATGGATTTAGAAGTTTTCTTACCTAATCAAGCCTGGGCAATGGCAGGCGCCCCTCCCCCAGCCTTGCTGCCACCTTGCAATTTGATCTCAGACTGCTGTGCTAGCAATCAGTGAGACTCCATGGGCATAGGACACTCCAAGCCATGTGTGGGATATAATCTCCTGGTGTGCCGTTTTTTAAGCCTGTTGGAAAAGCACAGTATTAGGGTGGGAGTGACCCGATTTTCCAGGTGCCGTGTATCACCCCTTTCTTTGAATAGGAAAGGGAACTCCCTGACCCCTTGCTCTTCCCAAGTGAGGCAATGCCTCACCCTGCTTCAGCTTGAGCATGGTGCGCTGCACCAACTGTCCTGAACCCACTGTCTGGTACTCCCTAGTGAGATGGACCTCATACCTCAGATGGAAATGCAGAAATCACCCGTCTTCTGCGTTGCTCACACTGGGAGCCATAGATCGGAACCTTTCCTATTCGGCCATCTTGGCTCCCAATCTAGCAAGGCAGGCCAACATTCAGATTCAGGAAATACAGAGAATGCCACAAAGATACTCCTCGAGAAGAGCAACTCCAAGATGCATAATTGTCAGATTCACCAAAGCTGAAATGAAGAAAAAAATGTGAAGGGTAGCCAGAGAGAAAGGTCGGGTTACCCACAAAGGGAAGCCCATCAGACTAACAGCGGATCTCTTGGCAGAAACTCTACAAGCCAGAAGAGAGTGGGGGCCAATATTCAACATTCTTAAAGAAAAGAAATTTCAATCCAGGATTTCATATCCAGCCAACCTAAGCTTCATAAGTGAAGGAGAAATAAAATACTTTACAGACAAGCAAATGCTGAGAGATTTCATCACCACCAGGCCTGCCCTAAAAGAGCTCCTGAAGGAAGCACTAAACATGGAAAGGAACAACCGGTAACAGCCACTGCAAAAACATGCCAAAATGTAAAGACCATGAAGGCTAGGAAGAAAACTGCATCAACTAATGAGGAAAATTAACAACTAACATCAAAAAGATAGGACCAAATACACACATAACAATATTAACTCTAAATGTAAATAGGCTAAATGCTCCAATTAAAAGACACAGACTGGCAAATTGGATAAAGAGTCAAGACCCATCAGTGTGCTGTATTCAGGAAACCCATCTCACGTGCAGAGACACACATAGGCTCAAAATAAAGGGATGGAAGAAGATCTACCAAGCAAATGGAAAAAAAGGCAAGGGTTGCAGTCCTAGTCTCAGTTAAAACAGACTTTAAACGAACAAAGATCAAAAAGACAAAGAAGGACATTACATAATGGTAAAGGGATCAATTCAACAAGAAGAGCTAACTATCCTAAATATATATGCACTCAATACAGGAGCACCCAAATTCATAAAGCAAGTCCTGAGTGACCTACAAAGAGACTTAGACTCCCACACAATAATAATGGGAGACTTTAACACCCCACTGCCAACATTAGACAGATCAATGAGACAGAAAGTTAACAAGGGTACCCAGAAATTGAACTCAGCTCTGCAACAAGCGGACCTAATAGACATCTACAGAACTCTCCACTCCAAATCAACAGAATATACATTTTTTTCAGCACCACACCACAACTATTCCAAAACTGACCACATAGGTGGAAGTAAAGCCCACCTTGGCAAATGTAAAAGAAGAGAAATCATAACAAACCGTATCTCAGACCACAGTGCAATCACAACTAGAACTCAGGACTAAGAAATTCACTCAAAACCACTCAACTAAATGGAAACTGAACAACTTGCTCCTGAATGATTACTGGGTACATAACGAAATGAAGGCAGAAATAAAGATGTTATTTGAAACCAATGAGAACAAAGACACAACATGCCAGAATCTCTGGGACACATTCAAAGCAGTGTGTAGAGGGATATTTATACTACTAAATGCCCACAAGAGAAAGCAGGAAAGATCCAAAATTGACACCCCAACATCACAATTAAAAGAACTAGACTAGCAAGAGCAAACACTTTCAAAAGCTAGCAGAAGGCAAGAAATAACTAAAATCAGAGCAGAACTGAAGGAAATAGAGACACAAAAAACCCTTCAAAAAATTAATGAATCCAGGAGCTGGCTTTTTGAAAAGATCAAGAAAATTGTTAGACCACTAGCAAGACTAATAAAGAAGAAAAGAGAGAAGAATCAAATAGACGCAATAAAAAATGATAAAGGGGATATCACCATTGATCCCACAGAAATACAAACTACCATAAGAGAATACTACAAACACTTCTATGCAAATAAACTAGAAAATGTAGAAGAAATGGATAAATTCCTCGACACATACACCCTCCCAAGACTAAACCAGGAAGAAGTTGAACCTCTGAATAGACCAATAACAGGCTCTGAAATTGTGGCAATAATAAATAGCTTACCAACGAAAAAAGTCCAGGACCAGATGGATTCACAGCCAAATTCTACCAGAGGTACAAGGAGGAACTGGTACCATTCCTTCTGAAACTATTCCAATCAACAGAAAAAGAGGGAATCCTCCCTAACTCATTTTATGAGACCAGCATCTTCCTGATACCAAAGCCTGGCAGAGACACAACCAAAAAAGAGAATTTGAGACCAATATCCTTGATGAACATTGATGCAAAAGTCCTCAATAAAATACTGGCAAACCGAATCCAGCAGGACATCAAAAAGCTTTTCCAACATGATCAAGTGGGTTGCATCCCTGGGAGGCAAGGCTGGCTCAGTGTATGCAAATCAATAAATGTAATCCAGCATATAAAAAGAACCAAAGAGAAAAACCACATGATTATCTCTATAGATGCAGAAAAGGCCTTTGACAAAATTCAACAACCCTTCATGCTAAAAACTCTCAATAAATTAGGTATTGATGGGACGCATCACAAAATAATAAGAGCTATCTATGACAAACCCACAGCCAATATCATACTGAATGGGCGAAACTGGAAGCATTCCCTTTGAAAACAGGCAGAGACAGGGATGTCTTCTCTCACCACTCCTATTCAGCATAGTGTTGGAAGTTCTGGCCAGGGCAATTAGGCAGGAGAAGGAAATAAAAGTTATTGGATTAGGAAAAGAGGAAGTCAAATTGTCCCTGTTTGCAGATGACATGATTTTATATCTAGAAAACCCCATCATCTCAGCCCAAAATCTCCTTAAGCTGATAAGCAGCTTCAGCAAAGTCTCAGGATACAAAATCAATGTACAAAAATCAAAAGCATTCTTATACACAAATAACAGGCAAACAGAGAGCCAAATCATGAGTGAACTCCCATTCACAATTGCTTCAAAGAGAATAAAATACCTAAGAATCCAACTTACAGGGGATGTGAGTGACCTCTACAAGGAGAACTATAAACCACTGCTCAATGAAATAAAAGAGGATATAATCAAATGGAAGAACATTCCATGCTCATGGATAGGAAGAATCAATATCATGAAAATGGCCATACTGCCCAAGGTAATTTATAGATTCAATGCCATCTCCATCAAGCTACCAATGACTTTCTTCACAGAATTGGAAAAAACGACTTTAAAGTTCGTATGGAACCAAAAAAGAGCCCACATCACCAAGTCAATCCTAAGTCAAAAGAACAAAGCTGGAGACATCATGCTACCTGACTCCAAACTATACTACAATGCTACAGTAAGCAAAACAGCGTGGTACTGGTACCAAAACAGAGATATAGATCAATTGAAGAGAACGTAGCCCTCAGAAATAGTGCCACTTATCTACAACCATCTGATCTTTGACAAACCTGACAAAAACAAGGAATGGGGAAAGGATTCCCTATTTAATAAATGCTGCTGGGAAAACTGGCTGGCCATATGTAGAAAGCTGAAACTGGATCCCTTCCTTACACCTTATACAAAAATTAATTCAAGATGGATTAAAGACTTACATGTTAGACCTAAAACCATAAAAACCCTAGAAGAAAACCTAGGCAATACTATTCAGGACATAGGCATGAGCAAGGACTTCATGTCTAAAACACCAAAAGCAATGGCAACAAAAGCCAAAATTGACAAATGAGATCTAATTAAACTCAAGAGCTTCTGCATAACAAAAGAAACTACCATCAGCGTGAACAGGCAACCTACAAAATGGGAGAAAATTTTTGCAACCTACTCATCTGACAAAGGGCTAATATCCAGAATCTACAAAGAACTCAAACAAATTTACAAGAAAAAAACAAACAACCCCATCAAAAAGTGGGCGAAGGGTATGAACAGACACTTCTCAAAAGACGACATTTATGCAGCCAAGAAACACATGAAAACATGCTCATCATTACTGGCCATCAGAGAAATGCAAATCAAAACCACAATGAGATACCATCTCACACCAGTTAGAATGGCGATCATTAAAAAGTCAGGAAACAACAGGTGCTGGAGAGGATGTGGAGAAATAGGAACACTTTTACACTGTTGGTGGGACTGAAAACTAGTTAAACCATTGTGGAAATCAGTGTGGCGATTCCTCAGGGATCTAGAAGTAGAAATACCATTTGACCCAGCCATCCCATTACTGGGTATATACCCAAAGGATTATAAATCATGCTGCTATAAAGACACGTGCAGACATATGTTTATTGCAGCACTATTCACAAAAGCAAAGACTTGGAACCAACCCAATTGTCCAACAATGATAGACTGGACTAAGAAAATGTGGCACATATACACCATGGAATACTATGCAGCCATAAAAATGATGAGTTCATGTCCTTTGTAGGGACATGGATGAAACTGGAAACCGTCATTCTCAGCAAACTATCACAAGGACAAAAAACCAAAAACTGCATGTTCTCACTCATAGGTGGGAATTGAATAATGAGAACACATGGACACAGGAAGGGGAACATCACACTCTGGGGACTGTTGTGGGGTGCGGGTAGGGGGGAGGGATAGCATTAGGAGATGTACCTAATGCTAAATGACGAGTTAATGGGTGCAGCACACCAACATGGCACATGTATACATATGTATAAAACCTGCACATTGTGCACATGTACCCTAAAACTTAAAGTATTATAACAAAAAAATAAAATTTAAAAAAAAGAGGGAAGATCTCATGTTAAGTGGTTTTACAATGAAATTGTAAAAAAATTAAATAAAAAAGCAGCAAAAAAAAAAATAAGTAGTTTGGTAACACTGTTTTTGTCCTTTGTGCCAATGGACATTTGGGAGCTCATTGAGGACAATAGCAAAAAAGTGAATATCCCAGCATGAAAACAAGAAGGAAGATATCTGAGCAACACTCTGTGATTTGTGCATTTATCTCACAGTGTTAAAACCTTCTGTCCATTCAGCCGTTTGGAAGCACTGTTTTTGGAGAATCTGCAAAGAGATATTTAACATTGCATTGTGGCTTATGGTGAAAAACAAAATATCTTCCAATAAAAACTAGAAAGAAGATTGCTGAGAAACTGCTTTGTGCTGTGTTCATTCATCTCAAAGAGTTAAAAATTTCTTTGGATTCAACACTTTGGTGACCCTGTTTTTGTCCATTCTGTGAATGGGTATTTTGGAGCTCATTGAGGTCAATGGGGGAGAAAGCAAATATCCCAGCATAAAAACTAGAAGGAAGCTCTCTGAGAAACTGCTTTGTGATGTGGGCATGCATCTCACAGAGTTAACCCTTTCTTTTTATTCAACTGTTTGGAATCATTGTTTTTGTAGAATCTGCAAAGGGATATTTGGCACTGCATTGAGGCATATTGTGAAAAAGGAACATATTCAGATGAAAACTAGAAAGAATTTACTGCAAAACTGATTTGTGGTGTGTTTCTTCATCTTACAGTGTTAAACAATATTTTGGATTCAGCAGTTTTGAAACACTGTTTTTGTCCATTTTGAGAATGGACATTTGGGAGCTCTTTGAGGCCAATGGCGAAAAAGCGAATATCCCAGGATAAAAACTAGAAGGAAGTTATCAGAGAAACTGATTTGTGATGTGTGCATTCATCTCACAGAATTAAACCATTCTTTTCTTTCAGAAGTTTGGAAGCACTGTTTTTTAGAATCTGTGAAGAGATATTTTGTAGTTTATTGAGGCCTACTGTGAAAAAGGAAATATCTTCAGATAAAAACTAGAAAGAAGCTTAATGAGAAACTGCTTTTGGTTGTGTGCATTTATCTCACAATGTTAAACCTTCCTTTGCATTCAGCAGTTTGGTAACACTCTTTCTGTCCATTCTGCAAATGGACATTTGGGAGCTCATTGAGACCAATGGTGAAAAAGGAAACGTCCCAGAACAAAAACTAGAAGGATGTTATCAGAAAAACTGATTTGTGGTGTGTGCATTCATCTCACAGAGTTAAACCTTTCTTTCATTCAGCAGTTTGGAAACACCGTTTTCTTAAAATCTGCAAGAGATATTTTGTAGCACAGTGAGGCCTATGGTGAAAAAGGAAATATCTTCAGATAAAAACTGGAAAGAACCTTTCCGATGGACTACTTTTTGATGTGTGGATTCGTCTCACAGTGTTGAACTGCTCTTTGGGTTCAGCAGTTTAGTAACACTGCTTTTGTCCTTTCTGCCAATGGACATTTGGGAGCTCATTGGCACCAATGGCAAAAAGTGAATATCCCAGCATGAAAGCTACAAGGAAGTTATCTAAGAAAATGCTTTGTGATGTGTGCATTCATCTCACTGTGTTAAACCTTTCTTTTCATTCAGCAGCTTGGAAACACTGTTTTTTTAGAATCTGTGAAGGGACATTTAGCAGCACTTTGAGGCATATCATGAAAAAGAAAATATCTTCAGATAAAAACTAGAAAGAAGCTTAATGAGAAACTGCTTGGTGCTGTGTTCATTCATCTCACAGAGTAAAACTTTTCTTTGGATTCAGCAGTTTGGTAACACTGTTTTTGCCTATTCTGCAAATTAGACATTTTGGAGCTTACTGAAGCCATTGGGGGAGAAAGGCAATATCCCAGGACAAAAACTAGAAGGAAGTGCTCTGAGAAGCTGCTTTTTGATGTGGGCATTCATCTCACAGAGTTAAACCTTTCTTTTCATTCAGCACTTTGGAAACTCTGTTTTTGTAGAATCTGTGAAAAATGTTTGGCAGTGCATTGAGGCCAATGGTGAAAAAGGAAATAACTTCTGATAAAAACTAGAAAGAAGCTTTCTGAGAAACTGATTTGTGATGTGCTCATTCATTTCACAGAGGTAAGCCTTTCTTTGGATTCAGCAGTTTGGTGACACTGTTTTTGTCCATTTTGGAAAGGGACATTTGGAAGTACATTGAGGCCAATGGCGATAAAGCAAATATCCCAGGATAAAAACTAGAAGGAAGATATCTAAGAAACCACTCTGTGTTGTGTGCATTCATCTCACAGAGATAAACCATTCTTTTCATTCAGCAGTTTGGAAACACTGTTTTCTTAGAATCTGTGAAGAGATATTTGTAGCGCATTGAGAACTGTGGTCAAAAAGGTATATTATCTTCAGACAAAAACTAGAAAAAAGCTCAATGAGAAACAGCTTTGTGATGTCTGCATTCATCTCACAGAGTTAAACCTTTTTTGGATTCAACAGTTTGAAAACACTGTTTTTGTCCATTCTGTTAATGGACATTTGAGAGCTCATTGAGGCCAATGGCAACAAAGTGAATATCCAAGGATAAAATTTAGAAGGAAGTTATCTGAAAAACCGTTTTGTGATGTGTGCATTCATCTCACCAAGTTAAACCTTTCCTTTCATTCAGCAGTTTGGACGCACTCTTTTCTTAGAATCAGCAAAGAGACATTTGGTAGAGCATTGAGACCTATGGTGAGAAAGGAAATATCTTCTGAAAAAAACTAGAAGGAAGCTTTCAGATAGACTGCTATGTGATGTGTTCATTCATCTCACAGAGTTAAACCTTTCTTCGGATTCAGCAGTTTGGTAACACAGTTTTTGTCCATTGTGTGAATGGACAGTTGGGAACCCATCAAGGTCAATGGCAAAAAAGTGAATATGCCAAGATAAAAACTAGAAGGAAGCTCTCTGAGGAAAAGCTTTGTAATGTGTGCATTCATCTCGCAAAGTTAAACCTTTCTTTTCATTCAGCAGTTTGGAAACACTGTTTTGTAGAATCTGCAAGGGCTATTTTGCAGCACATTGAGGCCTATTGTGAAAATACAAATATCTTCATGTAAGAAGTAGAAAGAAGATTTCTGAGAAAATCTGCTTTTTTCTGTGTTCATTCATCTCACAGAGTTAAATCTTTTATTGGATTCAGCAATTTGGTAACACTGTTTATGTCCCTTCCACAAATGGGCATTTCAGAGCTCTTTGAGGCCAATGGCGAAAAAGCCAATATCCCAGGATAGAAAACAGAAGGAAGATATATGAGAAACTGCTCTATGTTGTTTGCATTCATCTCACAGACTTAAACCTTTCTTTACTTTCAGGAGTTTGGAAACAGTGTTTTTGTACAATCTGCAAAGGGACTTTTGAGATCCCTTTGAGTCTTATGGTGAAAAAGGGCATATATTCAGATAAAAACTAGAAAGATGCTTTCTGAGAAACATCGTTGTGATGTGTTCATTCATCTTAGAGGGTTAACCCTTTCTTTGGATTCTGCAGTTTGGAAACACTGTTTTTGTAGTATCTGCAAAGGGATATTTGGCAGTGCATTGTGGCCTATTGTGAAAAAGGATATATCTTCAGATAAAAAGTAGAAAGAAGCTTTCTGAGAAACTGCTCTTTGTTGTGCTCATTCATCCCACAGAGGTAAGTCTTTCTTTGGATTCAGAAGTTTGGAAACATTCTTTTTGTCCATTCCGTGAGTGGACATTTCAGAGCTCTTGGAGGCCAATGGCGAAAAAGCAAATATCCCATGACTAAAACTAGAAGCACATTATCTCAGAAACTGATTTGTGATGTGGGGATTCATCTCTCAGAGGTAAACCTTCCTTTTCATTCAGCAGTTTGGAAAGAGTCTCTTTGTAGAATATGTGAAGGGATATTTGGAAGCATATTGAGGCCTATGGTGAAAAAGGATATAGCCTCAGGTAAAAACTAGAAAGAAGGTTTCTGAGAAAATCCTTCCTGATGTGTTCATTCATCTCACAGAGTTAAACCTTTCTTTGGATTCAGCAGTTTGGAAACACTGTTTTTGTCCATTTTTTGGAGTTCTTTGAGGTCATTGGTGAAAAAGTGAATATCCCAGGAGAGAAACTAGAAGGAAGGTATCAGAGAAAGAAATATGTAACGTGAGCATTCGTCTCAGAGTGTTAAACCTTTCTTTTCATTCAGTAGATTGGAAATACTGTTTTTGTGGAATCTGCAAAGAGGTATTTGCTAGCGCATGGAGACCTATGGTGAAAAAGGAAATCACTTCAGATAAAAACTGGAAAGAAGCTTAATGAGAAACTGCTTTGGGATGTGTGCGTTCAACTCACAGAGTTAAACATTTCTTTGGATTCAGTAGTTTAGAAACACTGTTTATGTCCATTCTGTGAAAGCACATTTTGGAGCTCATTGAGGTCAATGGTGAGAAAGCCAATATCCCAGAATAAAAACTAGAGGGAAGATGACTGAGAAAATGCTTTGTGATGTGTGCATTCATCTCACAGAGTTAAACCTTTCTTTTCGTTCAGCAGTTTTGAAGCACTGTTTTTTAGAATCTGCAAAGAGATATTTTGTAGCACATTGAGACCTATGTTGAAAAAGGAAATATATTCAGATAAAAACTAGAAAGAAGCATTCTGAGAAACTGCTTGGGGATGTGTTGACTCATCTCACAGAGATAAAACTTTTTCTGGATTCAGCAACTTGGAAACACTATTTTTGTCCATTCTGCCAATGGACATTTGGGACATCTTTGAGGCCAATGGTGAAAAAGCAAATATCCAAGGAAAAAAATACTTGAAGCACGTTATCTGAGAAACTGATGTGTGATGTGTGCATTCATCTCACAGAATTAAACCTTTCTTTCCATTCAGCAGTTTGGAAACACTGTTTTTGTCCATTCCGTGAATGGACATTTTGGAGCTCATTGAGGTCAATGGCGAAAAATTGAATATCCCAGGATAAAAATTAGAATTAAGGTATCTGAGAAACTGATTTGTGATCATGCATTCATCTCACAGACTTCAACCTTTTCTTCATTCAGCAGTTTAGAAACACTGTTCTCTTAGAATCTGTGAGGAGATATTTTGTAGCGCAATTAGACCTATGGTGAAAAAGGAAATATCTTCCAATAAAAACCAGGGGGAAGCTTAATGAGAAACTGCGTGGGAATGAGTGCATTCATCTCACAGAGTTAAACTAAACCTTTCTTTACATTTGACATTTTGGTAACACTGTTTTTGTTCATTCTGCGCTGGACATTTTGGAGCTCATTGATGCCAATGGCCAAAAAGTGAATATTCCATTAGAAAAACTGGAAGGAAGCTAACTGAGAAACCACTTTGTCGTGTGTGAATTCATGTCACAGAGTTAAACCTTTCTGTTCATTCAGCAGTTTGGACACAATGTTTTTGTAGAATCTGTGAAGGAATATATGGCCGTGCATTGAGGCCTGGGATGAAAAAGGAAATATCTTCAGACAGAAACTAGAAAGAACCTTTCTGAGAAACTCTTTTGTGAAGTGTTCATTCATCTCACAAAGTTAAACTTTTCTTTGGATTCAGCATTTTGGATACACTGTTTTTGGTCATTCTGCGAATGGACATTTGGGAATGCATGGAAGCCATTGGCGAAAAAGCAAATATCCCAGGATAAAAACTAGAAGGAAGTTATCCGAGAAACCGCTTTGTGATGTGTGAATTCATGCTGGGATATTCACTTTTTTGCTATTGCTCTCAGCGAGCTCCCAAATGTCCATTGGCAAAAAGGACAAAAACACTGTTACCAAACTTCTAAATCCATAGAAAGGTTTAACTCTGTGAGATGAACCCACACATCAAAAAGTAGTCTCTCAGAAAGGTTCTTTCTACTTTTTATCTGAATATATTTCCTTTTTCACTATAGGCTTCAATGCGCTGCCAAATAACCCTTTGCAGATTCTACAGAAACAGTGTTTCCAAACTGCTGAATGAAAAGAAAGGTTTAACTTTGTGAGATGAATGCACACATCAGAAAGCGTTTTATGAGAGATCTTCCTTCTACTTTGCATCCTGGGATATTTGCTTTTTCACCATTGGCCTCAATGAGCACCCAAATGTCCATTTGCAGAAGGGACCAAAACAGCAGTTCCAAACTCCTGAATCCCATGAAATGTTTATCTCTGTGAGGTGAATGAACACATCACCCAGCAGTTTCCCAGAAAGCTTCTTTCTAGTTTTTATTTGAAGATATTTGCTTTTTCAAATTAGGCCTCAATGTGCTTCCAAATATCCTTTCACATATTCTACAAAAAGAGATTTTCCAAACTTCTGAATGAAAAGAAATTTTAACTCTGTGACGTGAATGCACACATCACAAATCAGTTTCTCATATAACGTGCTTCTAGTTTTTATCCTGTGTATTCACTTTATTGACATTGGTGTCAAAGAGCTCCCAAATGTCCATTCACAGAATGGACAAAACAGGATTTCCAAACTGCTGAATCCAAAGAATGGATTAATTCTGTAAGATGAATGAACACATGACAAAGCAGCTTCTCAGAAAGCTTCTTTCTAGTTTTTACCTGAAAATATTCCTTTTCCCCATAGACCTCAATTTGCTCCCAAATATCCCTTCACAGATTCTACAAAAACAATGTCTCCAAACTTCTGAATAAAAAGAAAGTTTTACCTCTGTGAGATGAATGCGCATGACACAGAACGGTTTCTCAGATACCTTCCTTCTAGTTTTCATCCTTGGATACTTGCTTTTTTGCCACTGGCCTCAATGAGCTCCTAAATGTCCATTCGCAGAATGGACGAAAACACTGTTACCAAAATGCAGAATCCAAAAAAGGTTTAACTCTCTGAGATGAATGAACAAGTTACAAAGCAGTTTCTCAGAAAGCTTTTAATTTTTATCAGAAGATATTTCCTTTTTCACCATAGGCCTCAATGTGCTGCAAAATATCTATTCACAGATTCCAGAAAAACAGTGTTTCCCAACTTTTGAAGGAAAAGAAAGATTTAACACTGCAAGATGAATGCATACATCACAGAGCGTTTTCTCAGATATTTTCCTTCTAATTTTTATCCTGGGATATTCACTTTTTCGCTATTGGCCTCAATGAGCTCCCAAATGTCCATTCACAGAATGGACGAAAACAGTGTTACCAAACTGCTGAATCCAAAGTTTTAACTCTGTGAGATGAATGAACATATCACAAAGCAGTTTCTCATTAAGCTTCTTTCTAGTTTTTATCTGAAGATATTTCCTTTTTCACCCTAGGCCTCTATGAGATCCCAAGTATCACTTCACAGATTCTAAGAAAACAGTGTTTCCAAACTGCTGAAAGAAAAGAAAGGTTTAACACTGTGAGATGAATGCAGATGTCACAAAGCAGTTTCTCTGATATCTTCCTTCTAGTATTTATCCTAGAAAATTCACTTTTTCATCATTGGCCTCAATAAGCTTCCAAATGACCATTCGCAGAATGGACAAAAATAGTGTTACCAAACTGCTGAACCCAAAGAAAGGTTTAACTCTGTGAGGTGAATGAATGCACACATCTCAAAGCAGTTTCTCAGAAAGCTTCCTTCTAGTTTTAATCTGAACATATTTCCTTTTCAACCGTAGGCCTCATTGCACTGCCAAATATCTCTTGGCAGATTCTAAGAAAACAGTGTTTCCAAACTGCTGAATGAAAAGAAAGATTTAACTCTGTGAGATGATGAATGCACACAACTCACATTGGTTTCTCAGATAACGTGCTTCTAGTTTTTGTCCTGGGATATTCACTTTTTCACCACTGGCCTCCATGAGCTCCCAAGTGTCCATTCACAGAATAGACAAAAACAGTGTTTCCAAACCTCTGAATCCAGAAAAAGTTTTAACTCTGTGAGACGAATGCACACATCACAATGCAGTATATCAGAAAGCTTCTTTCTAGTTTTTATATGAAGTTATTTCCTTTTTCTGCATAGTCCTCAATGCACTCCCAAATATCCCTTCACAGAATCTACAAAAACAGTGTTTCCAAACAGATGAAAGAGAACAAATGTTTAATTCGGCAAGACGAACACACACATCATAAACAGGATTCTCAGATAGCTCCCTTCTGCTTTTTATCCTGGGATACTCACTTTTTCACCATTGGCCTCAAGGAGCTGCAAAATGTCCATTTGCAGAATGGACAAAAACTTTTTCCAAACCGTGGAATCCAAAGAAAGGTTTACCTCTGTTATATGAATGCACACAACATGAATCAGTTTCTGAGAAATCATGTTTCTAGTTTGCATCTGAAGATATTACTGTTTTCACCATAGGCCTCAATGTGCTACCAAATATCCCATCACACATTCTATGAAAACAGTGTTTCAAAGCTGGTGAAAGAAAAGAAAGGTGTAAATATGTGAGATAAATGCACACATCACAAAGCAGTTTCTCAGATAGGTTCCTTCTAGTTTTTATCCTGGGATATTCACTTTTTCATAATTGGCCTCAATGAGCTCACAAATGTCCATTTGCAGAGTGGACAAAAACAGTGTTTCCAAACTGCTGAATAAAAATAAGTGTTTAACGCTGCAAGATGAATACACACATCACAAAGCAGTTTCTCAGATAGCTTCCTTCTAGTTTGTATCCTGGGATATTTCCTTTTTTGCCATTGACCTCAAAGAGCTCCCAAAAGTCCATTTGCAGAATGGACAAAACTGCTGTATCCAAAGAAAGTGTTAAATCAGTGAGATGAATGAACACATCACAAAGCAGTTTCTCAGAAAGCTTATTTCTTGTTTTTATCTGAAGATATTTCATTTTTCACCAAAGGCCTCAATGTGCTCCTAAATATCCCTTTGCAGATTCTACAAAAACAGTACTTCCAAACTGGTGAATGACAAGAAAGATTTAATACTGCGAGATGAATGCACACATCACAAATCAGTTTCTCAGAGAGCTTCCTTCTAGTTTTTATCCTTGGTTATTTGCTTTTTCGCCATTGGCCTCAATGAACATTCAAATGTCCACTTGCAGCATGGACAAAAACAGTCTTTCCAAACTGCTGAATCCAATCAAAGTTTTAACATTTTGTTAAATGTAAGCATCACAAAGCAGTTTCTCAGAAAGCTTCCTTCTAATTTTTATATGAAGATATTTCCTTTTTCACTTTAGGACTCAATTTGCTCCCAAATATCCCTTCATAGATTCTACAAAAACAGTGTTTCCAAACAGGTGAATGAAAACAAAAGTTTTACCCTTTGATATGAATGAACACATCACAAAGTGGTTTGTCAGATAGCCTCCTTGTAGTTTTTATCCTGGGATATTCTCTTTTTCACCTTTGGCCTCAAAGACCTTCAACATGTTCACTTGCAGCATGGGCAAAAACAAAGTTCCCAAACTGCTGGATCGAAAGAAAAGTTTAACTCTGTGTGATGAATGGACACATCACAAAGAGGTTTCTCAGATATCTTCCTTCTAGTTTTTATCCTGGGAAATTCACTTTTTTGCCATAGGCCTCTATGTGCTCCCAAATATCCCTTCACAGTTTCTACAAAAACAGTGTTTCCAAACTGCTGAACAAAAAGAAATGTTTAACTCTGTGAGATGAATGCACACATCACAAAGTGGTTTCTCAGACATCTTCCTTCTAGTTTTAAAGATCGATATCACTTTTTTGCTATTTGCCTCAATTAGCTCCCAAATGTCCATTCACAGAATGGACAAAAACAGTGTTTCCAAACTGCTGAATCTAAAGAAAGGTTTAAGTCTTTGAGATGAATGAACCCATCACAATGCAGTTTCTCAGAAAGATTATTTTGAGTTTTTAACTGAAGACATTTCCTTTTTCACCCTAGGCCTCAATGTGCTCCAAAATATCCCTTCACAGATTCTACAAAAACAATGTTTCCAAACTCCTGAATGAAAAGAAAGGTTTAACTATATGAGATAAATTCACACATCCCATAGTGTTTTCTCAGATAGCTTCCTTCCAGTATTTATCCTGGGATATTCCCTTTTTTGACACTGGCCTCAAAGAGCTCCCAAATGTTCATTTGCCACATGTACAGAAACAGAATTTCCAAACTGCTGAATCCAAAGAAGGTTTTAACACTTAGAGATGAATGTACACATCACAAGGTGGTTTCTCAGAAAGCTTCTGTCTATTTTTATATGAAGATACTTCTTTTTTCACCACAGGCCTCAAGGTGCTCCCAAACATCCCTACACATATTCTACAAAAACTGTGATTCCAAACTGCTGAATGAAAAGAAAGTGTTAACTCTATGAGGTGAATGTGCACATCACAATTCTGTTTCTCAGATATCTTCCTTCTATCTTTTGTCCTGGGATATTCACCTTTTCACAATTGGCCTCAGTGAGCTCCCAAATATCACTTCACAGATTCTATAAAAACAGTGTATCCAAACTGCTGATTGTAAAGAAAGGTTTAACTCTGTGAGTTGAATACACACATCAAAAAGCGGCTTTTCAGATCGCTTCCTTCTGTTTTTATCCTGGTATATTCACTTTTTCGCCATTGGCCTCAACTAGTTCCAAAATGTCAATTCGCAGAATGGACAAAAACAGTGTTTCCAAACAGCTGAATGCAAAGAAATATTTAAATGTGGGAGATGAATGAAATAATCACAAAGCATTTTTTCAGAAAGCTTCTTTCTAGTTTTTATCTAAAGATATTTCCCTTTTTATCATAGGCCTGACTGCACTCCAAAATATCCCTTCGCAGATTCTAGAAAAACAGTGTTTCCAAGCTGCTGAATGAAAAAATTTTTAACTCTAAGACATGAATGCACACATCACAAAGAATTTTCTGAGATAGCTTCCTTCTAGTTTTTATCCTGGATTATTCTGGTTTTCACCATCAGCCTCAAAGAGCTCCCAAATGTTCACTTGCAAAGTGGACAGAAACAGTGTTTCCAAACTGCTGAATCCAAAGAAAGTTTTTATTCTGTGAAATGAATGCACACCTCAACAAGCAGTTTCTCTGAAAACTTTTTTCTACTTTTTATCTGAAGATATTTTCTTTTTCACCATCGGCCTCAATGCCCTCCTAAATATCCCTTTGCAGATTCTAAAAAAACAGTGTTTCCAAACTGCTGAATGAAAGGAAAGCTTTAACTCTGTGAGAAGAATGCACACATCAAAAAGCAGTGTCTCTGATTGGTTCCTTATAGTTTTCATCCTGATATATTTGGTTTTTCACCATTGGCCTCAATGAGCTCACAAATGTCCATTCACAGAATGTATAAAGACGGTGTTTCCAAACTGCTGAAACCAAAGAAAAGTTTACCTCTGTGAGACGAATGCACACATCACAAAGCAGTTTCCCAGAAAGCTCCTTTCTAGTTTTAATCTCAAGGTATTTGCTTTTTCACCATAGGCCTCAATGAGCTCCCAAATATCCCTTCACAGATTCCACAAAAACAGAGTTTCAAAACAGCTAAATTAAAAGAAAAGTTTATGTCTGCAAGATGAATGCAGACATCATAAAGCAGTATCTCAGATAGCTTCCTTCTAGTTTGTAAGCGGAGATATTCACTTTTTTGCCTTTGGCCTCAATGAGCTCACAAATGTCCATTCACAGAATGGATAAAGACAGGGTTTCCAAACTGCTCAATCCAAAGAAAGGTTTACCTCTGTCAGACGAATGCACACATCATAAAGCAGTTTCTCAGAAAATTTCTTTCTAATTTTTATATGAAAATATTACCTTTTTCACCATAGGACTCAATGTGCTCCCAAGTATCCCCTGACAGATTGTGCAAAAATAATGTTCCAAACTGCTGAATGAAAAGAAAGGTTTAGCTCAGTGAGATAAAAGCACACATGACAAAGCAATTTCTCAGATATCTTCCTTCTAGTTTTTATCCAGGAATATTTGCTTTTTTGCCATTCACCTCAGTGAGCTCCAAAATGTCCCTTCACAGAATGCACAAAAACAGTGTTTCCAAACTGCTGAATCCAAAGAAAGTTTTACCTCTGTGAGATGAATGCACATGTCACAAAGTGGTTTCACAGATAGCTTCCTTCTAGTTTTCATATGAAGATATTTCCTTTGACAACATAAGCCTCAATGTGCTATAAATATCCCTTTGCAGATTCTGCAAAAACAGTTTTTCCAAACAGCTGGATGTAAACAAAGTTTTAACTCTGCCAGATGAATGCACTCCTCACAAAGCTGTTTTTCATATAGCTTCCTTCTGGTTTTTAATTGTGGGATATTCGCTCTTTCACCCTTGGTGTCAAAGAGCTTCCAAAAGTCCACTTGCAGAATGGACAAAATCAGTGTTTCCAAATTGCTGAATGCAAAAAAGGTTTAACACTGTGAGATGAAGGCACACATCCAAAGCAGTTTCTCAGAAAGCTTAGTTGTAGTTTTTATTTAAATAAAATTGTTTTTCACCATAGGCTTCAAAGCCCTCCCAAATATCACTTCGCAGATTCTATAAAAACAGTGTTTCCAAACTGCTGAATGAAAAGAAATGTTTAAATCTTGGAGACGAATACACATATCAAAAAGGGGTTTCTCAGATAGCTTTCCTGTACTTTTTTCCTGGGATATTCACTTTTTGTCCGTTGGCCTTAATGAGCTCCAAAGTGTCCATTCGGAGAATGGATGAAAACAGTGTTTCCAAACTGCTGAAATAAAAAAAAAAAAAGTTTAACTCTGTGAGATGAAAGCACACATTACAAAGCATTTTCTGAGAAAGCTTCTTTGTAGTTTTTCTCTGAAAATATTTATTTTTCCCCATAGGAATCAGTGCGCTACCAAATATCCCTTCGCAGATTCTAGACAACAGTGTTTTCAAATTGCTGAATGAAAAGAAATGTTTACCTCTGTGAGATGAATGCACACATCAAAAAGCAGTTTCACAGATAGCTTCCTTCTAGTTTTTATATGAAGATATTTCCTTTTTCACCCTAAGCCTCAATGTGTTCCCAAATGTCCATTCACAGATTTTTCAAAAAAAGTGTTTCCAAACTGCTGAAAAAATAGAAAGTTTTAACCCTGTGATATGAATGTGCACATCACAAAGCAGTTTTTGAGATAGCTTTCTTCTTATTTTTATCCTGGGATATTCGCTTTTTTGCTTTTGGCCTCAATGAGCTCACAAATGTCCATTCATAGAAAGGACAAAAACAGTGTTTCCAAACTCCTGAATCCAAAGAAAAGCTTAACTCGGTGAGATGAATGCACACGTCACAAAGCAGTATGTCAGAAAGCTTCTTTCTAATTTTTATATGCAGATATTTCCTTTTTTGCCATAGGCCACACTGTGCTCCAAAATATCCCTTTGCAGATTCTACAAAAACAGTGTTTCCAAACTGCTGAATGAAAAAAAAAGTTCAACTCTACAAGATGAATGCACACTTCACAAAGCAGTTTCTCAGTTAGCTTCCTTCTAGTTTTTATACTGTGATATGTGCTTTTATGGAATTTTCCTCAGTGAGCTCCCAAATATCCATTCACAGAATGGACAAAAATAGTGTTTCCAAACTGCTAAATCCAAAGAAAGCTTTAACTATGTGAGAGGAATGCACACCTCACAAAGCAGTTTGTCAGAAAGCTTCTTATGAGTTCTTATCTGAAGTTATTTCCTTTTTCACTGTAGGCCTCAATGGGCTTCTAAATATCCCTTCACAGATTCTGTGCAGTGCTGCCAAACGGCTGAATGAAGAGAAAGGTTTAACTCTGTGAGATGAATGCACACATCACAAAGCAGTTTACAAGATAGCTTCCTTTTAGTTTTTATCCTAGGACATTCGCTTTTTTACCATTGGCCTCAATGAACTCCCAATTGTCCGTTCGCAGAATGGACAAAAACAGTGTTTCCAAAGTGAAGAATTCAAAGAAAAACTTAACTCTGTGAGATGAATGCACATACCACAAAGCAGTTAGTCAGAAAGCTTCTTTCTAGTTTTTATCTGAAGATAGTTCCTTTTTTACCATAGGCCTGAATGCACTCCCAAATATCCCTTTGCAGATTCTACAAAAACAGTGTTTCCAAACTCCTGAATGAAAAGAAAGTTTTAATTCTGTGAGATGAATGCATACATCACAAAGCAGTTTCTCAGAAAGCTTTCTTCTAGTTTTTATCCTGGTGATTCATTTTTTCACTGTAGGCCTCAATAAGCTCCCAAATGTCCATTCACAGAATGGGCAACAACAGTGTTTCCAAACTGCTGAATGTAAAAAATTTTTTACTCTGTGAGATGAATGCAAGCATCACAAATCAGTTTGTCAGAAAACTTCCTTCTAGTTTATATCTGAACTTATATTCTTTTTCAGTATAGGCCTCAATGTGCACCCAAATATCCCTTTGCAGATACTACAAAAACAGCATTTTCAAAATGCTGAATGAAAAGAAAAGTGTAACTCTGCAAGATGAATGCACGCATAACAGAGCTGCTTCTCAGATAGCTTCCTTCTACTTTTTATACTGGGATATTCACTTTTTCACCTTTGGCCTCATTGAGCTCCAAAAATTCCATCCTCAGATTCTACAAAAACGGTTTTTCCAAACTGCAGAATGAATAGGAATGTTTACTGCTGTGACATGAATGTACACATCACAAAGCAGTTTCTCAGAAACTTTTTCTAGAAAGCTTTTTTCTAGTTTTTATCTGAAGATGTTTCCTTTTTCACCATAGGCCTCAATGTGCTCCCAAATATCACTTTGCAGAGACTACAAAAACAGTGTTTTCACACTGTTGAATGAAAAGTAACTTTTAACTCTGCCAGATGAATACACACATCACAACCTGTTTCTCAGATATCTTCCTTCTAGTTTTTATCCCGTGATAATCACTTTTTCACCTTTGACCTCAATGAGCCCCCAAATGTCCTTTCGCCAAATGGACAAAAATATTGTTTCCAAACCGCTGAATCCAAAGAAAACCTTAACTCTGTGAAATGAATGCACACCTCACAAATCAGTTTTTCAGAAAGCTTCTTTCTAATATTTTTCTGAAAATATTTATTTTCCCCCATAGGCCTGAATGCACTACCAATTATCCCTTTGCCAATTCTGCAAAAAACAGTTTTTCCATATTGCCTAAAGAAAACATAGTTTTAAATCTGTGTGATGAATGCATACATCACAAAACGGTTTCTCAGAAAGCCCCCTTCCAGTTTTCATCATGGGATATTCACTTTTTCAGAATTGGCCTTAGTGAGCTCCCAAATGTCCATTCTCACATTCTACAAAAACTGTGTTTCCTAACTGCAGAACAAACAGAAATATTTACTTCTGTGAAATGATTGTACTAATCACAAAGCAGTTTCTCCAAAAGCTTCTTTCTTGTTTTTATCTGAATATATTTCCTTGTTCACCATAGGCCTCAATTCGCTCTCAAATATCCCTTCACAGATTCTACAAAAACAGTGTTTCCTAACTGCTGAATGAAAACAAAGATTTAACTCTGTGACATGAATGCACACATCACAAAGACGTTTCAGAGAACTTCTTTCAAATTTTTACATGAATATATTTCCTTTTTCCACATAGGACTCAATGTGCTCCAAAATATCCCTTCACAGATTCTATAAAAGCAGTGATTCCAAACTGTTGAATGAAAAGAAAATTTTCACTGTGAGATGAATGCACACATCACAAAGTGGTTCCTCATATAGCTTCCTTCTAATTTTATCCTGGGATATTTTCTTTTTCACCACTGACCTCAATGAGCTCCCAAATGCCCATTTGCAGAATGGACAAAACAGTGTTTCCAAACTGCTGAATCCAAGAAAGTTTTAACTATGTGAGATGAATGCACATCTCACAAAGCAGTTTTTCAGAAGGCTTCTTTCTCATTTTTATCTGAAAAAATGTATTTTTCCACTTAGGCCTCAATGCACTACCAATTATACCTTTGCTGATTCTATGAAAACAGTGTTTACATATTGCTGAATGAAGAGAAAATTTTAACTCTGTGTGATGAATGCTCACATCACAAAGCGGTTTCTCAAAGAGCCTCCTTCTATTTTTTATTCTGGGATATTCACTTTTTTGGAAATGGCATCAATGAGCTCTGAAATGTCCATTCTCAGATTCTACAGAAACTGTGTTTCCTATCTACTGAATAAAAAGAAATGTTTACTTCTGTTAGATGAATGTATACATCAGAAAGCAGTTTCTCAGAAAGCTTCTTTCTAGTTTTAATCTGAATATATTTCCTTTTTCACCATAGGCCTCATTTCAGTCTCAAATATCCCTTCACAGATTCTACAAAAACAGTGTTGCCAAACTGCTGAATGTAAAGAAAGATTTAACTCTGTGACATGAATGCACATATCACAAAACGGTTTCTCAGATAGCTTCCTACTATTTTTTACCCCGGGATATTATCTTTTTCAACTTTGGCCTCAATGAGCTCCCAAATGTCCATTCACAGAATGGACAAAAACAGTCTTTCCAAATTGCTGAAACCAAAGAAAAGTTTAACTCTATGAGATTAAGGCACACATCACAAAGCAGTTTCTCAGAAAGCTTCTTCCAAATTTTTACATGAATATATTGCCTTTTTTACTGAAGGCCTCAATATGCTCAAAAATATCCCTTGACAGATTCTACAAAAACAGTGTTTCCAAACTGTTGAATAAAAAGAAAGTTTTAACTGTGTGAGATGAATGCACACATCACAAACCGGTTTCTCAGATAGCTACCTTCTAATTTTGACCTGGGATAATCCTTTTCTCACCATTTGCCTCAATGAGCTCCCAAATGTCCATTTCCAGAATGGGAAAAGCAGTGTTTCCAAACTGCTGAATCCAAAGATAGCTTTAACTCTGTGAGATGAATGCAAGCATAACACAGCAGTTTCTCAGAAATTGTCTTTCTAGTTTTTATCCAAAGATATTTCCTTTTTCACTCTAGGCATTTTGCGCTACCAATTATCCCTTCACAGATTCTACAAAAACAGTATTACCAAACGGCTGAATAAAAAGAAAGTTTTTATTCTGTGAGATGAGTGCACATATCACAAAGTGGTTTATCAAACAACTTCCTTCTATTTTTTATTCTGGTATGTTCACTTTTTTGTCGTGGGCCTCAATGAGCACCCAAAGGTCCATTCTTAGATTCTACCAAAACAGTATTTCCAAACTGCTGAATCCAAAGAAAGGATTATCTTTGAGATAAATGGACACATTACAAAGCAGTTTCTCATAAAGCTTCTTTCTAGTTTTTATCTGAAGATATTTCCTTTTTCACCATAGGCCTCCATGTGCTACCAAATATCCCTTCACAGATTCTAGGAAAACAGTGTTTCCAAACCACTGAACCAAAAGAAAGGTTTAAATCTGTAATATGAAAGCACACATCAGAAAGCAGTTTCTCAGATAGCCTCCTTCTAGTTTTTACCCTGAGATACCAACTTTTTTGCCTTTGGCCTCCATGAACTCCCAAATGTCCTTTCACAGAATGAACAAAAACAGTGTTTCCAAACTGCTGAATCCAAAGAAAGCTTTAAGTCTGTGAGATGAATGTACACATCACAAAGCTATTTCTCTGAAAGCTTCTTTCTGGTTTTTATCTGAAGATATTTCCTTTTTCACCACTGACCTCATTGAACTCCCAAATATCCCTTTGCAGATTCTTCAAAAAGTGTTTCCAAATGGCTGAATGAAAAGAAGGGTTTAAGTTTGTGAGATGAATGCACACATCACAAAGCAGTTTCTCAGAAATCTTCTTTTTAGTTTGTATCTGAAGGTATTTCCTTTTTCACCATAGGCCTCAATGAGCTACCAAGTATCTCTTTGCAGATTCTAAGAAAACAGTGTTTCCAAACAGCTCAATGAAAAGAAAGGTTTAACTCTGTACGATGAATGCACACATCACAAATCAGTTTCTCAGTTCACTTCCTTCAAATTTTTATCCTGGGATATTCGCTTTTTCGCCAGTGGCCTCAATGATCTCTCAAATGTCCATTTACAGCATACACAAAAACAGTGTTTCCATACTGCTGAATCCAAAGAAAGGTTGAATTTGTGAGATGAATGCAAAAATCACAAAACAATTTCTCAGAAGGCTTCTTTCTGGTTTTCATCTGAAGATAATTCCTTTTTCACCATAGGCCTCAATGTGCTCCCAAATATTCCTTCGCAGATTGTACAAACACTGTGTTTCCAAACAGATGAATGTAAAGGTTTAACTCTGTGAGATGAATGCACACATCATAAAGTGGTTTCTCAGATAGCTTCCTTGAAGTTTTTATCCTGGGATATTGACTTTTTCACCATTGGCTTCAATGAGCTCCCAAATGTCCATTTGCAGAATGTACAAAAACAGTGTTTCCAAACTGCTGCATGCCAAGAATGTTTAACTCTGTGAAATGAATGCACACATCACAAAGCAGTTTCACAGAGAGATTCCTTCTAATTTTTATCTTAAGATATTTCTTTTCTCACCATAAGAATCAATGTGCTCCCAAATATTCCCTCACAGATTCTAAAATAACAGTGTTTTCAAACTGCTGAATGAATAGAAATATTTAATTCTGTAAGATGAATGCACACAATACATACATAGCGGTTTATCTGATATCTTCTTTCTAGATTTTATCCTGCGATATTCACTTTTTCATCATTGGCCTCAATGAGTTCCCAAATGTCCATTCACAGAATGAAGAAAAACAGTGTTTCCTAACTGCTAATGCAAAGAAAGGTTTAACTCTGTGAGGTGAATACACACATCACAAAGCAGTTTCTCAGAAATGTTCTTTCTAGTTTTTATCTGAATATATTTCCTTTTTCACCATAGGACTCAATGCACCACAAAATATCTCTTCACATAGTCTAACAAAACAGTGCTTCAAAACTGCTTAACAAAAAGAAAGGTTTAACTCTGTGAGGTAAATTCACATATCACAAATCGGTTTCTCAGATAACGTGCTTCTAGTTTTTATCCTGAGATATTCGCTTTTTCGCCGTTGGCCACAATGAGCTCCAAAGTGTCCGTTTGCAGAATGGACAAAAACAGTGTTTCCAAACTGCTGAATCCAGAGAGATGTTTAACTCTGTGTGCTGGATGCACACATCACAAAGCAGTTTTTCTTAGAAAGCTTCTTTCTAATTTTTATATGAATATATTTATGACCATAGACCTCACTGTACTTCAAAATATCTCTTCTAAGAAAACAGTGTTTTCGAAACTGCTGATTTGAAAGAAATGTTAAATTCTGTGAAATGAAGGCACACATCACAAAGCAGTTTCTTAGATATCTTCCTTCTAGTTTTTATACTGGGATATTCACTTTTTTGCAATTGGCCTCAATGAGCTCCCAAATGTCCATTTGCATTATAGACAAAAAGAGTGTTACAAAACTGCTGAATCCAGTGAAAGGTTTAACTCTGTGAGATGAATGCACATATCACAAAGCAGTTTCTCAAAAAGCTTCTTTCTAGTTTTTAATTGAAGATATTTCCTTTTTCACCATAGGCCTCAATGTGCTACAAAATATCTCTTTGAAGATTCTAAGAGAACAGTGTTTCCAAACTGCTTAATTAAAAGTAAGCTTTAACTCTGTGTGTTGAATGCACACATCACAAATCGGTTTGTCATATAACTTCCTTCTAGTTTTTGTCTTGTGATATTCGCTTTTTTGCCATTGGCCTCAATGAGTTCCCAAATGTCCATTCACAGAATGGACAAAAACAGTGTTTCCAAACTGCTGAATCCAAAGAAAGGTTAAATTCTGTGAGTCAAATCCACACAAAACAAATGAGTTTCTCAGAAAACTTCTTTCTAGTTGTCATCTGAACATATATTCTTTTTCACCTTAGGCCTCAATGCGCTCCCAAATACCCCTTCGCAGTTTCTACAAAAACACTGTTTCCAAACTGCAGAATGAAAAGAAAGATTTAATTCTGTGAGATGAATACCCACATCCCAAAGTGGTTTCTCAGATAGCTTCCTTGTAGTTTTTATCATGAGATACTTTCTTTTTTGCCATTGGCCTCAATGAGCTCCCGAATGTCCATTTGCAGCATGAACAAAAACAGTGTTTCCAAACTGCTGAATCCAGAGAAATTTTTAACTCTGTGATGAATGAACACATCACAAAGCATTTTCACAGAAAGGTTCTTTTTAGTTCTTATCTGAAGATATTTCCTTTTTCACAGTTGGCCTCAATGAACTACTAAATATCTTTTTGCAGATTCTAAGAAAATAGTGTTTCCAAACTGCTGAATGAAAAGAAAGGTTTAACTCTGTGAAATGAATGCACACATCACAAATAGGTTTCTCAGGTAAACTCCTTGTAGTTTTTATCTTGGGATATTCCCTTTTTTGCCATTGGCCTCAATGAGTCCCCAAATGTCCGTTTGCAGAATAGACAAAAACAGTGTTTCCAAACTTCCAAAACCAGAGAAAAGTTTAACTCTGTTAGGTGAATGCATATATCACAAAGCAGTTTCTCAAAAAGCTTCTTTTTAATTTTTATATGAATATATTTCCTTTTTCCCCATAGGCCTCAAGGCAATGCAAAATAACTCTTCAGAGATTCTAAGAAATCAGTGTTTTGAAACTGCTGAATTGAAAGAAAAGTTTAACTCTGTGAGATGAATGCACAATCACAAAACAGTTTTGCAGATATCTTCCTTCTAGTTTTTACCCTGGGATATTCACTTTTTCACCATTGGCCTCAAAGAGATCCCAAGTGTCCATTTGCACTATAGACAAAAACAGTGTTTCCAAACTGCTGAATCCAGAGAAAGGTTTAACTATGTGAGGTGAATGCACACATCACAAAGCAGTTTCTCAGAAAGGTTCTTTACAGTTTTTATTTGAAGATATTTCTTTTTTCACCATAGGCCTTCATGTGCTACAAAATATCTCTTTGTAGATTCTAAGAAAACAGTGTTTCCAAATTGCTGCATTAAAAGAAAGCTTCAAATCTTTGGGGTGAATGCACATATCTCAAAGCAGTTTCTCAGAAAGCTTCTTTCTAAGTTTTATATGAATATATTTCCTTTTTCACCTTAGGCCTCAATGTGCTAAAAATATCTCTTTGCAGATTCTAAGAAAACGGTGTTTCCAAACTGATGAATTGAAAGAAGTGTTTGACTCTGTGAGGTGAATGCACACATCACAAAGTGGTTTCTCTGATAACTTCCTTCTAGTTTTTATCCTGGGATAGTCTCTTTTTCGCCATTGGCTTCAATAAGGTCCTAAATGTCCATTCTGCGAATGGACAAAAACAGGATTTCCAATCTGCTGAATACACAGAAAGGTTTAACTCTGTGAGATGTGTGCAAAAGTCATAAAGCAGTTTCTCAGAAAGCTTCTTTCCAGTTTTTATCTGAAGATACTTCCTTTCCCACTGTAGGCCTCAATTCACTCGCAAATATCCCATTACCGATTCTACAACAACAGTGTATAAAAACAACTGAATGAAAAGAAATATTTAACTCTGTGAGATTAATGCACGTATCACAAAGCAGTTTCTCAGATATCTTCCTTCTAGTTTTTATCCTGGGATATTCACTTTTTTGCTATTGGCCTCAATAAGCTCCCAAATGTCCATTCACTGAATGGACAAAAACAGTGTTTCCAAACCGCTGAAAGCAAAGAAATGTTTAATTCTGTGAGATGAATGGACACATCACAAGTCTGTTTCTCAGAAAGCTTCTTTGTAGTTTTTATCTGAAGATATTTCCTTTTTTGCCATAGGCCTCAAAGCACTGCCAAATATCCCTTCACAGGGATATTGCTACAAAATATGTTTCTACAAAAACAGTGTTTCCAATCTGCTAAATGAAAAGAAAGTTTTAACTCTGTGAGATGAATGCCCACATCATAAAGCAATTTTTCATAAAGCTTCTGTCAAGTTTTTCTCTGAAGATAATTCCTTTTTCATCATAGGCCTCAATGCACTCCCAAATATCCCTTTGCAGATTCTGCAAAACAATGTTTCCAAACTGCTGAATGAAAAGGAAGGTTTAACTTTGTAAGATGATTGCACACATCACAACACGGTTTTTCAGATATCTCCTAGTTTTTATCCTGGGGTGTAGATTTTGTTGCCATTGTCCTCAATGAGCTCCCAAATGGCCATTCTCAGAATGCACAAAAACAATTTTTCCAAACTGCTGAATCCAGAGAAAGGTTTAACTCTGTGAGATGAATGTACTCATCACAAAGCATTTTCTCAGAAAGCTTCTTTCTAGTTTTTACCTGAATATATTCCCTTTTTCACCTTAGGCCTCAATGCACTCCAAAATATCCCTTCACAGATTCTACAAAAACAATGTTTGAAAACTGCTGAAAGAAAAGAAAGGTTTAACTCTGGGAGATGAATGCACACAACACAGAGCAGTTTCTCAGATATCTTCCTTCAAGTTTTTATCCTGGGATATTTGCTTTATCATTAAGATTCTTTCTAGTTTTTTCTCAACATATTTCCTTTTTCACCACAGACCTCAATGCCCTATGAACTATCTCCTCACAAATTCTAGAAAAACAGTGTTTCCAAACCACTGAATGAAAATAAATGTTTAACTCTGTGAGATGAATGCACACATTGCAAAGCAGTTTCTCAGATAGATTCTTGTAGTTCTTATCATGGGATATTTGTTTTTTTGCCATTGGCCACAATGAGCTCCTGAATGTCCATTTGCAGCATGGAAAAAAACAGTGATTCCAAATTGCTGAATGCAGAGAATCCTTTCACTCTGTGAGATAAATGCACACATCAGAAAACAGCTTCTCAGAAAGATTCTTTGTAATTTTTATATGAATATATTTCCTTTTTCACCATAGGCCTCATTGCGCTCACAATTATCCCCTCACAGATTCTACAAAAACAGTGTTTCCAAACTAGTGAATGAAAAAAAAAGGTTTACCTCTGTGAAATGAATGCACACACCACAAATCGGTTTCTCAGATAACATCCTTCTAGTTTTTATCCTGGAATATTCACTTTTTCACCATTGGCCTCAAAGAGCTCCCAAATGTCCATTCGCAGAATGGATAAAAACACTGTTTGTAAACTGCAGAATTCAAAGAAAGGTTTAGCTCTGTGAGATGAATGCACACATCACAAAGCAATTTCTCAGAAAGATTCTTTCTAGTTTTTATCTGAAGATATTTCCTTTTTCACCCTAGGACTCAATGCACTACCAAATATCCCTTCGTGGATTCTAAGAAAACAGTGTTTCCAAACTGCTGAATGAAAAGAAAGGTTTAACTCTGTGAGTTCAAAGCACACATCACGAATTGGTTTCTCAGATAAATTCCTTCTAGTTTTTATGCTGGGATATTCGCTTTTTCACCACTGGCCGAAATGAGCTCCAAAATGTCTGATTGCAGACTGGTCAAAAACAGTGTTTCCAAACTGCTGAATCCAGAGAAATGTTTAACTCTGTAAGGTGAATGCACATATCACAAAGCAGTATCTCAGAAAGCTTCTTTCTAATTTTTATATGAATATATTTCCTTTTTCACAATACACCTCAATGTGCTGAAAAATATCTCTTCACAGATTCTAAGAAAAGTGTTTTGAAACTGCTGAACTGAAAGAAATATTTAACCCTGGGAGATAAATCCACACAGAACAAAGCAGTTTCTCAGATATCTTCCTTCTAGTTTTTATCCTAGGATATTCACTTTGTCACCATTGGCCTCAAGGAGCTCCCAAATATCCATTCACAGAATGGACAAAAACAGTTTTCCCAAACTGCTGAATCCAAAGAAAGGTTTAACTCTGTGAGATGAATGTTTACACCACAAATCAGTCTCTCAGATAAATTCTTTCTAGTTTTTATCCTGGGATATTCGCTTTTTGGCCATTGGCTTCAATGAGCTCCAAAATGTCCATTAGTTGAATGAACAAAAACAGTGTTTCCAAACTGATGAATCCAAAGAAATGTTTAACTGTGTGAGATTAATGGAAACGTCACAAAGCAGTTTCTCAGAAAACTTCTTTCTAGTTTTTATCTGAAGATATTTCCTTTTTCAGCATAGGCCCCAAGGCACTCCCAAATATCTGATCGCACATTCTACAAAAACAGTGTTTCCAAACTGCTGAAAACAAGGAAATGTTTACCTCTGTCAGATGAATGAAAACATCACAAAGCACTTTCTCAGTAAACTTCCTTCTAGTTTTTATCTGAATATATATTCTTTTTCACCATACGCCCCAATGAACTCCCAAATTTCCTTTCACAGATTCTACAAAAACAGTGTTTCCAACCTGCTGAATGAAAAGAAAGGATTAACTCTGTGAGATGAGTGTCCACATCTCAAAGTGTCCACATCACAGGTAGTTTGCTTGTAGTTTTTATAATGAGATATTCTCTTTTTAGCCATTGGCCTCAATGAGTTCCCAAATGTCCTTTTGCAGCATGGACAAAAACAGTGTTTACAAACTGTTGAATCCAGAGACAGGTTTAACTCTGTGAGATGAATGCACACATCAGAAAGCAGTTTCACAGAAAGCCTTTATGTAGTTTTTATCTGAAGACAATTCCTTTTTCACCATAGGCCAAATATCCCTTCACAGATTCTACAAAAACAGTGTTTCCAAACTGCTGAATGAAAAGAAAGGTTAAGCTCTTTGAGCTTAATCCGCACATCAAAGAACCATTTCTCAGATAACTTCATTCTAGTTTTTATCCTGGGATATTTGCTTTTTCACCAATGGCCTAAATGAGATCCCAAATGTCCATTCGCAGAATGGACATAAATGGCATTACCAACCTGCAGAATCCAAAGAAAGTTTTCCAAACTGCTGAATGAAAAGAAAGTTTTAACTCTGAGATTAATGCCCACAACAAAGAGTGGTTTCTTAGATATCTTTCTCCTAGTTTTTATCATAGGATATTCTCTTTCTCGTGATTTTCCACAATGAGCTCCTAAAAGTCCATTCACAGAATAGACAAAAACAGTGTTTTCAGACTGTTGAATGCAAAGAAATGTTTACCTCTGTGAGATGAAGGACTACATTACATAGAGGTTTCTCGTTAAGCTTCTTTCTAGTTTTTATCTGAAAATATTTCCTTTTTCACCATAGGCCTCAATGCGCTACTTAATATCTGTTCGCAGATTCAAGAAAACAGTGTTTCCAAACTGCTGAATGAAAAGGATGGTTTACATCTGCGAGATGAATGCACACATCACAAAGCAGTTTCTTAGAGAGCTTCCTTCTAGTTTTTATCCTGGGATATTCCTTTTTTTGCCTTTAGCCTTAGTGAACTCCCAAATGTTCATTTACAGAATGGAAAAAAACAGTGTTACCAAACTGATGAATCCAAAGAAAGTTTTAACTCTATAAGATGAATGCACACATCACAAAGCAGTTTCTCAGAAAGTTTCTTTCTAGTTTAATCTGAAGATATTTCCTTTTTCACCATAGGCATCATTCTGCTACTAAATATCTCTTCACAGATACTAAGAAAACAGTGTTACCAAACTGCTGAATCCAAAGAATAGTTTAGCTCTGTGAGATGAATGAAAACATCATGAAGCACTTTCTCAGAAAGCTTCCTTCTAGTTTTTATCAGAAGATATTTCCTTTTTCACAATAGGCCTCAATGTGCTGCCAAATATCCCTTTGCAAATTCTGCAAAAATATTGTTTCCAAACTGCTGAATGAAAAGAAATGGTTAACTCTGGGCGATGAATGCAAACATCACAAAGTGGTTTCCCAGAGAGCTTCCTTCTAGTTTTAATCTTGGGATATTTGCTTTTTCACCATTGGCCTCAATGAGCTCCCAAATGTCCATTCACAGAATGGACAAAAACAGTGTTAACAAACTGTTGAATCCAAAGAAAGTTTTAACTCTCTGAGAAGAATGAACACATCACAAAGCAGTTTCTCAGAAAGCTTCTTTCAATTTTTTATCTGAAGATATTTCCTTTTTCACCATAGGCCTCAATGTGCTGTCAAATATCCCTTTGCAGATTCTACAAAAACATTGTTTCCAAACTGCTTTATGAAAAGAAAGGTTTCACTATGGGTGATGAATACAAACAACACACTGTGGTTTCTCAGAGAGCTTCCTTCTACTTTTTATCTTGGGATATTTGCTTTTTCACCATTGGCCTCAATGAGCTCCCAAAAGTCCGTTTGCAGAATGGACAAATACAGTGTTACAAAACTGCTGAGTTCAAAGAAATCTTTAACTCTGTTAGATGAATCCACGCATCAAAAGGTGTCTCTCAGAAAGGTTCTTTCTAGTTTTTATCTGAGGATATTTCTTTTTTCACCATAGGCCTAAATGTGCTGCCAAATACCCTTTCACAGATTCCAAAATAACACTGTTTCCAAACTACTGAATGAAAGGGAAGGTTTAGCTCTGCAGGGTGACTGAACACATCATGAAGCAGTTTCTTGGAGAGCTTCCATCTAGTTTTTATCCTGGGCTATTCACTTTTTCGCTTTGGCATCAATGAGCTCCCAAATGTCCATTCGCAGAATGGACAAAAACAGTGTTACCAAACTGATGACTGCAAGGAAAAGTTAACTCTGTGAGATGAATGCACACATCCTGAAGCAGTTTCTCATTAAGCTTCTTTGTAGTTTTTATCTGAAAATAGTTCCTTTTTCATCATAGGCCTCAATGTGCTACCAAATATCTTTTCACAGACTCTGATAAAACAGAGTTTCCAAACTCTTGAATGAAAAGAAAGGTTTAATTCTGTGAGTTGAATACAAATCTCAGAAATCGGTTTCTCAGATAAATTCCTTCTAGTTTTAATCCTGGGATATTCACTTTCTCGCCATTGTTCTCAATGAGCTCCCAAATGTGCATTCACAGAATGGACAAAAACAGTGCTTCCAAACTGCTGAATACAAAGAAAGTTTTAACTCTGTAAAATGAATGAACACATCACAAAGCAGTTTCTCAGCATGCTTCTCTCTAGTTTTAATCTGAAGAAATTTCCTTTTTCACCTTAGGCTTCAATGTGCTTCTAAATATCTCTTCACAGATTCTTCAAAAACAGTGTTTCCAAACTACTGAATGAAAAGAAAGGTTTAACACTGTGAGATGAATGCACACATCACAAAGGGTTTTCTCAGATATCTTCCTTCTAGTTTTTATCCCAGGATATTCACTTTTTCGCCATTGGCCTGATTGAGCTTCCAAATGTTCATTCACAGAATCAACAAAAACTGTGCTTCCATACAGCTGAATCCAAAGAAACGTTTAACTCTGTGAGATAAATGGACACATCACAAAGCAGTTTCTCAGAAAGCTTCTTTCTAGTTTTTATTTGACAATATTTCCTTTTTCACCATAGGCCTCAAAGCACTTCCAAATATCCCTTCACATATTCTACAAAAAGAGTGTTTCCAAAGTGCTGAATGAAAAGAAAAGTTTAACTATGTGAGATGAATACACACATCACAAATCAGTTTCTCAGATAACATGCTTCTAGTTTTTATCCTGGGATATTCACTTTTTCACCATTGGCCTCAATGAGCTCCCAAATATCCATTCGCAGAATGGACAAAAACAGTGTTTCCAAACAGCTGAATCCAAAAAAAGTTTAACAATATAAGGTGAATGAAAACACCACATAGCGGTTTCTCAGAAAGCTTCTTTCTACTTTTTGTCAGAATATGTTCCCTTTTTCACCAAAGGCTTCAATGTGCTGTCAAATATCCCTTCGCAGATTCTACAAAAACAATTTTTCCAAACTGCTTAATGAAAAGAAAGATTTAACTCTGCGAGGTGAATACACACAATGCAGAGCAGTTTCCCAGATACCTTCCTTCTTGTTTTTATCCTGGAATATTCACTTTTTCCCCATTGGCCTCAATGAGCCCCCAAAAGTCCACACGCAGAATGTACGAAAACAGTGTTTCCAAACTGCTGAATCCAAAGAACGGTTTAAATCTGTGAGTTGAATGGACCCATCACAAAGCAGTTTCTCAGAATGCTTCTTTCCAGTTTTTTTTCTGAAGATATTTCCTTTTTCACCATAGGCCTCAACGTGCTCCTAAGTATCCCTTCAGAGATTCTACAAAAACAGTGTTTTGAAACTGCTGAATGAAAAGAATGGTTTAATGCTGTGAGATGAATCCACACTTCACAAAGCTTTTTCTCAGATATGTTCCTTCTAGTTTTTATCCTGGGAAATTCACTTTTTTGTCATTGGCCCCAATGAGCCCCCAAATGTCCATTTGCAGAATGTATTAAAACAGTGTTACCAAACTGCCTAATCCAAAGAAAGATTCTACTCTGTGACATGGATGCACACATCACAAAGCAGTTTCTCAGAAAGCTTCTTTCTAGTTTTAATCTGAAGATATTTCCTTTTCAACCATAGGCCTCATTGCACTACCAAATATCTCTTGGCATTTTCTAAGAAAACAGTGTTTCCAAACTGCTGAATGAAAAGAAAGATTTAACTCTATGAGATGAATCCACACATCACAAAGCAGTTTCTCAGAAAGTGTCTTTCTAGTTTTTATCTGAAGCTATTTCCTTTTTCACCATAGGCCTCAATGCACTGCCAAATATTCCTACGCAGATTCTACAGAAACAGTGTTTCTAAACTGCTGTATGGAAAAAATGTTTCACTCTTGGAGATGAATGCAAACCACAGCAATTGGTTTCTCAGAGAGTTTCCTTCTAGTTTTTATCCTGGGATATTCACTTTTTTGCCATTGGCCTCAATGAGCTTCCAAATGTCCATGTGCAGAATGGTCAAAAACAGTTTTACCAAAGTTCTGATTCCAAAGAAAGCTTTAACTCTGTTAGATGAATTCAGACATCAAAAAGTCGTCTCTCAGAAAGGTTCTTTCTAGGTTTTCTCTGAGGATATTTCCTTTTTCACCATAGGCCTCAATGCTCTGCCAAATATCCTTTTGCAGATTCTACAAAAACACTGTTTCTAAACTGCTGAATGAAAAGGAAGGTTTAGCTCTGCAGGGAGAATGCACACATCACAAAGCAGTTTCTCAGAAAGGCTCTTTCTAGTTTTTATCCTGGGTAGTCACTTTTTCACCTTTGGCCTCAATGAGCTCCCGAATGACCATTCACAGAATGGACGAAAACAGTGTTACCAAACTGCTGTATCAAAAGAAAGGTTTGACACTGTGAGATGAATGCACACAACTGAAAGCAGTTTCTCATTAAGATTCTTACTAGTTTTTATCTGAAGATATTTCCTTTTTCACAGTAGGCCTCAATGCGCTTCAAAATATCTCTTCACAGATTCTACAAAAAGAATGATTCCAAACTGCTGAATGAAAAGAAAGGGTTAACTCTGTGAGATGAATGCCCACATCACAAAGCAGTTTCTCAGAGGGCTTCCTTCTAGTTCTTATGCTGGAATATTTGCTTTCTCCCCAATTGGCCTCAGTGAGCGCCCAAGTGTCCATTCACAGAATGGACAAAAACAGTGTTACCACATGCTGAATCCAAAGAAAGGTTTAACTCTGTTAGATGAAGGAACGCATCACAAAGCTGTTTCTTAGAAAGTTTGTTTCTAGTTTTTATCTGAAGATATTTCCTTTTTCAAAGTAGCCTCAATACACTGTCAAATAGCCCTTTGCAGATTCTACAAAAACAGGTGTTTCCAAACTGCTGAATGAAAAGAAATGTTTAATGCTGCAATATGAATGCAAGCATCACAAAGCGGTTTCTCAGAGAGCCTCCTTCTAATTTTTATCATGGGATATTCACTTTTTCACTACTGACTCAATGAGCTCCCAAATGTCTATTTGCAGAATGGACATAAACAGTCTTACCAAACTGCTGAATCCTAAGGAAGCTATAACTCTGTTAGATGAATGTACACAACCCATAGCCGTCTCTGATTAAACTTCTTTCCAGTTTTTTTCTGAATATATTTCCTTTTTTACAATAAGCCTCAATGCGCTGCCAAATATCCCTTCACAGATTCTACAAAAACAGTATTTCCAAACTGCTGTATGGAAAGAAAAGTTTAACACTGTGAGATGAATACACATATCAGAAAGCATTTTCTCAGATATCTTCCTTCAGGTTTTCATCCTGGGATATTCACTTTTTTGCCATTAGCCTCAATGACCTCCCAAGTGTCCATTGACAGAATGGACAGAAACAGTGTCACAAAACTGCTGGATCCAAAGAGAAGCTCAACCTTGGGAGATGAATCCACGCATCAAAAAGTGTCTGTCAGAAAGGTTCTTTCCAGTTTTTATCTGAAGATATTTCCTTTTTCACCATAGGCCTCATTGCACTACCAAATATCTCTTAGCAGATTCTAAGGAAACAGTGTTTCAAAACTGCTGAATTAAAAGAAAGGTTTAACTCTGTGAGATGAATGAACACATCACAAATCTTTTTCTCCAATAACATTCTTATAGATTTTATCCTGGGATATTTGCTTTTTCTTCATTGGTTCAATGAGCTCCCAAATGTCCATTCACAGAATGGACAAAAACAGTTTTACCAAACTGCTGAATCCAAAGAAAGGTTTAACTCTGTGAGATGAATGCAAACAACCAAGAGCAGTTTCTCATTAAGCTTCTTTCTATTTTTTATCTGAAGATATTTCCTTTTTCACAGTAGGCCACAATGCACTACAAAATATCTGTTAGCAGATTCCAAAAAACAGTGCTTCCAAACTGCTGAGTGAAATGAACGGTTTAACTCAGTGAGATAAATGCACACATCACAAATCGGTTTCTCAGATAACTTCCTTCTTGTTATCCTGGGATATTCGCTTTTTCGCCATTGGCGTCAATAAGCTCCCAAATGTCCATTCGCAGAATGGACAAAAGCAGTGTCACCAATCTGCTGAATTAAAAGAAAAGTGAGATTAATGCACACATCCAAAGCAATCTCTCTTTAAGCTTCCTTCTATTTTTTATCTGAAGATAATGCCTTTTTCCCCTTCAGCATCAATGCTCTACCAAATGTCTGTTTGCTGATTCTATGGAAACAGTGTTTCCAAACTGCTGAATGAAAGGAAATGTTTAACTCGATGAGATGATTGCAGACATCACAGTTCAGTTTCTCAGATAACTTCCTTCTAGATTTTGTCCTTGGATATATGCTTTTTTGCCATTGGTCTCAATGAACTCCCAAATGTCCATTGGTAGAATGGACAAAAACAGTGTTACCAAACTTCTGAATCCAAAGAAAGGTTTAACTCCATCAGATGAATCCACACATCAAAAAGAAGTCTCTTAGAAATGTTCTTTCTGGTTTCTATCTGAAGATATTTCCTTTTTAAACATAGGCCTCATTGTGCTACAAAATATCTCTTTGCAGATTCTAAGAAAAGAGTATTTCAAAACTGCTGAATGAAAAGAAAGGTTTAACTCTATGGGATGAATGCACTCATCACAAATAGGTTTCTCAGATAACTTCTTTCTAGTTTTTATCCTGGGATATTCACTTTTCACCATTGGCCTCAATGAACTCCCAAATGTCCATTCACAGAATGGACCAAACCAGTGGTTCCAAACTGCTGAATCCAAAGAAATGTTTAACTCTGTGAGATGAATGAAAACATCACCATGAAGTTTCTCAGAAAGCTTCTTCCGAATTTTTATCTGAACAAAATTCCATTGTACCATATGCCTCATCGTGCTCCAGAATATGCATTCACAGATTCTCCAAAAACAGTGCTTCCAAAATGCTGACTGAAATGAAAGGTTTAACTCTGCCAACTCTGCTAGATGAATGCACATATCACAAACCAGTTTCTCAGATATCGTCCATCTAGTTTTTATCCAGGGATATTCAATTTTTTCGAATCAAAAAAATTCAATTTTGATTTTGGTCAAAATGCAATGCCAAATACCCCTTTGCAGATTCTACAAAAACAGTGTTTACAAACTGCTGAATGAAAAGAAAAGCTTAAATTTGTGAGATGAATATACACATCACAACGCATTTTCTCAAAGAGCTTCCTTCTAGTTTTTATCTTGGGATATTTGCTTTTTTGACCTAGGCCTCAATGAGCTCCCAAATGTCCATTCGCAGAATGGAGAAAAACAGTGTTTCCAAACTGCTGAATCCAAAGAAAGATTTAACTCTGTGCAATGAATGAACACATCACAAAGCAGTTTCTCAGAAAGCTACCTTCTAGTTTATATCAGAATATATTTCCTTTTTCACCATAGGCCTCAATGCACTGACAAATATCCCTTCACAGATTCTAAAAAACAGTATTTCCAAACTGCTGAATGAAAAGAAGGGTTTAACACTGTGAGATGAATGCACAAATCACAGAGTGTTTTCTCAGATATCTTCTAGTTTTTCTCCTGTCATATTTCCTTTTTCACTGTTGACCCCAATGACCTCCCAAACGTCCATTCACAGAATGTACAAAAACAGTGTTTCCAAACTCCTGAGTTCAAACAAAGGTTTAAATCTGTAAGATGAATGAACGCAGCCCAAAGCAGTTTCTCAGAGAGCTTCTTTCCAATTTTTACCTGAATATATTCCCGTATTCTCCATAGTCCTCAATGTGCTCCCAAATATCCCTTTGCATATTCTACAAAAACAATGTTTCCAAACTGCTGAAAGAAAAGAAAAGTTTAACTCTGCGAGATGAGTGCACACAACACGGAGCGGTTTCTCAGATATCTTCCTTCTGGTTTTTAGCCTGGGATATTGGCTTTTTTGCCATTGACCTCAATGAGCTCCCAAATGTCCATTTGCAGAATGGACAAAACAGTGTGACCAAATTGTTGAACCCAAAGAAAGGTTTAACTCTGAGATGAATGAACACAGCACAAAGCATTTTTTCAGAAAGCTTCTTTCTACTTTTTACCTGAAGATATTTCCTTTTTCACAACAGGCCTCAATGCACTCCCAAATATTCCTTTGCAGATTCTTCAAAAACAGTGTTTCCAAACTGTTAAATGAAAAGAAAGGTTTAACTTTGCAACATGAATGCACACATCAGAATGCGTTTTCTGAGAGAGCTGCCTTCTAGGCTTTATCTCGGAATATTTGCTTTTACGCCATTGGCTTCAATGAGCTTCCAAATGTCCATTTGCACAATGGACAAAAACAGTGTTACCAAACTGCTGAATCTGAAGATGAATGAACACAGCCCAAAGCAGTTTCTCAGAAAGTTTATTCCTAGTTTTAATCTGAAGTTATTTCCTTTTTCACTGTAGGCCTCAAAATGCTACCAAATGTCTCTTCACAGATTCTAAGAAAACAGTGTTTCCAAACTCCTGAATGAAAAGAAAGGTTTCACTGTGTAATGAATGAACACATCAAAAATCAGTTTCTCAGATAACTTCCTTCTAGTTTTTATCCTGGCATATTTGCTTTTTTGCCATTGGCCTCAATGTGCCCCCAAGTGTCCATTTGCCGAATGGACAAAAACAGCGTTTCCAAACTGCTGAGTCCAAAGAAAGGTTTAACTCTGTGAGATGAATGAACACATCACAAAGCAGTTTCTCAGAAAGCTTCTTTCTCGTTTTTATCAAAATATATTTCATTTTTCACCATAGGCCTGAATGCGCTGATAAATATCCCTTCACATATTCTACAAAAAGAGTGTTTCCAAACTGCTGAATGAAAAGAAGTGTTTTACACTGCAAAATGAATGTGCAAATCACAGAGTGTTTTCTCAGGTATATTCCTTCCTTTTTCCCAACTGCAGAATCCAAAGAAAGGTTTATCTCTGTGAGATTAATGCAAATATCATAAAGCAGTTTCTCAGAAAGCTTCTTTCTAGTATTTAATCAGAAGATATTTCCTTTTTTACCATAGGCCTTAATGCGCTCCCAATATCCCTTCACAGACTCTACAAAAACCGTGTTTCCCAACTGCTGTATGAAAAGAAAGGTTTAACTCTGTGAGATAAATTCCCACATCACAAACCATTTTCTCTGATACATTCCTTCTAGTTTTTATCCTGGGATATTTTCTTTCTCCCCATGGGCTTTGCTGATCTCCCAATGTCCATTAGTAGGATGGAAAAAACAGTGTTACCAAACTGCTGAATCCAAAGAAAGGTTTAACTGTGAGATGAATGCAAAATCACAAAGCAGTTTCTCAAAAGCTTCTTTCTAATTTTTATAGGAATATATTTCCTTTGTCACCATAGGCCTCAATGCGCTCCCACATTTTCTTCACAGATTCTACAAGAACAGTGTTTCCAAACTGCTGAATGAAAAGAAAGGTTTCACTCTGTGAGATGAATGCACACATCACAAAGCCGTTTCTCAGATAAATTCTTTCTAGTTTTTATCCTGGGATGTTCACTTTTTTGCAATTGGCCTCAAAGAGCTCCCAAATGTACATTTGCAGCATGGACAAAAAGAGTGTTTCCAAACTGCTGAATCCAAAGAAAGGTTTAAATCTGTGAGATGTATACACACATCACAAAGCAGTTTCTCAGAACGCTTCTTTCGAGTTTTAACCTGAAGATATTTCCTTTTTCACCGTAGGCCTCAATGTGTTACAACATATCTCTTTGCAAATTTTAAGAAAACAGTGTTTCCTAACTGCTGAATGGAAAGAAAGTTTTAACTCTCTCAGAAGAATGCACACATCACAAAACGATTTCTCAGATAACTTCCTTATAGTTTTTATCCTGTGATATTTGCTTTTTTGCTGTTGACCTCAAAGAGCTCCCAAATGTAAATTTGCAGAATGGACAAAAACGGTGTTTTGAAACTGCTTAATCCAAAGAAAGTTTAACTCTGTGAGATGAATACATTCATCACAAACCAGTTTCTCAGAAAGATTCTTTCTAGTTTTTATCTGAAGTTTTTCCTTTTTCACCATAGGCCACTTGGTGCTCCCAAATATCCCGTCAGAGATTCTACAAAAACTGTGTTTCCCAACTGTTGAATGAAAAGAAATGTTTAATACTGTGTGTTGAATGCACATATCACAAAGCTGTTTCTCAGATAGCTACCTTCTTGTTTCTAACCTGGGACATTCAGAATGCTTTAAAACTGTGATATGAATGCACACACCACAAAGCAGTTTCTCACAAAGCTTGTTTCTTATTTGCAATTGAAGGTATTTAATGTTCACTGTAGGATTCAATGCACTCCCAAATATCCCTTCATGGATTCTATGAAAACAGTTTTTCCAAACTACTGGATGAAAAGAAAGTTTTAACGTTGCTAGATGAATGCACACATCACAAAACTGTTTCTCAGATAGCTTCCTTCTAGTTGTTATCCTGAGATATTGACTTTTTTGCCATTGGCCTCAATGAGCTCCCAAATGTACATTCGCAGAAAGGAAAAAAACAGTTTTGGAATATTCACTTTTTTGCCTTGTCCTCAATGAGATCCCAAATGTCAATTTTGCAACATGGACAAAAACTCTTTCCAAAATCCTGACTCCAAAGCTTTCACCCTGGATGAAGGCACACATCACAAAGCAGTTTTTCAGAAAGAATCTTTCTAATTTTTTTATGAAGATATTTCCTTTTTCACTTAGGCCTGAATGTGCTCCCAAATTTCCCTTCAGAGATTCTACAAAAACAGTGTTTCCAAACTGCAGAATGAAAAGAAATATTTAACTCAGCTGGATGAATGCACACATCAAAAAGCAGTTTCTCAGAAAGCTTCTTTCTAGTTTTTATCTGAAGATATTTCCTTTTTCACCATAGACCTAAATGTGTTCCCAAATATCCCTTGAGAGATTCTACAAAAACAGTGTTTCCAAACTGCTGAATGAAAAGAAAGGTTGAAATCTGCGAGATGAGTGCACACATCACAAAGCAGTTTCTCATATAGCTTTGTTCTTGTTTTTATCCTGGGATATTAGCTTTTTCGCCTTTGGCCCCAATGAGCTCCCAAATGTTCATTTGCAGCATGGACAAAAACAGTGTTATGAAACTGCTGAATCCAAAGAAAGATTTAACTCTGTGAGATGAATGCACACATCCCAAAGCAGTTTCTCATTAAGCTTCTTTAAGTTTTAATCTGAAGATATTTCCTTTCTCACCATAGACCTCAATGTGCTACCAAATATCTCTTCACAGATTCTAAGAAAATAGTAGTTCCACACTGCTGAATGAAGAGAAAGTTTTAATTCTGTGAGATGAATGCACACATCACAAATTGGTATCTCAGATCACTTCCTTCTAGTTTTTATCCTGGGATATTCACTTTTTCGCCATTGGCTTCAATGAGGTCCCAAATGTCCACTTGCAGAATGGACAAAAACTCTTTGTGCAAACTGCTGATCACAAGGAAAGGTTTAACTCTGTCCACACATCAAAAAGTAGTCTCTCAGAAAAGTTCTTCTTAGTATTTATCTGAAAATATTTCCTTTTTCACCATAGGCCTCATTGCACTACCAAATATCTCTTCGCAGATTCTAGGAAAACATTGTTTCCAAACTGCTGAATGAAAAGAAAAATTTAACTCTGTGAGAAGAATGCACACATCACAAGTCGATTTCTCAGATAACTTCCTTCTAATTTTTACCCTGGCATATTCATTTTTTGCCATTGGCTTCAAAGAGCTCCCAAATGTCCATTCATAGAATGGACAAAAACAATGCTTCCAAACAGCTGAACCCAAAGAAAGGTTTAACTCTGTGAGATGGATGAACACATCACCAAGGAGTTTCTCAGAAAGCTTATTTCTAGTTTTTATCTGACTTTCTGACTATGTTCACTTTTTCACCATAGGCTTCAATGCGTTCCCAAATATCCTTTCGCAGATTCTACAAAAGCAATGTTGCCACACTGCTGAATGAAAAGAAAGGTTTAACACTGTCAGATGAATGCACACAACACAGAGCAGTTTCTCATATATCTTCCTTCTAGTTTTTATCCTGGAATATTAACATTATCACCATTGGCCACAATAAGCTCCCACATGTCCATTCACAGAATGAACAAAAACAATGTTTCCAAACAGCTAAATCCAAAGAAAGGTTTAACTCTGTGAGATGAATGCACACATCCCAAAGCAGTTTCTCATTGAGCTTCTTCCTAGTTTTTATCTGAAGATATTTTCCTTTTCACCATAAGCCTCAATACCCTACCAAATATCTCTTTGCAGATTCTAAAAAAACAGTGTTTCAAAAATGCTGAATGAAAAGAAAAGTTTAACTCTGTGAGATGCATGCACACATCACAAATCTGTTTCTCAGAAAGCTTCTTTCAGTTTCCATCTGAAGATATTTCCTTTTTCACCATAGGCCTCAAGATGCTACCAAATATCTCTTAACAGATTCTAAGAAAACAGTGTTTCCAAACTGCTGAATGAAAAGAAACGTTTCACTCTGTGAGATGAATGCACACATCACAAATTGATCTCTCAGATAATGTGCTTCTAGTTTTTATCCTGGGATATTTACATTTTCACCTTTGGCCTCAATGAGCTCCCTAATGTCCATTCGAAGAATGGACAAAAACAGAGTTACCAAACTGCTGAATCCAAAGAAAGGTTTAACTCTGTGAGATTAATGCACACGTCACAAAGCAGTTTCTCAGAAATCTTCTGTCTAGTTTTAATCTGAAGTTATTTTCTTTTTCACCAAAGACCCCTTTGCCCTACAAAATATCTCTTTGCAGATTCTAAGAAAACAGTGTTTCCAAACTGTTGAATGAAAAGAAAGATTTAAATCTGTGAGGTGAATGAACACGTCAGAAATTGGTTTCTCAGACAACTTCCTTCTAGTTTTTATTCTGGGATATTTGCTTTTCCGCCATTGGCTTCAATGAGCTCCAAAATGTCCATTTGCAGAATAGACAAAAACAGTGTTACACACTGCTGAATCCAAAGAAAGGTTTAACTATGTGAGATGAATTAGCAAATCACAAAACAATTTCTCAGAAAGCTTTTTTCTAGTTCTGGTCTCAAGATATTTCCTTTTTCACAATAGGCCTCAATGCACTGCCAAATATCCCTTCACAGATGCTACAAAAAGACTGTTTCCAAACTGCTGAATGAAAAGACAGTTTTAACTCTGCAAGATGAATGCATACATCACAAAGCTGTTTCCTGGAGGGCTTCCTTCTAGTTTTTGTCTTCGGATATGCACTAGCAAATATCCCTTTGCAAATTCCAAGAAAACAGTGTTTCCAAACTGCTGAATGAAAAGAAAAATTAACTCTTTGCAATTAATGCACACATCACAAGTCGATTTCTCAGATAACATGCTTCTGGTTTTTATTCTGTGATGTCTGCTTTTTCACCATTGGCCTCAATGAGCTCCCTAATCTCTTCTTTCACAGAATGGACAAAAACAGTGTTTCAAAACAGCTGAATCCAAAGAAATTTTTAACTCTGTAAGATAAATGAACAAATCACTGTTTCTCAGAAAGCTTCTTTCTAGTTTTTACCTGAATATAATCTCTTTTTCACCACGAGCCTCAATGTGCTCCTAAATATCCCTTCGCAGATACTACAAAAACAATGTTTCCAAACTGCTGAATGAAAAGAAAGGTTTAACTGTGCCAGATGAATGCACACAACACAGAGCAGTTTCTCCGATACCTTCCTTCTAGTTTTTACCCTGGGATATTGGCTTTTTCACCACTGGCCTCAATAAGCTCCCTAGTGTCCATTTGAAGAATGTACAAAAATGGTGTTACCAAACTGCTGAATGCAAAGAAAGGTTTAACTCTCTGAGACTAATGAACACATTACAAAGCAGTTTCTCAGAAAGCTGCTTTCTAGTTTTTATCGAAGATATATTTCCTTTTTCACCACAGGCCTCAATGCGCTTCCAAATTTCCCTTCTCAGATTATACTAAAACAGTGTTTCAAAACTGCTGAATGAAAAGAAAGGTTTAACCCTGTGAGATAAATGCATACATCACAAAGTGGTTTCTCAGAGAGCTTCCTTCTAGTTTTTATCCTGGGATATTCTCTTTTTCATCATTGGTCTCAATAAGCTCCCTAGTGTCCATTTGAAGAGTGTACAAAAACCATGTTACCAAACTGCTGAATCCAAAGAAATGTTTAACTCTGTAAGATGAATGCACACATCACAAAGCAGTTTCTCGGAAAGCTTCTTTCTCTTTTTAATCTGAAATTATTTTATTTTTCACCTTAGTCCTCTTTGTGCTACAAAATATCTCTTCACAGATTCTAAGAAAACAGTGTTTCCAATCTGCTGAATGAAAAAAGGGGTTTAACTCTGTGAGATGAGTGCACACATCACAAATCAGTTTCTCAGATAACTTCCTTCTAGTGTATATCCTGGGATAATCGCTTTTTCGCCAATGGCATCAATGAGCTTCCAAATGTCCATTTGCAGAATGGACACAAACAGTGTTACCAAACTGATAAATCCAAGGACAGATTAACTCTGTGTGTTGAATGAACACATGCCAAAGCAGTTTCTCATTAAACTTCTTTCTAGATTTTATCTGAAAATATTTCCTTTTTCACCCTAGGCCTCATTGCACCACCAAATATCTCTTCACACTTTCCAAGAAAACAGTGTTTCAAAACTGCTAGATGAAAAGAAATGTTTAATTCTGTGAGATGAATGCACACATCACAAATCGGTTTCTCAGATAACGTGCTTCTAGTTTTTATACTGGGATATTTGCTTTTTCACCATTGGCCTCAAAGAGCTCCAAAATGTACAGTTGCAGAATGGACAAAAACAGTGTTTCCAAACTGCTGAATCCAAAGTTAGATTTAACTCCATAAGACAAATGAACTCATGACAAAGCAGTTACTCAAAAATCTTATTTCTATTTTTTTTCTGAAGGTATTTCCTTTTTCACCATAGGCCTCAGTGTGCTGTGAAATATCCTTTCACATATTCTAAGAAAACAGTGTTTGCAAACTGCTGAATGAAAAAGAAAGGTTTAACTCTGTGAGATGAATGCACATATCACAAATCAATTTCACAGACAACGTGCTTCTAGTTTTTATCCTGCGATATTCACTTTTTCGCATTTGGCCTCTATTAACTCCCAAATGTTCATTCACAGAATGGACAAAAACAGTGTTCCCAAACTGCTGAATCCAAAGAAAGTTTTAACTCTGTAAAATGAATGAACACATGACTAAGCAGTTTCTCAGAAAGCTTCTTTCTATTTTTTACCCAAATATATTCCCTTTTTCATCATAGGCCTCAAAGTGCTCCAATATCCCTTCTCAGATTCTACAAAAACAATGTTTCCAAACAGTTGAATGAAAAGAAAGGTTTAACTCTGTGAGATGAATGCATACAACACAGAGTGGATTCTCATATTTCTTCCTTCTAGTTTTTATCGTGGAATATTCACTTTTTTGCCATTTGCATCAATGAGCCCCTTAATGTCCTTTAGCAGAATGGACAAAAACAGTGTTACCAAACTGCTGAATACAAAGAAAGGTTTAACTCTGTGAGATGAATGAGCACATCACAAAGCAGTTTCTCAGATATCTTCCTTATAGTTTTTATCCAGGGATATTCACTTTTTCACCATTGGCCTCAATATGCTCCCAAATATCCCTTCAGAGATTCTACAAAAACGGTGTTTCCAACGTGCTGAATGAAAAGAAAATTTAAAACTGTCAGGTGAATGCACACGTCACAAGGCATTTTCTCAGATATCTTCCTTTTAGTTTTTTTCCTGGTATATTCACTTTTTGGCCATTGGCCTCATTGAGCTCCCAAACGTCCATTTCCATAATGGAAAAAAACAGTGTTACCAAACTGCTGAATGCAAAAAAAGGTTTCACTCTGTCAGGTGAACGAATACATCACAAACTAGTTTCCAAGAAAGTTTCTTTCTAGTATTTATCTGAAGATATTTCCTTTTTCACAATAGGCCTCAATTCACTGCCAAATATCTCTTTGCAGATTCTACAAAAACAGTGTTTCCTAACTGCTGAATGAAAAGAAGGGTTTAACTCTGTGAGATGAATGCATACATCACAAAGAGGTTTCTCAGAGATTCCTTCTAGATTTTATCCTGGAATATTCCCTTTTTCGCCATTGGCCTCAATGAGCTCCCAAATGTCCATTCGCAGAACGGACAAAAACAGTGCTACCAAACTGCTGAATCCAAAGAAAGGTTTAATTCTCAGAGATGAATGAACACATCACAAAGCAGTTTCTCGGAAACCTACCTTCTAGTGTTTATCCTTAGATATTTCCTTTTTTGCCATAGGCCTCAATGCATTGCAAATATCCCTTCTAAGGTCGTACCTAAACAGTGAATCCAAACTGCTAAATGAAAAGAAAGGTTTAACTCTGTGAGATGAATGCACATATCACAGAGCAGCTTCTCAGAGAGCTTCCTTTTAGTTTTTATCCTGGGATAGTCACTTTTTTGCCACTGGCATCAATGAGCTCCCAAATGTCCATTCACAGAAAGGACAAAAACAGTGTTACTAAGCTGATGAATCCAAGGAAGGATTAACTCTGTGTGTTGAATGCACACATCCCAAAGTCATTTCTCATTAAGCTTCCTTCTAGTTTTTATCTGAAAATATTTCCTTTTTCACCTCAGGCTTCATTGCACTACCATATATCTCTTCGCATGTCCTAAGAAAACAGTGTTTTGAAACTGATGAATGAAAACAAAGGTTTAACTCTGTGAGATGAATGCACACATCACAAATCAATTTCTCAGACCACCTGCTTCCAGTTTTTATCCTGGGATATTTGCTTTTTCACCATTGGCTTCAAAGAACTCCAAAAGGCCTCTTTGCGGAATGGACCAAAACAGTTTTTCCAAGCTGCTGAATCCAAAGAAAGGATTAACTCTGTAAGATGGATGAACAAATCACAAAGCAGTTTCTCAGAAAGCTTCCTTCTAGTTTTTATCTGAAGATATTTCCTTTTTCACAACGGGCCACAATGTGCTGCCAAATATCCCTTTGCAGATTCTAAGAAAACAGTGTTTCCAAATTGCTGATTGAAAAGCAAAGTTTAATTCTGTGAGATGAATGCACACATCACAAATTGGTTTATCAAATAACGTGCTTCTAGTTTTTATCCTGGGATATTCGCTTTTTTGCAGTTGGCCTCAATTAGCTCCCAAATGTCCACTGGAATAATGAGCAAAAACAGTGTTTCCAAACTGCTGAACGCAAAGAAAGCTTTACCTCTATGAGATGAATGAACACATCACAAAGCAGTTTCTCAGAAAGCTTCTTTATTGTTTTTATCTATATATAACTCCTTTTTCACTGTAGACCTCAATGCACAGCCAAATATCCTTTCACAGATTCTACAAAAGAGTTTTTCCACACTGCTGGATGAAAAGAAAGGTTTAACTCTGAGAGTTGAATACGCACATCACAAATTGGTTTCTCAGATAACATGCTTCTAGTTTTTATCCTTGGATATTCGCTTTTACACCATTGGCCTAAATGAACTCCCAAATGTCCATTTGCAGAATGGACAAACATTGTTTCCAAACTGCTGAATCCAAAGAATGGTTTAACTCTGTATGATGAATGCACACAACAGAAATCAGTTTCTCAGAATTATTCTGTCTAATTTGTACTGGAAGATATTTCCTTTTATAACATGGTCCTCAACGCAAATCCAAATATCCCTTTGCGGATTTTACAAACACTGTGTTTCCAAGCTGCTCAATCAAAAGAATGCTTTAACTATGTTAGATGAATGCACATATCACAAAAAAATTCTCAGAAACTTTCTTTCTAGTGTGTATTGGAAGATATATCATTTTTAACCATAAGCCTCAATGTACTCCGAAATCTCCGTCGACAGATACTACCAAAACTGTGTTTCCAAACAGCTCAATGAAAAGAAAAGTTTAACTTTGTGAGACGAATGCATGTATCGCAAAGCAGTTTCTCAGAAAGCTTCTTTCTGGTTTATATGTGAGGATATTTCCTTTTTCAACATAGGCATTAATGTGCTCCCAAATATCCTTTGCAGATTCTACCAAAAGACTGTTTCCAAACTGCTCAATCAAAAGAATGGTTCAACTCTGTGAGATGAATGCACACATCACAAAGAAGTTACTCAGAAAGCTTCTGTCCAGTTTTTATGTGAAGATATTTCCTTTTTCACCATAGGCCTCAAAGCACTCCCAAATATCCCTTTGCAGGTTCTACAAAAAGACTGTTTCCAAACTGCTAAATCAAAAGAATGGTTCATTTCTGTGAGATGAATCCACACATCACAAAGAAGTTTCTCAGAATGTTTCTGTCCAGGTTTTATGTGAAGATATTTCCTTTTTCAACATAGGCCCCTATTGCGGGATCCGGCCAGCAGCCCTCAATGCAACAGGGATCTCTCTTTGTTCCTAGGCAGATCAACAGGTTGAGAAATAAAAGACACACAAAAGATAGTGAAAGTTGGGTCCATGGGGGTCTCTGCCTTCTGGTCCCACAGTGCCAACAATGCACTGGATACACCAGCATTTATTATTAAGTTTAGTGAGGGCGGGGGTAGGTTAGTGAGGGATTTAGGGTCATTTGATTATGAGGTGAGATGGTCACATGGGGATGAAGTACTTCTTTAACATAACATTTGTATGTAGAAGTACAGTACATTTGTATATAGAAGTACAGTATACAGAGATAAGAATTTACAATATAGTGTGTGTGTCAGTAATTTCTAACAGAGCCTTAGAACAGAAACACAACCTTTCCATAAACTATGATTAACAAAATATTAATCAACAGTAACATTTGCCACAAAAGCTGGTTACAAACAATCCATGGAAAGAGGACGTGAAGCTAGGCAACTGGTTAGACCAGAAATTCTCAGAAGGGAGTATGCCTTAAACCTAAAGAGGCCTAGAAGAGCCGTGGCAAGATGAGGGCATTTATAGCCCCATCTTATCCATAAGGACAGGCGCCCAACATGCAACTGTTTATAGGCTTTCCACAAGGGTCACATTCCATTCCCAGAGCTATAAACATCTGCTTTTCTGGGATAAGAATCCTGGTGATGTGAAACCTCCCTGAATGCCCGTCCTTTCAGAGGCTCGCTGCAGGGGGAAGCACATCATGTGCCGTTGGCTCGTTATGGCAGTCTAACTTGGCATTGTCTTTATACAATCCTGCATACAATTTTGTATTTACAATAATCAGGAGCACTTCATCTTTTATTCCATAGCAATAGTTTCAGGGGGACTCAATACAGTAAACGTTTCTTTTCATTGAGCAGTTTCGAATTTCTGTTCTTGTAGAGTCTGCAAAGGGATATTTGTGAGTGCATTGAGGCCTATCCTGAAAAAGGAAATATCATCACATAAAAACTAGACAGAAGCTCTCTGAGACACTTCTTTGTGATGTATGCATTCATCTCAGAAATTTGAACCACTCTTTTGATTCAGCAGATTGGAAACAGTGTTTTTGTAGAATCTGCAAAGGGATATTTGAGAGCCCTTTGAGGCCTATGGTGAAAAAGGAAATATCTTCACATAAAAACTAGACAGAAGCCTTCTGAGAAACTTCTTCATGATGTGTGCATTCATCTCACAGAGTTGAACCATTCTTTTGATTGAGTAGTTTGGAAACAGTCTTTTTGTAGAATTTGGAAAGAGATCTTTGTGAGTGGTTTGAGGCCTATGGTGAAAAAGGAAATATCTTCACATAGAAACTATACGGAATCATTCTGAGAAAGTTATTTGTGATGTGTGTGTGCATCTCACAGAGGGGAACCTTTCTTTTGATTGAGCAATTTGGAAACAGACATTTTGTAGAATCTGCAAAGGGATACTTGTGAGCGCTTTGAGGCATATGGTGAAAAAGCAAATATCTTCATATAAAAAGTTGACAGAAGTTTTCTGAGAAACTTCTTTGTGATTTATGCATTCATCTCAAAGAGTAGAACGTTTCTTTTGACTGAGCAGTTTGGAACCAGTCTTTTTGTAGAATCTGCAAAGGGATATTTGTGAGCGCTTTGAGGCCTATGGTGAAAAAGGAAATATCTTCACATAAAAACTAGAAAGAAGCTTTCAGAGAAACTTCTTTGTGATGTCTGCATGCATATCACAGAGTTGAAACTTTCTTTTGATTGAGGAGCTTGGAAACAGTCTTTTTGTAGAATCTGCAAAGAGATATTAGTGACCCCTTTGAGGCCTATGGTGAAAAAGGAAATATCTTCACATAAAAACTAGACAGAAGGTTTCTCAGAAACTGCTTTGTGATGTGTGCATTCATCTCACAGAGGTAAAAATTTCTTCTCATTGAGCAGATTGGAAAATCCGTTCTTGTAGAATCTTCAAAGGGGCATTTGAGAGCACTTCGAAGCCTGTGGTGAAAAAGGTAAAATCTTCACATAGAAACTAGACAGAAGCTTTCTGAGAATCTTTTTTGTGATGTGTGCATTCAGCTCAAAGAGTTGAACATTTCTTTTGATAGAGCAGTTTAGAACCCGTCTTTTTGTAGAATCTGCAAAGGGATATTTGTGAGCGCTTTGAGGCCTATGGTGAAAAAGTAAATATCTTCACCTAAAAACTAGACACAAGAGTTTGAGAAACGTCTTTATGATGTGCGCATTCATCTCAAAGAGTTTAACGTTCCTTTTGATTGAGCAGTTTGGAAACAATCTTTGGTAGAATCTGCAAAGGGATATTTGTGAGCCCTTTGCGGCCTGTGCTAAAAAGGAAATATCTTCAAAGAAAAACTAGACAGAAAGTTTCTGAGGTACTGTTTTGTGATGTGTGCTGTCATAGAGCACACTGGAAACTGTTCTTGTAGAACCTGCAATGGGATATTTGTGAGCGCTTTGAGGCCCATGATGAAAAAGGAAATGTCTTCACATAGGAACTACACAGAAGCTTTCTGAGAAACTTCTTTGTGATGTGTGCATGTATGTCACAGTGTTGAAACTTTTTTCTGTTTGAGCAGGTTGGAAATTGTCTTTTTGTAGAATCTGCAAAGGGATATTTGTGAGCGCTTTGAGACCTATGGTGAAAAAGGAAATATCTTCACATATTAACTAGACAGAAGCTTTCTGAGAAATCTCCTTATGATGTGTGCATTCATCTCACAAAGTTGAACTTTCTTTTAATTGAGCAGTTTGGAAACAGTCTTTTTTTGGAATCAGCAAAGGGATATTTGTCAGTGATTTGAGGCGTGCGGTGAAAAAGGAAATATCTTAACAGAAAAATTAGACAGAAGCTTTCTGAGAACCTTCTGTGTGATGTGTGCATTCATCTCACAGAGGTGAACCTTTCTTTGATTGAGCAGTTTGGAAACAGTCTTTTTGTAGAATCTGCAAAGGGATATTTGAGCCCATTGTGGCCTATGGTGAAAAAGGAAATATCTTCACATATTAACTAGACAGAAGGTTTCTGAGAAATCTCTTTATGATGTGTGCATTCATCTCACAAAGTTGAAACTTTCTTTTAATTGAGCAGTTTGGAAACAGTCTTTTTTTGGAATCAGCAAAGGGATATTTGTCAGCGCTTTGTGGTGTGTGGTGAAAAAGGAAATATCTTAACCTAAAAATTAGACAGAAGCTTTCTGAGAAACTTCTGTGTGATGTGTGCATTCATCTCACAGAGATTAACATTTCTTTGACTGAGCAGTTTGGAAACAGTCTTTTTGTAGAATCTGCAAAGGGATATTTGTGAGCCCATTGAGGCCTATGGTGAAAAAGAAAATATCTTCACATAAAAACTAGACAGAAGGTTTCTGAGAAACTGCTTTGTGATATGTGAATTCATCTCACAGAGGTAAACGTGTCTTTTCATTGAGCAGTTTGGAAATTCTATTCTTGTAGAATCTGCAGAGGGATATTTGTGAGCCATTTGAGGCCTATGGTGAAAAAGGAAAAATCTTCACATAAAAACTAGACAGAAGCTTTCTGAGAAACTTCTTTGTGATGTGTGCATGCATCTCACAGTGTTGAACCTTTCTTTTGGTTGACCACTTTGGAAACAGTCTTTTTGTAGAATCTGAAAAGGGATATTTGTGAGCTCTTTGATGCCTACCATAAAAAATGAAATATCTTCACAAAAAAACTAGACAGACGCTTTCTGAGAAACTTCTTTGTGATGTGTGCATTCATCTCACAGAGCTACACATGTCTTTTGATTGAATAGTTTGGAAACAGTCTTTTCATACAATCTGCAAAAGGGATATTTGAGAGCGCTTTGAGGCCTATGGTGAAAAAGGAAGTATCTTCAAATAAAAACTAGACAGATGCTTTCTGAGACACTTCTTTGTGATGTGAGCATGCATCTCAGAGAGTTGAACCTTTCTTTTTATTGAGCAGTTTAGAACCAGTCTTTTTGTGGAATCTGCAAAGGGATAATTGTGGGCGCTTTGAGGTCTATGGTGAAAAAAGAAATATCTTCACAAGAAAACTAGACAGAAACTTTCTGAGAAACATCTTTCTTATGTGTGCATTCGTCTCACAGAGTTGAACACTTCTTTGGATTGAGTAGTTTGGAAACAGTCTTTTTGTAGAATGTGCAAAGGGATATCTGTGAACGCTTTGATGCCTACAGTGAAAAAGGAAATATCTTCACATAAAAACCAGACAGAAACTTTCTGAGAAATTTCTTTGCAATGTGTGCATTCATCTGATAGGGCTGAACCTTTCTTTTGATTGAGCAGTTTGAAAACAGTCCGTTTGCACAATCTGCAAACGGATAATTGTGGGCGCTTTGAGGCCTATGGAGAAAAAGGAAATATCTTCACATAAAAACTAGACAGAAACATTCTGAGAGACTTCTTTGTGTTGTGTGCTTTCATCTCACAGAGTTGAAATTTTCTTTTGATCGAGCAGTTTAGAAACAGTCTTTTTGTAGAATTTGCAAAGGGATATTGGAGAGCGCTTTGAGGCCTATGGTGAAAAAGGAAGTATCTTCACATAAAAACTAGATAGATGCTTTCTGAGAAACTTCTTTGTGATGTGTTCATGCATCTCACAGAGTTGAACCTTTCTTTTTATTGAGCAACTTAAAATAAGTCTTTTTGTGGAACCTGTAAAGGGATAATTGTGGGCACTTTGAGGCCTATGGTGGAAAAGGAAATATCTTCACAAGAAAATTAGACAGAGGCTTTCTGAGAAACTTCTTTTTGATGTGTGCATTCAGCTCACAGAGTTGAACACTTCTTTTGATTGAGTAGGTTGGAAACAGTCTTTTTGTGGAATCTGCAAAGGATATTTATGAGTGATTTGAGGCCTATGGTGAGAAAGGAAATATCTTCACATAAAAACTAGACAGAAGCTTTCTGAGAAACTTCTTTGTGATGTATGCATGCATCTCACAGAGTTGAACTTTTCCTTTGTTTGAGCAGTTTGGAAACAGTTTTTTTGTACAATCTGAAAAGGGATATTTGTGAGCACTTTGAAGCCTATGGTGAAAAAATAAATATCTTCAAATAAAAACTAGACAGAAGGTTTCTGAGAAATTATTTTGTGATGTATGCCTACACCTCACAGAGGTAAAGGTTTCTTTTCATTGAGCAGATTGGAAACTCTGTTCTTGTGGAATCTGCAAAGGGATATCTGTGAGTGCTTTGAGGCCGATGGTGAAAAAGGAAATGTCTTCACAAAAAAAGCTAGACAGAAGCTTTCTGAGACATTTCTTTGTGATGTGTGCATTCATCTAACAGAGTTGAAAATTTCTTTTGATTGAGCAGTTTGAAAACAGTCTGTTTGTAGAATCTGCAAAGGGATAATTGTGGGCGCTTTGAGGCGTATGGTGAAAAAGGGAATATCTTCACATAAAAACTAGAAAGGAGCAGTTGAGAAACTTCTTTCTGATGTGTGCATGCATCTCACAGGGGTGAAACTTTCTTTTCATTGAGCAGATTAGAAACAGTCATTTTGTAGAATCTGCAAAGGGATATTTGTGAGCCCTTTGAGGCCTATGGTGAAATAGGAAATATCTTCACGTAAAAACTAGACAGAAGCGTTCTCAGAAACTTCTTTGTGATGGGTGCATTCATCTCACAGAGTTGAAGTTTTCTTTTGATTGAGCAGTTTGGAAACGGTCTTTTAGTAGAATCTGCAAATGGATATTTGTGAGACCTTTGAGGCCTATGATGAAAAAGGAAGTATCTTCACATAAAAACTACACAGAAGGTTTCTGAGAAGCTGCTTTGTGATGTGTGGATTCATCTCAAAGAGGTAAATGTTGCTCTTTATGGAGCAGATTGGAAACTCTGTTCTTGTAGAATCTGCAAAGGGATGTTTGTGAGTGCTTTGAGGCCTATGGTGAAAAAGGAAATATCCTCACATAAAAAGTAGACAGAAGCATTCTGAGAAACTTCTTTGTGATGTGTGCATTCATCTCACAGAGTTGAACCTTTCTCTTGATTGAGCAGTATGGAAACAGTCTTTGTGGAGAATCTGCAAAGGGATATTTGTGAGCCCCTTGAAGCCTATGGTGAAAAAGGAAATATCTTCACATAAAAACTAAATAGAAGCTTTCTGAGAAACTTCTTTGTGATGTGCTCATTCATCTGAAAGAGGTAAACGCTCCTTTTCTTTGAGCAGGTTGAAAACTCTCATCTTGGAGAATCTGAAAGGAATATTTGTGAGCGCTTTGAGGCCTATGCTGGAAAAGGAAATATCTTCACGTAAAAACTAGACAGAAAATTTCTGAGATATTTCTTTGTGATGTGTCAATTCATATCAAAGAATTGAATCTTTCTTTTGATTCAGCAGTTTGGAAACATTCTTTTTGTAGAATCTGCAATGGGATATTTGTGAACCCTTTGAGGCCTATGGTGAAAAAGGAGATATCTTCACATAAAAATTAGACAGAAGGTTTCTGAGAAATTATTTGTGATGTGCGCATTCATGCCACAGTGGTAAAAGTTTCTTTTCCTTGAGCTGACTGGAACCTCTCTTCTTGTAGAATCTACAGAGATATTTTTGAGCCATTTGAGGCCTACAGTGAAAAAGGAAATATCTTCCCACAAAAACCAGACAGAAGGATTCAGAGAAAATGATTTGTGATGTGTGCATTCATCTCACAGAGATAAACGTTTCCTCTGATTGAGGAGATTGGCATCTTTTTTCTTGTGCAATCTGCAATGGGATATTTGTGAGTGCTTTGATACCCATGGTGTAAAAGGAAACATCCTCACAGGAAAACTAAACAGAAGCTTTCTGAGAAACCTCTTTGTGTTGTGTGTATTCATCTCTCAGAGTTGAACTTTTCTTTTGATTGAGCAGTTTGGAAACAGTCTTCTTGTAGCATTTGCAAATGGATATTTGTGAGCGGTTTGAGGCCTATGGTGAAACAGGAAATATCTTCACATAAAAACAGGACAGAAGCTTTCTGAAACACTTCTTTATGATGTGTGCATTCACCTCACAGAGTTGAAGATTTCTTCTGATTAAGCAGTTTGGAAAGAGTCTTTTTGGAGAATCTGCAAAGGGATATTTGTGAGCCCTTTGAGGCCTATGGTGAAAAAGGAAATATCTTCACATAAAAATGAGACAGAAGATTCTGAGAAACTTCTTTGTGATGTGTGCATTCACCTCACAAAGTTGAACCTTTCTTTTGATTGAGCAGTTTCGAGGCATTCTTTTTGTAGAATCTCAAAAGAGATATTTGTAGTCCCTTTGAGGCCTATGGTGAAAAAGGAAATATCTTCACATAAAAACTAGACAGAAGGTTTCTGAGAAACTGTTTGTGAAGTGTGCATTCATGTCACAGTGGTAAAAGTTTCTTTGCATTGAGCAGATTGGAACCTCTGTTCTTGTAGAATCTACAAAGGGATACTTGTGAGCTCTTTGAGCACTATTGTGAAAAAGGAAATATTGTCACATAAAAATTAGACAGAAGCATTATGAGAAACTTCTTTGTGATGTGTTCATTCATTTCTCATAGTTGAACCTTTCTTTTGATTGAGCAGTTTGGAAACAGTTTTTTTGTAGAATTTGCAAAGGGATATTTCTGAGTGGTTTGAGGACTATGGTGTAAAAGGAAATATCTTCACATAAAAATGAGACAGAAGCTTTCTGAGAAACTTCCTTATGATGTGTGCATTCACTTAACAGAGTTGAAGCTTTCTTTTGATTAAGCAGTTTGGAGAGTCTTCTTGTAGAATCTGCAATGGGATATTTTTGAGCACTTTGAGGCCTGTGGTGAAAAAGGAAATATCTTAACACAAAAAGTAGACTGAAGTGTTCTGAGAAACTTCTTTGTGATGTCCACATTCACCTCACAGGTTTGAACCTTTGTTTGATTAAGCAGTTTGGAAACCATCTTTTTGTAGAATCTGCAAAGGGATATTTGTGAGCGGCTTGAGGCCTATGGTGAAAAAGGAACTATCTTCATAAAAACTAGAAAGAAGTTTTCTTAGAAACTTCTCTGTTATGCGTGCATTTGCCTCACAGAACTGAACCTTTCTTTTCATTGAGCTATTAGGAAACAGTCTTTTTGTAGAATCTGCAAAAGGATATTTGTGAGTGCTTTGAGGTCTACGGTGAAAAAAGAAATATCTTCACATACAAACTAGACAGAAGGTTTCTGTGAAAGTTATTTGTGATGTGGGCATTCATCTCACAGAGTTGAACCTTTCTTTTGATTGAACAGTTTGGAAACAGTGTTTTTGTGGAGTCTGCAAAGGGATATTTGTGAGTGGTTTGAGGCCTAATGCGATCAAGGAAATATCTTCACATAAAAACTGGACAGAAGCTTTCTGAGAAACTTCTTTGCGATGTGTGCATTCATCTCAAAGAGTTGAAATTTTCTTTATTATTATTATTATACTTTAAGTTTTAGGGTACATGTGCACAATGTGCAGGTTTGTTACATATGTATACATGTGCCATGTTGGTGTGCTGCACCCATTAACTCGTCATTTAGCATTAGGTATATCTCCTAATTCTATCCTTCCCCCCTCCCCCCCATCCGACAACAGTCCCCAGAGTGTGATGTTCCCCTTCCTGTGTCCATGTGTTCTCATTGTTCAATTCCCACCTATGAGTGAGAACATGTGGTGTTTGGTTTTTTCTCCTTGTGATAGTTTGCTGATAATGATGGTTTCCAGTTTCATCCATGTCCCCATAAATGGCATGAACTCTTCATTTTTTATGGCTGCATAGTATATCGTGGTTTATACATGCCACATTTTCTTAATCCAGTCTATCATTGTTGGACATTTCGGTTGGTTCCAAGTCTTTGCTATTGTGAATAGTGCCGCTATAAACATATGCGTACATGTGTCTGTACAGCAGCATGATTTATAATCCTTTGAGTATAACCCAGTAATGGGATGGCTGGGTCAAATGGTATTTCTAGTTCTAGATCCCTGAGGAATCGCCACACTGACTTCCACAATGGTTGAACTAGTTTACAGTGCCACCAACAGTGTAAAACTGTTCCTATTTCTCCACATCCTCTCCAGCACCTGTTGTTTCCTGCCTTTTTAATGATTGCCATTCTAACTGGTGTGAGATGATATCTCATTGTGGTTTTCATTTGCATTTCTCTGATTGCCAGTGATTATGAGCATTTATTCATGTGCTTTTTGGCTGCATAAATGTCTTCTTTTGAGACGTGTCTGTTCATATTCTTCCCACACTTTTTGAATGGGTTGTTTGTTTTTTTCTTGTAAACTTGTTTGTGTTCATTGTAGATTCTGGATATTAGCCCTTTGTCAGATGAGTAGGTGGCGAAAATTTTCTCCCATATTGTAGGTTGCCTGTTCACTCTGATGGCAGTTTCTTTTGCTGTGCAGGAGTTCTTTAGTTTAATTGGAAATCATTTGTCAATTTTGGCTTCTGTTGCCATTGCTTTTGGTGATTTAGACATGAAGTTCTTGCTCATACCTATGTCCTGAATGGTAATGCCTAGGTTTTTCTTCTAGGGTTTTTATGGTTTTAGGTCTAGCATGTAAGTCTTTAATCCATCTCGAATTAATTTTTGTATAAGGTGTAAGGAAGGGATCCAGTTTCAGCTTTCTACATATGGCTAGCCAGTTTTCCCAGCACCATTTATTAAATAGGGAATCCTTTCCCTATTGCTTGTTTTTTTCAGGTTTGTCAAAGATCAGATAGTTGTAGATATGTGGCATTATTTCTGAAGGCTCTGCTATGTTCCATTGATCTATATCTCTGTTTTGGTACCAGTACCATGCTGTTTTGGTTTCTGTAGCCTTGTAGTATAGTTTGAAGTCAGGTAGCTTGATGCCTCCAGCTTTGTTCTTTTGGCTTAGGATTGACTTGGCAATGCGGGCTCTTTTCTGGTTCCATACAAACTTTAAAGTCGTTTTTTCCAGTTCTGTGAAGAAAGTCATTGGTACCTTCATGGGGATGGCATTGAATCTATAAATTACCTTTGACAGTATGGCCATTTTCATTATATCGATTCTTCCTACCCTTAAGCATGGGATGTTCTTCCATTTGTTTTTATCCTCTTTTATTTCATTGAGCGGTGGTTTGTATTTCTCCTTGAAGAGGTGCTTCACATCCCTTGTAAGTTGGATTTCCAGGTATTTTATTTTCTTTGAAGCATTTGTGAATGGGAGTTCACTCATGATTTGGCTCTCTGTTTGTCTGTTATTGGTGTATAAGAATGCTTGTGATTTTTGCACATTGATTTTGTATCCTGAGACTTTGCTGAAGTTGCTTATCAGCTTAAGGAGATTTCAGGCTCAGACAATGGGGTTTTCTAGCTATACAATCATGTCATCTGCAAACAGGGACAATTTGACTTCCTCTTTTCCTAATTGAATACCCTTTATTTCCTTCTGCCTAATTTCCCTGGCCAGAACTTCCAACACTATGTTGAATAGGAGTGGTGAGAGAGGGCATCCCTGTCTTGTGCCAGTTTTCAAAGGGAATCATCAATAAAATACTGGCAAACCAAATCCAGCAGCACATCAAGAAACTTATCCACCATGATCAAGTGGGCTTCATCCCTGGGATGCAAGGCTGGTTCAACATACGCAAATCAATAAATGTAATCCTGGATATAAACAGAACCAAAGACAAAAAGCACATGATTATCTCAATAGATGCAGAAAAGGCCTTTGATAAAATTCAACCACTCTTCATGTTAAAAACTTTCAATAAATTAGGTATTCATGGGTCGTATCTCAAAATAATAAGAGATATCTATGACAAACCCACAGCCAATATCATACTGAATGGACGAAAACTGGAAACTTTCTTTTTTTAATGTAAATTCTATGAAAATTTGTTCTGCTTTCACATTCATTTATAACTATTATGTCCACTAATTTAAAGGATATTTGTCTTATAACAGTCCTCAAATTCCTTGCTTTCCAGTTTAAAATAGTTTTATTTTAACCCACCCTCTCTCCTTTCCTTTCTGTCTTAGAGGAGGAGGGAGATGTGCACCTCGTTTCTTTCTGTTGCATCTTTTTCTTTTTTCCAAAGCATATTTTATTATTATTAGACTTTAAGTTTTAGGGTACATGAGCACAATGTGCAGGTTGGTTACATATGTATACATGTGCCATGCTGGTGTGCTGCACCCATTAACTCATCATTTAGCATGAGGTATATCTCCTAATGCTATCCCTCCCCCCACCCCCCACCGCAAACAGTCCCCAGAGTGTGATGTTCCCCTTCCTGTGTCCATGTGTTCTCATTGTTCAATTCCCACCTATGAATGAGAACATGCAGTGTTTGGTTTTTTGTCCTTGCTATAGTTAACTGAGAATGATGATTTCCAATTTCATCCATGCCCCTACAAAGGACATGAACTCATCATTTCTTATGGCTGCATAGTATTCCATGGTGTATATGTGCCACATTTTCTTAATTCAGTCTATCATTGTGGAAACTTTCTTCTGATTGAGCAGTTTGGACACATTATTTTTGTGGATTCTGCAAAGGGATATTTGTGAGTGCTTTGAGGCCTATGGTGAAAAAGGATATATCTTCACATAAAAACTACACAGAAGCTTTCTGTGATACTTCTTTGTGATGTGTGCATTCATCTCAAAGAGGTGAACCTTTCTTTTGATTGAGGAGTGTTTTCTGAGAAACTGCTTTGTGATGTGCACATTCATCTCAGAGAAGTAAACATTTCTTTTCATTGAGCAGATTGGAGAATTTGTTCTTGTGGAATCTGCAAAGGGATATTTGTGAGTGCTTGGTATGCTATGGTAAAAAAAGGAAATATCTTCACATAAAAACTAGGCAGAAGCTTTCTGAGTATCTTCTTTGTGATGTGTGCATTCATGTCACAGAGTTGAAACTTTCTTTTGATTGGGGTGTTTGGGAACAGTCTTCTGGTGGACTCTGCAAAGTGACTCTTGTGAGCAGTTTGAGGACTGTGGTGAAAAATGTGAAAAATGAAATATCTTTATATAAAAATGACACAGAAACTTTCTGAGAAACTTCTCCATTTTGTGTGCATTCATCCCACAGAGTTGAACCTTTCTTTTGATTGAGCAGTTTGGAAACAGTCTTTTTGCAGAATCTGCAAATGGATATTTGTGAGCTGTTTGAGGCCTGTGGTGAAAAAAAAATATCTTCACATAAAAATTAGACAGAAGCTTTCTGAGGTACTGTTTTGTGATGTGTGTATTCATCTCAGAGAGTTGAACCTTTCTTTTGATTGAGGAGTTTGGAAACACTCTTTGTAGAATCTGCAAAAGGATATTTTTGAGCCCTTTGAGGCCTATGGTGAAAAAGGAAATATCTTCACAGAAAAACTATACAGAAGGTCTCTGAGAAACTGCTTTGTGATGTGTGAATTTATCTCACAGAGTTAAACGTTTCTTTACATTGAGCAGATTGGAAACTTTGTTCTTGTAGAATCTGCAAAGGGATATTTGTGAGTGCTTTGAGGCCTGTAGTGTAAAAGGAAATTTCTTCACATAAAGACTAGACAGAAGCTTTCTGAGAAACTTATTTGTGATGGGTGCCTTCAGGTCACAGAGTTCAACCTTTCTTTTGGGTGAGCTGTTTGGGAACAGTCTGCTGGTAGACTCTGCAAAGGGATATTTGTGAGCAGTTTGAGAACTATGGTGAAAAAGGAAATATCTTCACATAACAATTAGACAGGAGGTTTCTCAGATACTGCTTTATGATGTGTGCAATCATCTCACAGAGGTAAACATTTCTTTTCATTGAGCAGATTGAAACCTCTCTTCCTGTAGAATCTGCAAAGGGATATTTCTGAGCGCTTTAAGGACTACGGTGGAAATTAAAATATCTTCTTATAAATACTAGACAGACGGTTTCTGAGAAACTTCTTTGTGTTGCGTGCGTTCATCTCACAGAGTTGAGCATTTCTTTTTATTGAGAAGTTTGGAAATAGTCTTTTTGTACTATCTGCCAAGGTATATTTGTGAGTTGTTTGAGACCTATGGTGAAAAAGGAAATCTCTTCACATAAAAACTAGACAGTAGCTTTCTGAGAAACTTCTTTGTGATGTGTGCTTTCATCTCACAGAGTTGAACCATTCTTTTGATTGTGCAGTTTGGAAACAGTCTTTTCGTAGAATCTGCAAATGTATGTTTGGGGCGCTTTTAGGCCTATGGTGAAAAAGGAAATATCTTCACGTGAAAACTATACAGAAGGATTCTGAGAAACTGATTTGTGATGTGTGCATTCATCTCACAGAGGTAAACGTTTCTTTTAATTGAGCAGATTGGAGAATTTCTTCTTTTGGCATCAGTAAAAGTATTTTTGTGAGCCCATTGAGCCCTATGTTAAAAAAGGAAATATCTTCACATAAAAACTAGACAGAAGCTTTCTGAGAATGTTCTTTGTGATGTGTGCATTCATGTCACAGAGTTGAACTTTTCTTTTGATAGAGGTGTTTGGGAACAGTCTTTTTGTGGACTCTGCAAAGGGATATTTGTGAGCGGTTTGAGGATTATGGTGAAAAAGGAAATATCTTCACATAAAAACTAGAAAGAAGCTTTCTGAGAAACTTCTTTGTGATGGGTGCATTCATCTCACTGATATGAAACTTTCTTTTGATTGAGCAGTTTGGAAACAGTCTTTTCATAAAATCTGCAAAGGGATATTTCTGAGTGTTTTGAGGCCAATGGTGAAAAAGGAAATATCTTCACTTAAAAACTAGACAGAAGATTTATGAGAGACTTCATTGTGTTGTGTGCTTTCATCTCACAGAGGTTAACGTCTCTTTTCATTGAGCAGATTGGAATCTCTGTCATTGCAGAACCTGCAAAGGGACATTTGTGAGCCCTTTGAGGCCTATGCTGAAAAAGGAAACATCTTCACGTAAAAAATAGATGGAAGTTTTCTGAGAAACTGCTTTGTGATGTGTGAATTCAACTCACAGAGGTAAAAGTTTCTTTTCATTGAGCAGATTGGAAACTCTGTTCATGTAGAATCTGCAAAGGGACATTTGTGAGTGCTTTGAGTCCTATGGTGAAAAAGGAAATATCTTAACAAAAAAAACTAGACAGAAGCTTTCTGAGAAACTTCTTTGTGCTGTGTGCATTCATCTCCCAGTGGTAAACATTGCTTTTCATTCAGCAGATTGAAAACAGTTCATGTAGAATCTACAAAGGGATATTTGTGAGCACTTTGAGGCCTAAGGTGAAACTGGACATACCATCACTTAAAAAATAGACAGAAGACTTCTGAGAACCTTCTTTGTGATGTGTGCATTCATCTCACCGAGTCGAACCTTTCTTTGATTGAGTAGTTTGGAAATAGTCTTTTTGTAGAAACTTCAACGGGATATTTGTGGGCGATTTTAGGGGTATGGTGAAAAAGGAAATGTCTTCACATAAAAACTAGACAGAAGCTTTTTGTGAAACTTCTTTGTGATGTGTGCATTCATCTCACAGAGTTGAACCTTTCTTTTGATTGAGCAGTTTGGAAACAGTCTTTTTGTAGAATCTGCAAACGGATATTTGTGAGCAGTTTGAGGCCTATGGTTGAAAAGGAAATATCTTCAAAAAAAAACTAGACAGAAGGTTTCTGAGAAACTTGTTTGTGCTGTGTGCATTCATCTCCCAGAGTTGAAAATTTCTTTTGGTTGAACAGTTTGGAGACAGTCTTTCTGTGGAATCTACAAAGGGATATTTGTGACCCCTTTGCGGTCTATGGTGAAAAGGGAAATATCTTCCCATAAAAGCTAGACAGAAGCCTTATGAGAAACTTCTTTGTGATGTGTGCATTCATGTCACAGAGTTGAAAATTTCTTTTGAATGTGCAGTTTGCAGTCTGTCTTCTTATATAATCCTCAAAGAGATATTTCTGACCCATTTGAGGTCTGTGGTAAAAAAGGAAATATCTTCACATAAAAACTAGACAGAAACGTTCTGAGAAAATATTTTGTGATGTGTGCATGCATCTCACAGAGAAGACCCTTTCTGTTGATTGAGGAGTTTGGAAAGAGTCTGTCTGCAGAGTCTGCACTGGGAGAAAAATATCCCTTTGCAGACTCTACAAAAAGACGTTTCCAAACTGCTCAATCATAAGAAAGGTTCAACTTTGTGAGATGAAAGCACACATCATAAAGAAGTTTCTCAGAAAGCTTCTGTCTAGTTTTTACATGAAGATATTTCAGTTTTCACCATAGGCCTCAAAGGGCTCACAAATATCCCTTCGCAGATTCTACAAAAAGGCTATTTCCAAAGTGCTCAATCTAGAGAAAGTTTCACCTCTTGAGATGAAAGGACATATCACAAAGAAGTTTCTCAGAAGTTTCTGTCTGGTGTTAAAGTGAAGAAATTTCCTATTTCAACATAGGCCTCAATGGGTTCTCAAATATCCCTTTGCAGATTCTACAAAAAGACTCTTTCCAAACTGCACAATCAAAAGAAAGCTTCTACTCTGTGAGATGAATGGACACAACATGAAGAAGTTTCTAAGAATTCTTCTGTCTAGTTTTTATGTTTAGATATTTCCTTTTTCTTTATAGGCCTCAAACTGCTCACAAATATCCCTCTGCAGATTATACAAAAAGACTATTTCCAAACTGCTCAATAAAAAGAAAACTTCAACTCTGTGAGATGAATGCACACATCCCTAAGAAGTTTCTAAGAAAACTTCTGTATAGTTTTTAAATGAAGACATTTCCTTTTTCACAATAGGAAGCAAAGCGCTTCAAATACCCTTTTGCAGATTCTCCAAAAAGACTGTTTCCAAACTGCTCAATGAAAAGAAAGGTTAACCTCTGTGAGATGAGTGCAAACATCACAAAGAAATTTCTCAAAAACCTTCTGTCTAGATTTTATGTGAAGATATTTCCTTTTTCACCACAGGCCTCAAACCGCTCACAAATATCTCTCTGCAGATTCTACAAAAAGACCCTTTTCAAACTGCTCAATCAGAAGAAAGTTTCAACTCTGTGAGGTGAAAGAAAACATCACTAAGAAGTTTCTTGGAAACTTTCTGTTTCGTTTTTATGTGAAGATATTTCCTTTTTCACCATAGGCCTCCAAGCGTTCCAAATATCCATTTCTAGATTCTTCAAAAAGACTGTTTCCAAACTGCTCAATCAAAAGAAAGGTTCAACTCTGTGAGATGAATGCACACATCACAAAGAAGTTTCTCAAAGAGCTTCTCTCTGGTTATTATGTGAAGATATTTTCTTTTTCACCATTGGCCTCAAACCGCTCACAAATAGCCCTCTGCAGATTATACAAAAAGACTGTTTCCAAACTGCTCAAAAGAAAGGTTCAACTCTGTGAGATGAATGCGCACATCAAAAATAAGTTTCTTAGAATGCTTCTATCTAGTTTTTATTTGAAGCTATTTCCTTTTTCACCATAGGCCTCTATCCACTTACAAATATCCCTCCACAGATTCTACAAAAAGACTGTTTCCATACTGCTCAATGAAAAGAAAGTTTCATCTCCATGAGATGAATGCACACATCACAAAGAAGTTTCTCAGAAAGCTTCTGTCTAGTTTTCATGTGAAGATATTTCCTTTTTCACCGTAGTCCTAAAAGCACTCCAAATATCCATTTGCAGATTCTACAATAAGACTGTTTCCAAACTGCTCAATCAATAGAAAGGTTCAACTCTGTGAGATGAAAGCACAAATCACAAAGAAATTTCTCAGAAAGCTTCTATCTACTTTTTATATGAAGATATTTCCTTTTCACCGTAGGCCTCAAAAAGCTCACAAATAGCCCTATGCAGATTCTACAAAAAGACTGTTTTCAAACAACTCACTCAAAAGAAAGGACCGACCCTGTGAGATGAATACACACATCACAAAGAAATTTCTCAGAAAGCTTCTGTCTAATTTTTATGTGAAGATATATCCTTTTTCACCATAGGCCTCAAAGCGCTCCTGATACCCATTTGCAGACTCTACAAAAGGACTGTTTCCAAACTGCTCAATGAAAAGAAAGGTTCAACTCTGTGAGATGAATGCAAACTTCACAAAGTAGTTTCTCACAAATCTTCTGTCTAGTTTTTTCATGAGGATATTTCCTTTTTCACCATGGGCCTCAAACTGCTAATATCTCTCTGCATATTCTACAAAAAGAATGTTTCCAAACTGCTCAATCAAAATAAAGGTTCAGCTCTGTTAGATGAAAGCACAGATCAGAAAGTAGTTTCTCAGAAAGCTTCTGTCAAGTTTTTATTTAAAGTTATTTCCTTTTTCACCATAGGCCTCAAAGCGCTCAAAATATCCTTTTGCAGGTTCTCCAAAAAGACTGATTCCAAACTGCACAATAAAAAGAAAGTTTCATCCCTGTGTGATGAAAGCACACATCAGAAAGAAGTTTCTCAGAAAGCTTCTGTCTAGTTTTTATGTGAAGATATTTCCTTTTTCACCATAGACCTCAAATCACTCACAAATATCCCCTTGCATATTCTATAAGAACAGAGTTTCCATTCTGCTCAATGAAAAGAAATGTTTAACTCTGTGAGATGAGTGCACACATCACAAAGAAGTTTCTCAGAAAGCTTCTGTCTAGTTGTTATGTGAAGATATTTCCTATTTCATCTTAGGCCTCGAAGAGTTCAGAAATATCCCACGGCAGATTCTCCAAAAAGACTGCTTCCAAACTGCTCAATCAAAAGAAAGGTTCGACTCGGTGAGGTGAATGCACACTTCTCAAAGCAACTTCTCAGAAAGCTTCTGTCTGGTTTCTATGTGAAGATATTTCCTTTTTCACCATACGCTGCAAATCACTCACAAATATCCCTTTGCAGATTCTACCAAAAGACTGTTTCCAAACTCTTCAATCAAAAGAAATGTTCAAATCTGTGAGTTGAATGCAGACATCACAAAGAAGTTTCTAAGAATATTTCTGTCTACTTTTTTTTGTGAATATATATCCTTTTTCACCACAGGCCTCAAAGGATTCACAATTATCCCTATCCAGATTCTACAAAAATACTGTTTTCAAACTGCTCAATCCAATAAAGATTCAGAAAGACTGTTTCCACACTCCTCGATCAAAAGAAAGGTTCAATTCTGTGAGATGAATGCACACATCACAAAGAAGTATCACAGAGAGCTTCTGTCTACTTTCTATGTGAAGAAATTGCCTTTTTCAACATAGACCTCAAAGCACTCACAAATATCCCATGGCAGATTCTAGAAGAACAGAGTTTCCAATCTGCTCAATGAAAAGAAACGTTTACTTCTGTGAGATGAATGGAAACATCACAAAACAGTTTCTCAGAAACCTTCTGTCTAGTATTTATGTGAAGATACTTCCTTTTTCACCATAGGCCTCAAAGTGCTCACAAATATCCCTTTGCAGATTCTACAAAAAGACTGTTTCCAAACTTCTCAATCAAAAGAAAGGGTCAACTCTGTGACATGAGCACACACATCACAAAGAAGTTTCCTAGAAAGCTTCTGTCTAGCTTTTATGTGAAGATATTTCCTTTTTTGCCATAGGCCTGAAATTGCTCACAAATACCCCTTGGCAGATTCTACAAAAAGAGTGTTTCCAAACTTCTCAAAAGAAAGGTTAAACTCTGTGAGGTGAATGCACACATCAGAGGAAAGTTTCTCAGAAAGCTTCTGTCTGGTTTTTATGTGAAGATACTGCCTTTTTCACCATAGGCCACAAAATCCTCACAAATATCACTTTGCAGATTCTAAATGAACAGATTTTCCAATCTACTCATTGAAAAGAAACGTTTAACTCTGTGAGATGAATGCAGACATTACAAAGCAGTTTCTCAGAAATGTTCTGTCTAGTTTTTTTTTGAAGATTTTTCCTTTTTCACCATAAGCCTCAAAGGGCTCACAAACGGCCCCTTGCACATTCTACAAAAAGACTATTTCCAATCTGCTCAAAGGAAAGTTTCAACTCTGTGAGATGAATGAACCCATCACAAAGCAGTTTCTCAGAAACATTCTTTCTAGTTATTAGGTGAAGATATGCCCTTTTTCAGCATAGGCCTCAAAATGCTCACAAATATCCCTTTGTAGATTCTACAGATAGACTGTTTCCAATCTGCTCAAGGAAAAGAAATGTTACCTCTGTGTGAGGAATGCACTAATCAGAAAGCAGTTTCTCAGTAACTTTCTGTCTAGTGTTTATGTGAAGATATTTCATTTTCACCATAGGCCTCAATGTGCTCACAAATATCCCTTTGCAGATTCTACAAACAGACTGTTTCCAAACTCCTCAATCAACAGAAAGGGTCTTCTCTGTGAGACAAATGCACACGAAACAAAATATTTTCTCAGAAAGCTTCTGTCTAGTTTTTACGTGAAGATATTTCCGTTTTCACCGTAGGCCTCAAAGTGCTCACAAAATATTTTCTCAGAACGTTTCTGTCTAGTTTTTATGTGAAGATATTTCCTTTTTTACCACAGGCCTCAAATGGGTCAGAAATATCCCTTTGCAGATTATATAAGAAGGCAGACTGCAAACTGCACATTCAAAAGAAATTTTCAACTCTGTCACATGAATGCACACATCACAAAGAAGTTTCTCATAAGGCTTCTATCTAGCTTTTATGGGAAGATATTTCCTTTTTCACCATAGGCCTCAAAGGGGTCAAAAATATCCCTTTGTAGATTCCACAGAAAGACTGTCTCCAAAGTGCTCAATCAAAAGAAAATTTCAACCCTGTGAGATGAATGCACACATCACAAACAAGTTTCTCAGAAACCTTCTGTCTAGTTTTATTTTGAAGATATTTCCTTTGCACTTTGAGGTCTAGGGTGAAAAGGAAATATCTTCACATAAACACTAGATAGAAGGTTTCTGAGAAACTGCTTTGTGATGAGTGCATTCATCACACAGAGGTAAAAATTTCTTTTCATTGAGCAGATTGGAAACAGTCTATTTGTAGAATCCGCAAAGGGAAATTTGTGAGCATTTCGAGGCCTATGCTGAAAAAGGAAATATCTTCACATAATAACTAGACAGAAGGTTTCTAAGAAACTGCTTTGTGATGTGTGCATACATCTCACAGAGGTAAACATTTCTTTTCATTGAGCAGATTGGGAACTCTGTTCTTGTAGAATCTGTAAAGTGATATTTGTGAGTGCTTTGGGGTCTATGGTGAAAAAGAAAATATCTTCACATGAAAACTAGACAGAAGCTTTCTGAGAAACTTCTTTGTGATGTGTGCATTCATCTCATAGAGATGAAACTTTCTTTTCATTGAGCAGTATGGAAACAGTCTTTTTGTAGAATCTGTGGAGGGATATTTGTAAGTGGATAGAGGCCTATGGTGAAAAAGGAAATAGCTTCAAATAAAAACTAGATGGAAGCATTCTAAGAAACTTATTTTTGATGTGCGCATTCATCTCACAGAGTTGAACCTTTCTTTTGAGCAGTTTGGAAACAGTCTTTTTGTATAATCTGCAGAGGGCTATTTGTGAGCGGTTTGAGGCCTATGGTGAAAAAGAAAATATCTTCACATAATAACCAGAGAGAAGCTTTTTGAGAAACTTCTTTGTGATGTGTGCATTCATCTCACAGAGTTGAACCTTTCTTTTCATTGAGCAGTATGGAAACAGTCTTTTTGGAGAATCTGAAAAAGGGTATTTGAAGCGCTTTGCTTCCTATGGTGAAAAAGGAAATATCTTCACATAAAAACTATACAGAAGTTTTCTTAGAAACTTCTTAGGGATGTGTGCATTCATCTCACAGAGTTGAAGTTTTCTTTTTATTGAGCAGTTTGGACATAGTCTTTTTGTATAATCTGCAGAGGGATATTTGTGAGCAGTTTGAGGCCTATAAAGAAAAAGGAAATATCTAAACATAAAAACTAGACAGAAGAATTCTTAGAAACTTCTTCATGTTGTGTCCATTCATCTCACAGAGTAGAAGCTTTCTTTTGATTGTGTAGTTTGGAAAGAGTCTTTTTGTAGAATCTGCAAAGGGATATTTGAGAACCCATTGAGGCCTATGTTGAAATAGGAAATTTCTTCACTTTAACACCAGACAGAAACTTCTGAGAAACTTCTTTGTGATATGTCCTTTCATCTCAAGAGGTGAAACTTTCTCTAGATTGAGCACTTTGGAAATAGCCTTTTTGTAGAATCTGCGAAGGGATATTTGTGAGCCCTTTGAGGCCTATGGTGAAAACTGAAATATCTTCATGTAAAAACTAGACAGAAGCTTTCTGAGAAACTTCTTTATGATGTGTGCTTTCATCTCACAAAGTTGAACCTTTCTTATGATTGAGCAGTTTGGAAACGTCTTTTTGTAGAGTCTGCAAAGGGATATTTGGGAGCAGTTTGAGGCCTTTGGTGAAAAGGAAATATGTTCACATAAAAACTAGACAGAATCTTTATCAGAAACTTCCTTGTGATGTTTGCATTCATCTCACATAGTTGAACATTGCTTTTCATTCATCAGTTTCGAAGCAGTCTTTTTGTACAATCTGCAAAGGGATGTTTCTGAGCGTTTTGAGGCCTAAGGTGAAAAAGAAATATCTTCACACAAAAACTAGACAGAAGCATTCTGAGAAACTTCTTTGTGATGTGTGATTTCATATCACAGAGTTGAGCCTTTCTTTTGATTGAGCAGTTTGGAAACAGTCTTTTTGTAGAATGTGCAAATGGATATTTGGAGCGCTTTGAGGCCTGTGGTGAAAAAGGAATTATCTTCACATAAAAACTAGATAGGCAATTTCTGAGAATCTTATTTGTGATGTGTGCTTACATCTCACAGAACTGAAATTTTCTTTTGATTGAGCAGTTTAGGAACAGTCTTTTTTAGACTTTGAAGAGGGATATTTGTGAGCTGTTTGAGGCCTATGGTGAAAAAGGAAATATCGTCACATAAAAACTAGACAAAGGCATTCTGAGAAACTTCGTTGTGATGTGTGCATTCATCTCCCAGAGTTGAACGTTTCTTTTGATTGAGCAGTTTGGAAACAGTCTTTCTGTAGAAACTTCAATGGTATATTTTTGAGCCCATTGATTCCTATGGTGAAATAGCAAATATCTTCACATAAAAACTAGACAGAAGCTTTCTGAGAAACTTTTTTTGATGTATCCTTTCATCTCAGAGAGCTGAACCTTTCTTTTGATTGAGCAGTTTGGAAACAGACTTTTTGTAGAATCTGCAGAGGGATATTTGTGAGCGGTTTGAAGCCTATAGTGAAAAAGGAAATATACTCACAGAAAAACTAGAAAGAAGCATTCTGAGTAACTTCTTTGTGATGGGTGCATTCATCTCACAGAGTTGAACTTTTCATTGAGCAGTTTGGAAGCAGTCTTTTTGTAGAATCTGCAAATGTACATATGTGAGCCCATTGAGGAATACTGTGAAATACAATATATATTCACATAAAAACTAGACAGAAGTTTCTGAGAAACTTCTTTGTGATTCGTCTATTCATCTGACAGTGTTGAATATTTCTTTTGGTTGACAAGTTTAGAAACAGTCTTTATGAAGAACCTGCAGATGGATATTTTTGAGCGGTCTGAGGCCTATGGTTAAAAAGGAAATATCTTCACATAAGAACTAGACAGAAGCATTCTGAGTAACTTCTTTGTGAAGGGCGCATTCATCTCACAGAGTTGAACTTTTCTTTTGTTTGAGCATTTTGGAAACAGTCCTTTTGTAGAATCTGCAATGGTATATATGTGAGTCCATTGAGGCCTATGGTGAAATTGGATATATATTCACGTTTAAACTAGACAGAAGCTTTCTGAGAAACTTCTTTGTGATGCTTTCATTCATCTCACAGAATTGAACTTTTCTTTTGATTAAGCAGTTTGGAAACAGTCTTTTTGTAGAATCTGCAATTGGATATTTGTGAGCAGTTTGAGGCCTATGGTGAAAAAGGAAATATCTTCACATAAAAACTAGACAGAAGCATTCTGAGAAAGTTCTTTGTGATGTGTGCTTTCATCTCACAGAGTTGAACCTTTCTATTGATTGAGCAGTTTGGAAAAAGTCTTTTTGTAGAATTTGCAAATGGATATTGGAGCTCTTTGAGGCCTATGATGAAAAAGGAAATATCTTCACATAAAAACTAGATGGAATCTTCTTGAGCAACTTCTTTGTGATGTGTGCTTTTGTCTCACAGAGTTGAACCTTTCTTTTGATTGAGCAGTTTGGAAACAGTCTTTTTGTAGAATCTGCAAATGGATATTTGGAGCTCATTGAGGCCTATGATGAAAAAGGAACGTGGGCAAGGACTTCATGTCCAAAACACCAAAAGCAATGGCAACAAAAGCCAAAATTGACAAATGGGATCTAATTAAACTAAAGAGCTTCTGCACAGCAAAAGAAACTACCATCAGAGTGAACAGGCAACCTACAACATGGGAGAAAATTTTCGCAACCTACTCATCTGACAAAGGGCTAATATCCAGAATCTACAATGAACTCAAACAAATTTACAAGAAAAAAACAAACAACCCCATCAAAAAGTGGGCGAAGGACATGAACAGACACTTCTCAAAAGAAGACATTTATGCAGCCAAAAAACACATGAAGAAATGCTCATCATCACTGGCCATCAGAGAAATGCAAATCAAAACCACTATGAGATATCATCTCACACCAGTTAGAATGGCAATCATTAAAAAGTCAGGAAACAACAGGTGCTGGAGAGGATGTGGAGAAATAGGAACACTTTTACACTGTTGGTGGGACTGTAAACTAGTTCAACCATTGTGGAAGTCAGTGTGGCGATTCCTCAGGGATCTAGAACTAGAAATACCATTTGACCCAGCCATCCCATTACTGGGTATATACCCAAAGGACTATAAATCATGCTGCTATAAAGACACATGCACACGTATGTTTATTGCAGCACTATTCACAATAGCAAAGACTTGGAACCAACCCAAATGTCCAACAATGATAGACTGGATTAAGAAAATGTGGCACATATACACCATGGAATACTATCCAGCCATAAAAAATGATGAGTTCATGTCCTTTGTAGGGACATGGATGAAATTGGAAACCATCATTCTCAGTAAACTATCGCAAGAACAAAAAACCAAACACCGCATATTCTCACTCATAGGTGGGAATTGAACAATGAGATCACATGGACACAGGAAGGGGAATATCACACTCTGGGGACTGTGGAGGGGTCGGGGGAGGGGGGAGGGATAGCATTGGGAGATATACCTAATGCTAGATGACACGTTAGTGGGTGCAGCACACCAGCATGGCACATGTATACATATGTAACTAACCTGCACAATGTGCACATGTACCCTAAAACTTAGAGTATAATAAAAAAAAAAAACATTAAAAATAAAAAAAAATAAAAATAAAAAAAAACAATTAACATTAAAAAAAAATAAAAAAAAGAAATATCTTTTTGAAAATAAAAAATAAAATTTTATGGCTTCTTATTTTCTAAAAAAAAAAAAAAAAGAAAAAGGAAATATCTTCACATAAAAACTAGACAGAAGCATTCTGAGAAACTCCTTTGTGATGGGTGCTTTCATCTCACGGAGTTGAACTTTTCTTTTGAGTGAGCAGTTTGGAAACAGTCTTTTTGGAGATTCTGTAAAGGTATATTTGTGAGCTCATTGAGGTCTATGGTGAGATAGCATTTATATTCACAAAAAAACTAGACAGAAACGTTCCGAGAAACTTCTTTGTGATGCATGCATTCATCTCACAGAGATGAACCTTTCTTTTGATTGGGCAGTTTGGAAGCAGTCTTTTTGTAGAATCTGCAGACGAATATTTTTGAGTGGTTTGAGGCCTGTGGTGAAAAATGTAATAACTTCACATAAAAACTAGACACAAGCTTTCTGAGAAACTTATTTCTGATGTGTGCATTCATCTCACAGAGGTGAATCTGTCTTTTTTTTGAGCAGTTTGGAAACACTCTTTTTGTAGAATCGGCAGAAGGATATTTGTGAGCGGTTTGAGGCCTATGGTGAAAAAGGAAATATCTTCACATAAGGACTAGACAGAAGCATTCTGGGAAACTTCTTTTTGATGCATGCGTTCATCTGACAGAGTTGAACATTTCTTCTGATTGAGCAGTTTGGAAACAGTCTTTTTGCAGAATCTGCAAATGGATATTTGGAGCTTATTGAGGCCTATGATGAAAAAGGAAATATCTTCACATAAAAACTGGACAGAAGCTTTCTCAGAAACTTCTTTCTGATGTGCGCATTCATCTCACAGAATTGAACCTTTCTTTTGATTGAGCAGTTTGGAAACAGTCTTTTTGTAGAATCTGCAGAGGGATATTTGTGAGCAGTGTGAGGCCTATGGTGAAAAAGAAAATATCTTCACATAAAAACTAGACAGAAGCATTCTGAGAAACTCCTTTGTGATGGCTGCTTTCATCTCATGGAGTTAAACTTTTCTTTTGAGTGAGCAGTTTGGAAACAGTCTTTCTTTTTGGAGAATCTGTAAAGGTATATTTGTGAGCCCATTGAGGCCTATGGTGAAATAGCACATACATTTACAAAAAAACTAGACAGAAACGTTCTGAGAAACTTCTTCATGATGTGTGCATTCATCTCACGGAGATGAACCTTTCTTTTGATTGGGCAGTTTGGAAGCAGTCTTTTTGTAGAATCCGCAGACGAATATTTTCGAGCGGTTTGAGGCCTGTGGTGAAAAAGGTAATAACTTCACATAAAAACTAGACACAAGCTTTCTGAAAAACTTCTTTCTGATATGTGCATTCATCTCACAGAGGTGAATCTTTCTTTTGTTTGAGAAGTTTGGAAACAGTCTTTTTGTAGAATCAGCAGAGGGATATTTGTGAGCGGTTTGAGGCCTATGGTGAAAAAGGAAATATCTTCACATAGGAACTAGACAGAAGCATTCTGGGAAACTTCTTTTTGATGAGTGCGTTCATCTGACAGAGTTGAACCTTTCTTTTGATTGAGCAGTTTGGAAACAGTCTTTTTGTAGAATCTGCAAAGGTATATTTGTGAGCCCGTTGAGACCTATGGTGAAATAAGATATATATTCACATAAAAACTAGACAGAAGCTTTCTGAGAAACTTCTTTGTGATGCATGCATTCATCTCACAGAGTTGAACCTTTCTTTTGATTGAGTAGTTTGGAAACAGTTTTTTTGTAGAATCTGCAGACGGATATTTTTGAACGGTTTGAGGCCTATGGTGAAAAAGGAAATATCTTCACATAAAAACTCGACAATAATGTTCTGACAAACTTCTTTGTGATGTATTCATCTCACAGAGTTGAATCATTCTTTTGATTGAGCAGTTTGGAAACAGACTTTTAGTAGTATCTGCGAAAGGATACTTTTTAGCCATTTGAGGCCCATGGTGAAATAGGAAATATCTTCAAATAAAAACCAGACAGAAGCATTCTGAGAAACTTCATTGTGATGTGTGCATTCATCTCACAGAGTTGAACATTTCTTTTGATTTAGCAGTTTGGTAACAGTCTTTCTGAAGAATCTGCAAAGAGATATTTGTGAGCCCCCTGAGGCCCATGGTGAAATAGGAAATATATCTTCAAATAAAAACTAGACAGAAGCTTTCTGAGAAACTTCTTTTTGATGTGTGGTTTCATCTCACAGAGTCGAAACTTTCTTTTGATTGAGCAGCTTGCAAACAGTCTTTTAGAAGTATCTGCAAAGGGATGTTTTTGAGCCATTTGAGGCCTGTGGTGAGATAGGAAATATTTTCAAATAAAAACTAGACAGAAGCTTACTGAGAAACTTCTTTGTGATGTGTGCTTTCATGTCACAGAGCTGAACCATTCTTTTGATTGAGTAGTTTGAGAACAGTGGTTTTGTAGAATGTGCAAATTTATATTTAGACTGCTTTGAGACCCATGGTGAAAAATAAAATATCTTCTCATAAAAACTAGACAGAAGTTTTCTTAGAAACTTATTTGTAATGTGTGCTTTCATCTCACAGAGCTGACTCTTTTGATTGAGTAGTTTGGAAACTGTCTTTTTGTAGAATCTGCAAATGGATATTTTTAGTGCTTTGAGGCCCATGGTGAAATAGGAAATATCTTCTCATAAAAACTAGACAGAATCTTTGTGAGAAAGATCCTTGTGATGTGTGCATTCATCACACAGAGTTGAAAATTTCTTTTGATTGAGCAGTTTGGAAACAGTATTTTTGTACATTTGGCCGAGGGATATTTGTGAGTGATTTGAGGCCCATGGTGAAAAAGGAAATATCATCATATAAAAATTAGACAGAAGCTTTCTGAGAAACTTCTTTGTGATGTGTGCTTTCATCTCACTGTGTTGTACGTTTCTTTTGATTGAGCAGTTTGGAAGCAGTCTTTTAGTAGTATCTGCAAAGGTATAATTTTGGGCCATTAGAGGCCTATGGTGAAATAGGAAATATCTTCACATAAAAACTAGACATAAGCTTTCTGAGAAACTTCTTTGTGATGTGTGCTTTCATCTCACAGTTTTGAAAATTTCTTTTGATTGACCAGTTTGAAAAATGTCTTTTTGTAGAATCTGCAAATGGATATTTTGAGTGCATTGAGGCCTATGGTGAAAAAGGAAATATCTTCACATAAAAACAAAACAGAAGCATTCTGAGAAACTTCTGTGTGATTTGTGCATTCATCTCACAGAATTGAAACTTTCTTTTGATTGAGCAGTTTGAGTTTGGAAAAAGTGTTTTTGTAGAAACTGCAAAGGGATATGCCTGAGCCCATTGAGGCCTATGCTGAAATAGGAAATATCTTCACATAAAAAATAGACAGAAGGTTTCTGAGAAAGTTCTTTGTGATGTGTGCTTTCATCTCACAGAGTTGAACCATTGTTTTCATTAAGCAGTTTGGAAACAGTCTTTTTGTAGAATCAGCAGAGGGATACTTTTGTGCGGTTTGAGGCCTACAGTGAAAAAGGAAACAACTTCACATAAAAACTAGACAGAATCATTCTGAGAAAATACTTTGTGATGGGTGCATTCATCTGACAGCGTTGAACCTTTCTTTTGATTGATCAGTTTGGAAACAGTCTTTTTGTAGATTCTGCAAAGTGATATTTTTGAGCCCTTTGATGTCTATGGTGAAATAAGAAATATCTTCACATAAAAACTAGACAGAAGCATTCTGAGAATCTTCTTTGTGATGGGTGCATGCGTCTCACAGAGTGGAACTTTTGTTTTGATTGAGCAGTTTGGAAACAGTCTATATTTTGAATCTGCAAAGATACATTTGTGAGCCAATTGAGGCCAATGGTGAAATAGGATATATTTTCACATAAACACTAGAGAGAAGCTTTCTGAGAAACTGCTTTTTGATGCATGCATTCATCTCAGAGTTGAATCTTTCTTTTGATAATGCTGTTTGGAAACAGTCTTTTTGTAGAATCTGCAGATGGATATTCTTCAATGGTTTGACGACTATGGTGAAAAAGAAAATATCTTCACATAAAAACTGGAGAGAAGCGTTCTGAGAAACTTCTTTGTGATGGGTGCATTCATCTCACAGAGTTGAACCTTCCTTTTGATTGAGCAGTTTGGAAACACTCGTTTTGTAAAATCTGCAAAGGGATATTTGTGAGTCCATTGAGACCTATGGTGAAATAGGAAATATCGTCACATAAAAACTAGACAGAAGCATTCTGAGAAACTCCTTTGTGATGTCTGCATTCGTCTCACAAAGTTGAACTTTTGATTGAGGAATTTGGAAACAGACTTTAGTAGTGTCTGTGAAGGGATATTTTTGAGCCTTTTTAGGCCTATGGTGAAATAGGAAATACATTCACATAAAAACTAAACAGAGCTGTCTGAGAAATTTCTTTATGATGGGTGATTTCATCTCACAGATTTGAACCTTATTTTTGATTGAACAGTTTGTAAACAGTTTTTATGTAGAAACTGCAAATGGACATTTGGAGCACTTCGAGGCCTATGGTGAAAAAGGAAATATCATCAAACAAAAACTAGACTGAAACTTTCTGAGAAACTTCTTTGTTATTCGTGCGTTCATCTCCCATAGTTAAAATTTACTTTTGATAGAGCAGTTTGAAAACAGTCTTTTTGTAGAATCTGCAAATGGATGTTTTGAGGGCTTTGAGGCCTATGGTGAAAAAGGAAATATCTACACATAAAAATTAGACAGAAACTTTCTGAGAAACTTCTTTGTGATGTGCGCTTTCATCTCAAAGAGTTGAAACTTTCTTCTCGTTGAGCAGTTTGGAACCAGTCTTTTTGTAGAATTGGCAGAGGGATATTTCTGAGCGGTTTGAGGCCTACGGTGAAAAAGGAAATATCTTCACATAAAAACTAGGCAGAAGCATTCTGCGAAATTTCTTGGTGATGTGTGCATTCATCTGACAGAGTTTAACCTTTCTTTTGATTGAGCAGTTTGGAAACAGTCTTTTAGTAGTATCTACCAAGGGATATTTTTGAGCCATTTGAGGCTGATGCTGAAATAGGAAATATCTTCACATAAAAACTAGACAGAAGCTTTCTGAGAAACTTCTTTGTGATGTGTGCCTTCTTCTCGCAGATTTGAACGTTTCTTTTTATTGAGCAGTTTGGAAACTGTGTTTTTGTAGAATCTGAAAAGGGATATTTGGAGCGCTTTGAGGCCTATGGTGAAAAAGGAAATATCTTCACATAAAAACTAGACAGAAGCATTCTGAGAAACTTCATTGTGATGTGTGCATTCATCTCACAGAATTGAACCTTTCTTTTGAGTGAGCAGTTTGGAAACATTCCTTTTGTAGAATCTGCAATGTGATATTTGTGAGCGGTTTGAGGCCTATGGTGAAAAAGGAAATATCTTCACATGAAAACTAGACAGAGGCATTGTGAGAAACTTCTCTGTGATGCATGCATTCATCTCACAGAGTTGAAACTTTCTTTTGATTGGGCAGGTTGGAAACAGTCCTTTTGTAGAATTTACAAAAGGTTATTTGTGAGGCCTATGGTGAAACAGGAAATATCTTCACATGAAAACCAGAGAGAAGCTTTCTGAGAAACCACTTAGTGATGAGTGCCTTCATCTCACAGAGTTGAACCTTTCTTTTGATTGAGCAGTTTGGAAATAGTGTTCTTGTAGAATCTGAAAATGGATATTTGGAGCTCTTCGAGGCCTATGGTGAAAAAGGAAGTATCTTCACATAAAAACTAGATAGAAGCTTTCTCAGAAATTTCTTTCTGATGTGTGCATTCATCTCACAGAATTGAACCTTTCTTTTGATTGAGCAGTTTGGAAACAGTCTTTTTGTAAAATCTGCAGAGGGACATTTGTGAGCGATTTCAGGCCTATGGTGAAAAAGGAAATATCTTCATATGAAAAATAGACAGAAGCATTCTGAGAAACTTCTTTGTGATGTGTGATTTCATCTCACAGAATTGAACCTTTCTTTTGATTGAGCAGTTTTGAAACAGCCTTTTTGTAGAAACTGCAAAGGGATATTCCTGAGCCCTTTGATTCCTATGGTAAAAAAGGAAATATCTTCACATAAAAACAAGACAGAATGTTTCTGAGAGACTTCTTTGTGACGTGTGCTTTCATCTCACAGAATTGAACCTTTGTTTTCATTGAGCAGTTTGGAAATAGTCTTTTTGGAGAATCTGCAAAGGGATATTTTTGAGCCTTTTTAGGCCTATGGTGAAATAGGAAATACCTTCACATAAAAATTAGACAGATGCGTTCTGAGAAACTTCTTTGTGATGGGTGCCTGCAACCAGAGAGTTGAACATTTCTTTTGATTGAGCAGTTTGGAAACAGTCTGTTTGTAGAATCTGCAAAGGTATATTTCTTAACCCATTGATTCCTATGGTGAAATAGGAAACATCTTCACATAAAAACTAGACAGAAGCTTTCTGAGAAAATTCTTTGTGATGTGTGCATTCATCTCACACAGTTGAAACTTTCCTTTGATTGAGCAGTTTGTAAACGGTCTTTTTGTAGAATCTGCAAAGGGATATTTGACAGCGCTTTGAGGCCTATGTTGAAAAAGGAAATATCTTCGTATAAAAACTAGACAGAAACTTTCTGAGAAACTTCATTGTGATGTGTGCATTCATCTCACAGAGTTGAACCCTGCTTTTGATTGATCAGTTTGGAAACAGTCTTTTTCTAGAATCTGCAAAGGGGTATTTCTGAGCGGTTGGAGGCCTATGGTGATAAAGGAAATATCTTCATATAAAAAAATAGACAAAGCTTTCTGAGCAACTTCTTTCTGATGTGTGCATTCATCTCGCAGAGGTGAAACTTTCCTTTGATTGAGCAGTTTGGAAACAGTGTTTTTGCAGAATCTGCAAAGGGATATTTCGGAGCTCTTTGAGGCTTATGGTGTAAAAGGAGATACCTTCACATAAAAACTAGACAGAGGCTTTCTCTGAAACTTCCTTGTGATGTGTGCATTCATCTCACAGAGTTGAAATTTCTTTTGATTGAAAGGTTTGGAAGCAGTGTTTTCGTAGAATCTGCACAGGGATGTTTCTGAGCAGCTTGAGTCCTATAGTGTAAAAGAAAATATATTCCTGTAAAAACTAGACAGAAGCATTCTGAGAAACTTCTTTGTCATGTGTGCATTTATCTCACAGAGTTGAACTTTTCTTTTGATTGAGCAGTTTGGAAACCGTCTTTTTCTAGAATCTGCAAATGGATATTTCTGAGTGGTTTGAGGCCCCTGGTGAAAAAGGAAACATCTTCATATAAAAACTAAACAGAAACTTTTTGAGAAACTTCTTTGCGTTGTGTGCATTCATCTCACAGAGTGGAAACTTTCTTTTGATTGAGCAGTTTGGAAACAGTCTTTTTCTAGAATCTGCAAATGGATATTTCCGAGTGCTTTGAAGCCTATAGTGAAAATGGAAATATCTTCATATAAAAACTACACAGAAATTTTCTGAGAAACTTCTTTCTGCTGCAGGCATTCATCTCACAGAGTGGAAACTTCCTTTTGATTGAGCAGTTTGGAAACAGTCTTTTTCTAGAATCTGCAAAGGGATATTTCTGAGCTTTTTGAGGCCTATGGTGAAAAAGGAAATATGTTCACCTAAAAAGTAGACAGAAGATTACTGAGAAACTTCTTTGTAATGTGTGCATTTTTATCATAGAGCTAAACCTTTCTTTTCATTGAGCATTTAGGAAACAGTCTTTTTGTGGAACCTGCAAAGGGATATTTGAGTGCCATTTGAGGCCTATGATGAAAAAGGAAATATCTTCACATAACAACTAGACAGAAGCTTTCTGGGAAACTTCTTTGTGATGTGTGCATTCATCTCATGGAGTTCAAACTTACTTTCCTTTGATTGAGCAGTTTGGAGACAGTCTTTCTGTAGAATCTGCAAAGGGATATTTGGGAGTCCTTTGAGGCCTATGGTGAAAAATGAAATATCTTCACATAAAAACTAGACAGAAGCTTTCTGAGAAATTTCTTTGTGATGCATGCATTTATTGCACAGTTTTGAAACTTTCTTTTGATTGAGCAGTTTGGAAACAGTCTTTTCGTAGAATCTGCAAAGGGATATTTGGGAGCCCTTCGAGGCCTATGGTGAAAACGGAAATATCTTCACATAAAAACTAGACAGAAGCTTTCTTAGGAACTTCTTTTTGATGTGTGCATTCATCTAACAGAGGTGAATTTTTCTTTTGATTGAGCAGTTTGGAAACAGTCTTTTTCTATAATCTGCAAGGGGATTTTTCTGAACATTGTGAGGCATACGGTGAATAAGGAAACATGTTCAAATAAATACTAGGCAGAATCACTCTGAGAAACTTCTTTGTGATGTGTGCATTCAACTAACAGAGTCGAAATTTTCTTTTGAATGAGCAGTTTGGAAACAATATTTTTGTAGAGTCTGCCAAGGGATATTTGGGATCCCTTCTAGGCCAATGGTGAAAAAGGAAATATCTTCACATAAAAACTAGACAGAAGCATTCTGAGAAACTTCTTTGTGATGTGCGCATTCATCACACAATTTGAACATTTATTTTTTTTATTTTATTATGATTATACTTTAAGTTTTAGGGTACATGTGCACAATGTGCAGGTTAGTTACATTTGTATGCATGTGCCATGCTGGTGTGCTGCACCCATTAACTCGTCATTTAGCATTAGGTATATCTCCTAACGCTATCCCTCCCCCCTCCTCCCACCCCACAACAGTCCCCAGAGTGTGCTGCTCCCCTTCCTGTGTCCATGTGCTCTCATTGTTCAATTCCCACCTATGAGTGAGAACATGCGGTGTTTGGTTATTTGTCCTTGCGATAGTTTACTGAGAATGATGATTTCCAATTTCATCCATGTCTCTACAAAGCAGATGGATTCACAGTCGAATTCTACCAGAGGTACAAGGAGGAACTGGTACCATTCCTTCTGAAACTATTCCAATCAACAGAAAAAGAGTGAATCCTCCCTAACTCATTTTATGAGGCCAGCATCATCCTGATACCAAAGCCGGGCAGAGACACAACCAAAAAAGAGAATTTGAGACCAATATCCTTGATGAACATTGTTCCAAAAACCCTCAATAAAATACTGGCAAACCGAATCCAGCAGCACATCAAAAAGCTTATCCACCACGATTAAGGGGGCTTCATCCCTGGGATGCAAGGCTGGTTCAATATACGCAAATCAATAAATGTAATCCAGCATATAAACAGAACCAAAGACAAAAACCACATGATTATCTGAATAGATGCAGAAAAGGCCTTTGACAAAATTCAACAACCCTTCATGCTAAAAACTCTCAATAAATTAGGTATTGATGGGGCGCATCTCAAAATAATAAGAGCTATCTATGACAAACCCTCAGCCAATATCATACTGAATGGGCAAAAACTGGAAGCATTCCCTTTGAAAACTGGCACAAGATAGGGATGCCCTCTCTCACCACTCCTATTCAACATAGAGTTGGAAGTTCTGGCTAGGGCAGTTAGGCAGGAGAAGGAAATAAAGGGTATTCAATTAGGAAAAGAGGAAGTCAAATTGTCCCTGTTTGCAGATGACATGATTGTATATGTAGAAAACCCCATTGTCTCAGCCCAAAATCTCCTTAAGCTGATAAGCAACTTCAGCAAATCTCAGGATACAAAATCAATGTACAAAAATCACAAGCATTCTTATACACCAATAACAGACAAACAGAGAGCCAAATCATGAGTGAACTCCCATTCACAATTGCTTCAAAGAGAATAAAATACCCAGGAATCCAACTTACAAGGGACGTGAAGGACCTCTTCAAGGAGAACTATAAACCACTGCTCAAGGAAATAAAAGAGGATACAAACAAATGGAAGAGCATTCCATGCTCATGGGTAGGAAGAATCAATATCATGAAAATGGCCATAATGCCCAAGGTAATTTATAGATTCAATGCCATTCCCATCAAGCTACCAATGACTTTCTTCACAGAATTGGAAAAAACTACTTTAAAGTTCATATGGAACCAAAAAAGAGCCCTCATCGCCAAGCCAATCGCAAGCCAAAAGAGTACAGATGGAGGCATCATGCTACCTGACTTCAAACTATACTACAAGGCTACAATAACCAAAACAGCATGGTACTGGTACCAGAACAGAGATATAGATCAATGGAACAGAACAGAGCCCTCAGAAATAACGCCACATATCTACAACTATCTGACCTTGACAAACCTGGGAAAAACAAGCAATGGGGAAAGGATCCACTATTTAATAAATGGTGCTGGAAAACTGGCTAGCCATATGTAGAAAGTTGAAATTGGATCCCTTCCTTACAACTTATACAAAAATTAATTCAAGATGGATTAAAGACTTAAACGTTAGAACTAAAACCATAAAAACACTAGATGAATATTTCTTTTAGTGGAACACTTTGGAAATAGTCTTCTTGTAGTATCTGCAGAGGGATATTTGTGACTGGTTTAAGGCCAATGGTGAAAAACGAAATATCTTCACATAAAAACTAGACAGAACCTTTCTGAGAAACTTCTTTGTGATGCCTTCATTCATCTCACAGAGTTGAACCTTTCTTTTGATTGAGCAGTTCGGGAACAATCTTATTGTACAATCTGCAAATGGATATTTCTGAGCCCTTTGAGGCCTATGGTGAAATAGAAAATATCTTCACATAAATACTAGACAGAAGCTTTCTGAGAAACTTCTTTGTGATGTATCCTTTTATCTCACAGAGTTCAACCTTTTTTTTTTGATTCAGCAGTTTGGAAACAGTGTTTTCATAGAATCTTCAAAAGGATATTTGCAGCACTTTGAGGCCTATGGTGAAAAAGGAAATACCTTCTCATAAAAACTACACAGAAGCATTCTGAGAAACTTCTTCATGATGTGTGCATTCATTTCACAGAGTTGAAACTTTCTTTTGATAGAGCACTTTGGAAACAGTTTTTTGTAGTATCTGGAGAGGGATATTTATTACCGGTTTAAGGCCTATGGTGAAAAAGGAAATATCTTCACATAAAAACTAGACAGAAGCATTGTGAGAAACGCCTTTGTGATGTGTGCATTCATCTCACAGAGTTAAACTTTTCTTCTGATTGAGCAGGTTTGAAACACTCTTTTTGTATAATCTGCAAATGGATATTTGGAGTGATTTGAGGCCTATGGTGAAAAAGGAAATATCTTCACATAAAAACTAGACAGAAGCATTCTGAGAATCTTTTTGGGATGTGTGCATTCATCTCACAGGGTTGAAAATTTCTTTTCATTGAGCAGTATGGAAACAGACTTTTTGTAGAATCTACAAATGCATACTTGGAGCGTTGTGAGGCCGATGGTGAAAAAGGAAATATCTTCCCATAAAAGCTAGACAGAAGCATTCTGAGAAACTTCTTTGTGATGCCTGCATGCATCGCACAGAGTTGAACCTTTCTTTTGATGGAAAAGTTTGGAAACAGTCTTTTTGTTGAATCTGCAAAGGGATATTTCTGAGTGGTTTGAAGTCTATGGTGAAAAAGGACATATCTTCACAAAAAAACTAGACGGAAGATTTCTGTGAAACTTATTTGTCATGAGTGCATTCATCTCAGAGAGTTGAAAGTTTCTTTTGATTGAGCGGTTTGGAAAAAGTCATTTTGTGGAATCTGCAAAGGAGTATTTGAGGGCCCTTTGAGGCCTATGTTGAAAGAGGATATATCTTCAAGTAAAAACTAGATGGCAGCTTTCTGAGATACTTTTTGTGATGGGTTCATTCATCTAACAGACTTCAAACTTTCTTTTGATTCAGCAGTTTGGAGACAGTGTTTTCACTGAATCTGCAAAGGGATGTTTTGGAGCCCTTTGAGGCCTGTGGTGAAAAAGGAAATCTCTTAACATAAAAACTAGACAGAAGCTTTCTGAGACACCTCTTTGTGATGTGTGCATTTATCTCACAGAGTTGAATCTTTCTTTTGATTGAGCAGTTTTGACACAGTCTTTTTGTAGATACTTAAAAGAGAAATTTCTGAGCGTTTTGGGGCCTACAGTGAAAAAGTAAATATCTTCACATAAAAACTAGACAGAAGCTTTCTGAGAAACTTCCTTGTGATGTGCACATTCATCTCACAGAGTTGAACCTTTCTTTTGATTGAGCATGCTGGAAACTCTGTTTTTGTAGAATCTATAAATGGATATTTGGAGTGCTTTGAGGCCTATGGTGAAAAAGGAAATATCTTCACATAAAAACTAGACAGAAGCATTCTGCACAACGTCTTTGTGATGTGAGCATTCATCTCACAGAGCTGAACCTTTCGTTTGATTGAGCAGGTTGGAATCACTATTTCTGAAGAATCTGCAAATGGATATTTGGAGTGCTTTCAGGCCTATGGTGAAAAAGGAAATATCTTCACATAAAAACTAGACAGAAGCGTTCTGAGAAACCTCTTTGTGATGTGTTCATTCATCTCACAGAAGTGAAACTTCCTTTGATGGACCAGTTTGGAAACAGTGTTTTTGAAGTATCTGCAGAGGGATATTTTTGACCAGTTTAAGGCCTATGGTGAAAAAGGAAATATCTTCCCCTTAAAACTAAACAGAACCTTGTGAGAAACTTCTTTGTGATGTGTGCATTCAACTAACAGAGTTGAACCTTTCTTTTGATTGAGCAGTTTGGAAACAGTCTTTTCATAGTATCTGCACAAGGATATTTGTGAGCCCTTCACAGCCTATTGTGAAATAGGAAATGTCTTCCCATAAAAACTAGATGGAAGCATTCTGAGAAACTTCTTTGTGGTGTGTGCATTCAACTCACAGTGCTGAAACTTTCTTTTGATTGAGCAGTTTGGAAACAGTCTTATTGAAGAATCTGCACAGGGATATTTGTGAGCCCTGTAAGGCCTATGGTGAAACAGGAAATATCTTCACATAAAAAGTAGACAGAAGCTTTCTGAGAATCTTCTTTGTGATGTGTTTTTTCATCTCACAGAGTTGAAACTTTCTTTTGATTGAGCAGTTTGGAAACAAAAAGACTGTTCTTTTTGTAGATTCTGCAAATGGATATTTGGTTCGCTTTGAAGCCTGTGGTGAAAAATTAAATATCCTGCCATAAAAAGTAGACAGAAGCATTCTGAGAAACTTCTTTGTCATGTGTGCATTCATCTCACAGAGGTGAACCTTTCTTTATATGGAGCACTTTGGAAACAGTCTTTTTGTAGTATCTGCAGAGGGATATCTGTGACCGGTTTAAGGCCTATAGTGAAAAAGGAAATATCTTCACATAAAAACTAGACAGAAGCATTCCTAGAAACTTCTTTGTGATGTGAGCATTCATCTCACAGAGTTGAATCTTTCCTTTCATTGAGCAGTTTGGAAACAGTCTTTTTGTAGAATCTGCACATGGATATTTGGGGTGCTTTGAGGCCTATGGTGAAAAAGGAAATATCTTCCCATAAAAACTGGACAGAAGCATTCGATAAATTTCTTTGTGATGTGTGTATTCATCTCACAGAGTTGAACCTTTCTTTTGATTGAGCAGTTTGGAAACAGTGTTTTCTTAGAATCTGCAAAGGGATATTTGGAGCCCTTTGAAGCCTATATTTAAAAAGGAAATATCTTCACATTCAAACTAAACAGAAGCATTCTGAGAAACTTCTTTGTGATGCCTGCATTCATCTCACAGGGTTGAACCTTTCTTTTGATGGCACACTTTGGAAAGAGTCTTTTTGTAGTATCTGCAAAGGGATATTTGTGACCTGTTTAAGGACTATGGTGAAAAAGGAAATATCTTCACATAAAAACTAGACAGAAACATTCTTAGAAACTTCTTTGTGATGTGTGCATTCATCTCCGAGTTGAATCTTTCTTCTGATTGAGCAGTTTGGAAACACTCTTTTTGTAGAATCTGCAAATAGATATTTGGAGCGCTTTGAGACCTATGGTGAAAAAGGAAATATCTTCCCATAAAGACTAAACAGAAGCTTTCAGATAAAGTTATTTGTGATGTGTGCATTCATCTCACAGAGTTGAAACTTTCTTTTGATTGAGCAATTTGGAAACAGTCTTTTCGTAGAATCTGCACAGGGATACTTGCGAGCCCTTTATGGCCTATTGTGAAATAAGAAATATCTTCACATAAAAACTAGACAGATGCATTCTGAGAAACATCTTTGTGATGTGTACATTCATCTCTCAGAGTTGAACCTGTCTTTTGATTGAGCAGTTTGGAAACAGTGTTTTTGAAGAATCTGCAAAAGGATATTTGGAGCCCTTTTAGGCCTACAGTGAAAAAGGAAATATCTTCACATGAAAACCAGAAAGAAGCATTCTGAGAAACTTCTTTGTGATGCCTGAATTCATCTCACACGGTTGAACCTTTCTTTTATTGAGCACTTTGGAAACTGTCTTTTTGTACAATTTGCAAATGAATGTTTCCGAGCCCTTTGAGGCCTATGGTGAAAAAGATATATCTACACATAAAAACTAGACAGAAGCATTCTGAGAAACTTCTTTCTGATGCCTGCATTCATCTCACAGAGTTGAACCTTTCTATTGATTGAGCAGTTAGGAAACATTCTTTTCGTAGAATCTGCACAGGGATATTTGTGAGCCCTTTATGACCTATGGTGAAATAGGAAATATCTTCATATAAAAACTGAACAGAAGCTTTGTGATAAACTACTTTGTGATGTATGCTTTCATCTCACAGAGTTGAACACTTCTTTCCATTGAGCAGTTTGGAAACAGTCGTATTTTAGTATCTGCAAATGCATATTTGGAGCGCTTTGAGGACTATGGTGAAAAAGGAAGTATTTTCACATGAAAACTAGACAGAAGCATTCTGAGAAACTTCTTTGTGATGTGTGCATTCATCTCACAGAGTTGAACCTTTCGTTTGATTCAGCAGGTTGGAAACACTCTTTTTGTAGAATCTGCAAATGCATATTTGGAGCACTTTGAGGCCTATGGTGAAAAAGGAAATATCTTCATATAAAAACTAGAGAGAAGCATTCTGAGAAACTTCTTTGGGATGTGTGCATTCATCTCGCTGAGTTTAACCTTTCTTTTGACTGAGCAGGTTGGAAACACTCTTTTTGTAGAAACTGCAAATGGATATATGGAGCACTGTGTGGCCTATGGTGGAAAAGGAAATATCTTCCCATAAAAACTAGTCAGAAGCATTCTGAGAAATTTCTTTGTGAAGAGCGCACTCATCTCACAGAGTTGAAACTTTGTTTTGATAGAGCAGTTTGGAAACAGTCTTTTTGTACAATCTGCAAAGGGATATTTCCGAGCCGTTTGAGGCCTATGGTGTAAAAGAAATATCTTCACATAAAAACTAGACAGAGGCATTCTGAGAAACTTCTTTATGATGTGTGCATTCATCACAAAGAGGTGAATCTTTCTTTTGATAGAGCAGTTTGGAAACAGTCTTTTGGTAGAATCTGCATTGGGATATTTTTGAGCCTTTTAAGGCCTACAATGAAACAGTAAATATTTTCACATAAATGCTACACAGAAGTTTTCTGAGAAACCTCTTTGTGATGTGTGCTTTCATCTCACAGAGTTGAACCTTCCTTTTGATTGAGCAGTTTGGAAAAAGTCTTTTTGTATAATCTGCAAATGGACATTTGGTGTGCTTTGAGGTCTGTGGTGAAAAAGGTAATATCTTCACATAAAATCTAGACAGAAGCATTCTGAAAAAATTCTTGTCATGTGTGTGTTCATTTCACAGAATTGAACATTTCTTTTGATGGCGTACTTTGGAAACAGTCTTTCTGTGTATCTGCAGAGTGATATTTGTGACCAGTTTAAGGAATATGGTGAAAAAGGAAATATCTTCACATAAAAACTAGACAGAAGCATTCTGACAAACTTCTTTGTGATGTGTGCATTCATCTCAAAGAGCTAAACCTTTCTTTTGACTGAGCAGTTTCGAAACAGTCCTTTTGTTCAATCTATACATGGATATTTGGAGCACTTTGAGACCTATGGTGAAAAAGGAAATATCTTCACATAAAAACTAAACAGAAGCTTTCTGATAAAATTATTTGTGATGTGTGCATTCATCTCACAGAGTTGAACATTTCTTTTGATTGAGCAGTTTGGAAACAGTCTTTTCATAGAATCTGCACAGGGATATTTGTGAGCCCTTTATGGCATATGGTGAAATAGGAAATATCTTCACATAAAAACTAGACAGAAGCATTCTGAGAAACATTTTTGTGATGTGTACATTCATCCCTCAGAGTTGAACCTTTCTTTTGATTGAGCTGTTTGGAAACAGTGTTTTTGAAGAATCTGCAAAGGGATGTTTGGAGCCCTTTTAGGCCTACGGTGAAAAAGGAAATGTGTTCACATGAAAACTAGACAGAAGCATTCTGAGAAACTTCTTTGTGATGCCTGAATTCATCTCACACGGTTGAACCTTTCTTTTGATTGAGCAGTTTGGAAACTGTCTTTTTGTACAATTTGCAAATGAATGTTTCTGAGCCCTTTGAGGCCTATGGTGAAAAAGATATATCTACACATAAAAACTAGACAGAAGCATTCTGAGAAACTTCTTTTTGATGACTGCATTCATCTCACAGAGTTGAATCTTTCTATTGATTGAGCAGTTTGGAAACATTCTTTTTGTACAATCTGAACAGGGACTTTTGGGAGCCCTTCATGGCCTATGGTGAAATAGGAAATATCTTCCCATAAAAACTAGACAGAAGCATTCTGAGAAACTTCTTTGTGACGTGTATATTCCTCTCACAGATTTGAACATTTCTTTTGATTGAGCAGTTTGGAAACCGTGTTTTTGTAGAATCTGCAAATGGATATTTGGAGCCATTTGAGGCCTACGGTGAAAAAGGAAATATCTTCACATAAACACAAGACAGAAGCATTCTTAGAAACTTCTTTGTGATGCCTGCATTCATCTCACAGGGGTGAACCTTTCTTTTGATTGAGCAGTTTGGAAAAACTCTATTTGTAGAATCTGCAAATGGATATTTGGAGTGCTTTGAGGACTACGGTTAAAAAGGGAATATCTTCCTATAAAAACTAGACAGAATCATTCTGAGAACCCTCTTTGTGATGAGTGCATTCATCTCAAAGAGTTGAACCTTTCTTTTGGCTGAGCAGTTTCAAAATAGTCCTTTTGTACAATCGACAAAGGGATATTTCCAAGCCGTTGGAGCCCTGTGGTGAAAAAGAAATATCTACACATAAAAACTAGACAGAAGATTTCTGAGAAACTTCTTTGTGATGTGTGCATTCATCTCACTGAGGTGAACCTTTCTTTTGATTGAATAATTTGGAAACAGTCTTTTTGTAGAATATGCAAATGTATATTTGGAGCACTTGGAGGCCTACGGTGAAAAAGGAAGTATCTTCACATAAAAACTAAACAGAAGCATTCTGATAAACTTCTTTATGAAGCCTCTATTCATCTCACAGGGTTGAACTTTTCTTTTGATTGAACAGTTTGGAAACAGTCTTTTTGTACAATGTGCAAAGGGATATTTCCGAGCCGTTTGAGACCTACTGTGAAAAAGAAATATCTTCACTTAAAAACTAGACAGAAACATTCTGAGAAACTTCTTTGTGATATGTGCATTCATCTCACAGAGGCGAAACTTTCTTTTGATTGAGCAGTTTGGAAAGAGTCTTTTCGTAGATTCTGCACAGGGATATTTGTGAGCCCTTTACGGCCTGTGGTGAAATAGGAAATATCATGACATAAAAACTAGACAGAAGTTTTCTGAGAAACTTCCTTGTGATGTGATGAATGCTTTCATCTCACAGAGTTGAACTTTTCTTTTCATTGAGCAGGTTGGAAACAGTATTTTTGTAGAATCTGCAAATGGATATTTGAAGCACCTTGACAATTATTGTGAAAAAGGAAATATCTTCACATAAAAACGATATGGAAGAATTCTGAGAAACTTCTTTGTGATGTGTGCATTCATCTCACAGAATTGAACATTTCTTTTCATGGAGCAGTTTGGAAAGTGTCTTTTCGTAGAATCTGCACAGGGATATTTGTGAGCCTTTTATGGCCTATGGTTAAATAGGAAATATCTTCACATAAAAACTAGACAGAAGCGTTCTGACACACTTCTTTGTGATGTGTGCATTCATCTCACAGAGTTGAACCTTTCTTTTGTTGGAACAGTTTGGAAACAATCTTTGTAGAGTATCTGCAAAGGGATATTTCTGACCGGTTTAAGGCCTATGGTGAAAAAGGAAATATCTTCACATAAAAACTACTCAGACGTATTCTGAGAAACTTCTTTGTGTTGTGTGCATTCATCTCACGGAGTTGAAACTTTCTTTTATGGAGCAGTTTGGAAACATTCTTTTTGAACTATCTGCAGAGGGATATTTGTGACCGGTTTAAGGCCTATGGTGAAAAGGGAAATATCTTCACATGAAAAGTAGACAGAAGCCTTCTGAGAAACTTCTTTGTGATGTGTGCATTCATCTCACAGAGTTGAACCTTTCTTTTGGTTGTGCAGGTGGGAAACACTCTGTTTGTAGAATCTGCAAATGGATATTTGGAGCACTGTGAGGACTATGGTGAAAAAGGAAATATCTTCCTATGAAAACTAGACAGAAGCATTCTGAGAAACGTTTTCGTGATGTGTCCATTCATCTCACAGAGTTGAACCTTCCTTTTGATAGGGCAGTTTGGAAACACTCTTTTTGTAGAATCTGCAAAAGGATATTTCCGAGCTGTTGGAGGCCTATGGTGAAAAAGAAATATCTTCACATAAAAACTGTATAGAAGAATTATGAGAAACTTCTTTGTGATGTGTCCATTCATCTCAAAGAGTTGAACCTATCATTTGATTGAGCAGTTTGGAAACAGTCTTGTTGTACAATCTGCAAAGGGATATTACGAAGCCGTTTGAGGGTTCTGGTGGAAAAGAAATATCTTCACATAGAAAGTAGACAGAAGTGTTCTCAGAAACTTCTTTGTGATGTGTGCATTCATCTCACAAGGTTGAACCTTTCTTTTAATGGAGCACTTTGGAAACAGTCTTTTTGTACTATCTGCAGAGGGATATTTGTAAGCATCTTAGGGAATATGTTGATAAAGGAAGTATCTTCACATAAAAACTAGGCAGAAATATTCTGAGAAACTTATTTGTTATGTGTGCATTCATCTCACAGAGTTGAACCTTTCTTTTGATGGAGCAGTTTGGAAACACTCTTTTTGCAGTATCTGCAAATGGATATTTGGAACGTTTTGAGGCCTATGGTGAAAAAGGAAATAACTTCACACGAAAATTAGACAGAAGCATTCTGAGAAACTTCTTCAGGATGCATACATTCATCTCACAGAGTTGAACCTTTCTATTGATTGAGCAGGTTGGAAACACTCTCTTTGTAGTATTTGCAAATGGATATTTGGAGCACTTTGAGGCATATGGGGAAAAAGGAAATATCTTCTCTTAAAAATTAGAAAGAAGCATTCTGAGAAAATTCTTTGTTATGTGAGCATTCCTGTCACAGAGTTGAACCTTTCTTTTGATAGAGCAGCTTGGAAACAGTCTTTTTGAAGAATCTGCAATTGAATATTTGGAGGGATTTGAGGCCTATGGTGAAAAAGGAAATATCTTCACATAAAAACTAGACAGAAGCATTCTGAGAAACTTCTTTGTGATGAGTGCATTCATCTAACAGAGTTGAATATTTATTTTGACTGAGCAGTTTGGAAACATTCTTTTTGTACAATCGGCAAAGGGATATTTCCCAGCCGTTTGAGTCCTATCATGAAAAAGAAATATCTTCACATAAAAACTAGACAGAAGCATTCTGAGAAACTTCTTTTTGATGGGTGCATTCATCTCACAGAGTAGAACGTTTCTGTTGATTGAGCAGTTTGGAAACAGTCTTTTTGCAGAATCTGCACAGGGATATTTGTGAGCCCTTTATATCCCATGGTGAAATAGGAAATATCTACACATAAAAATTAGACAAGAGCTTTCTGAGAAACTTCTCTCTGATGTGTGCATTTATCTCCCTTTCTTTTGATTGAGCACTTTGGAAGCACTTTTCTTGTAGAATCTGCAAAGGGATATTTGGAGTGCTTTGAGGCCTATGGTGAAAAATGATATATCTTCATATAAATGCTAAACAGAAGCTGTCTGAGAAACTTCTTTGTGATGTGTGCATTCACCTCACAGAATTTTACTGTTTTCTTTGATTGAGCAGTTTGGAAACAGACTTTTTGTAGTCTCTGCAAATGGATATTTGGAGCGCTTTGAGGCCTATGGTGAAAAAGGAAATATCTTCACATTAAAATTAGACAGAAGCATTCTGAGAAACTTCTTTGGGATGCATGCATTCATCTCATGGAGTCGAACCTTTCTTTTGATTGAGTAAGTTGGAAACACTCTTTTTCAGAATCTGCAAATGGATATTTGGAGCGATTTGAGGCCTATGGTGAAAAAGGAAATATCTTCTCTTAAAAACTAAACAGAAGCATTCTGAGAAAGTTCTTTCTGATGTGTGCATTCATATCACATAGTTGAAACTTTCTTTTGATTGAGCAGTTTGGAAACAGGCTTCTTGTAAAATCTACAAATGGATATTTGAAGCACTTTGAGGCCTGTGGTGAAAAAGGAAATATCTTCACACAAAAACTATACAGAAGAATTCTGAGAAACTTCTTTCTGATGTGTGCATTCATCTCACAGAGTTGAACCTTTCTTTTCATGGAGCAGTTTGGAAACTGTCTTTTTGCAGTATCTGCAAAGGGACATTTGTTTCCTGATGAAGGCCTAAGGTAAAAAGGGAAATATCTTCACATAAAAATAGACAGAAGCATTCTGAGAAAAATCTTTTTGATGTGTGCATTCATCTCACAGAGCTGAACCTTTCTTTTGATGTAGCATTAGAAACAGTCTTTTTGAGGTATCTGCAGAGGGATATTTGGGACCAGTTTAAGGCCTAGGGTGAAAAAGAAAATATCTTCACATAAAAACTAGACAGAAGCATTCTGAGAAACTTCTTTGAGATGTGTGTGTTCATCTCACAGAGTTGAACTTTTCTTTAAAGGATCACTTTGGAAACAGTCTTTTTGTAGTATCTGCAGAGGGATATTTGTGATCTGTTTAAGTCCTATGATGAAAAAGGAAATATGTTCACCTAAAAACTCGACAGAAGCTTTCTGAGAAAGTTCATTTTGATGTGTGCATTCATCTCACAGAGTTGAAACTTTCCTTTGATTGAACAGTTTGGAAACAATCTTTTTCTGGAAACTGCAAAGGGGTATTTCTGAGCGCCTTGAAGCCTATGGTGAAAAAGGAAATATCTTCACATAAAAACTAGACAGAATCTTTCTGAGAAACTTCTTTGTGATGTGTGCCTTCATCTCACAGAGTTGAACCTTTCTTTTGACTGAGCAGTTTGGAAACTGTCTTTTTCTAGAATCTACAACGGGATATTTCTGAGCATTTTGAGGCCTATGTTGAATAAGGAAATATCTTCACGTAAAAACAAGACAGAAGCTTTCTGAGGACCTTCTTTTTGAAGTGTGCATTCATCTCACAGAGTTGAATTTTTCTTTTGACTGAGCAGTTTGGAAACAGTGTTTTTGTAGAATCTGCAAAGGGACACTTGGTGGTGATTTAAGGCCTACAGTGGAAAAGGAAATATCTTCACATAAAAACTAGACAGATGCTTTCTGAGAAACTTCTTTGTGATGCGTGCATTCATCACACAGAGTTGAAACTTTCTTTTGACTGGGCAGTTTGGAAACAGTCTTCTTCTAGAATCTACAAAGGGATATTTGGGAGCCCTTTGAGGACTATGGTGAAAAAGGAGATATCTTCACATAAAAAGTAGACAGAAGATTTCTGAGAAACTTCTTTGTAATGAGTGCATTCATCTCACAGAGTTGAACCTTTCTTTTGAATGAGCAGTTTGGAACCAGACTTTTTGTGGAATCTGCAAAGGGATATATGTGGGGGCTTTGAGGCTTATGGTGAAAAAGGAAATATCTTCACATAAAAACTGGACAGAAAGTTTCTGAGAAACTTCTATGTGATGAGTGCATTAATCTCAGAGAATTGAAACTTTCTTTTGATGGAGCACTTTGGAAAGAGTCTTTTTATAGTATCTGCAGAGGGATATTTCTGAGTGGTTTGAGGCCTAGGGTGAAAAAGGGAATATCTTCATATAAAAACTAGACAGAATCTTTCTGAGAAACTTCTTTGTGATGTGCGCATTCATATCACAGGATTAAAACTGTGTTTTGATTTAGCAGTTTGGAAACAGAATTTTTGTAGAATCTGCAAGGGATATTTTGGATCCCATTGAGGCCCATGGTGGAAAAGCAAATATCTTCACCTAAAAACTAGGGAGAAGCTTTGTGAGAAACTTCTTTGTGATGTATGCATTCAACTTACAGAGTTGAACTTTTCTTTTGAATGAGCAGTTTGGAAACAGTATTTTTGTAGAATTTGCAAACGGATATTTGGGATCCCTTTGAGGCCTATGGTGAAAAAGGAAATATCTTCACTTAAAAACTACACAGAAGCTCTCTGAGAAACTTCGTTGTGATGCTTACATACATCTCACAGATTTGAAAATTTCTTTTGATTGAGCAGTTTGGAAATAGCCTTTTTGTAGAATCTTCAAAGGGATATTTGAGAGCCCCTTGAGGCCTACGTTGAAAAAGGAAATATCTTCACCTAAAAAGTAGAGAGAATATTTCTTAGAAACTTCTTTGTGATGCGTGCATTCATCTCATGAAGTTCAAACATTCTTTTGACTGAGCAGCTTGGAAACCTTTTTAGAATCTGCAAAGGGATATTTTGGAGCTAACTGAGGCTTACGTTGAAAAAGGAATTATCTTCACCTAAAAAGTAGAATCTTTCTGAGAAACTTCTTTGTGATGTGTGCATTCATCTCACAGACTTGGACCTTTCTTTTGATTGAGAAGTTTGCAAAAAACCTTTTTGTAGAATCTGCAAAGGGATATTTTTGAGTGGTTTGAGGCCTATGTTGAAAAAGAAAATATCTTCATATAAAAACTAGACAAAAGCTTTCTGAGAGACTTCTTTGTCATGTATGCATTCATCTCACAGAGTTGACACTTTCCTTCAATTAAGCAGTTGGAAACTATCTTTTTGTAGAATCTACAAAGGGAGACTTGGGGGCGTTTTGAGGCCTATGGTGGAAGATGAAATATCTTCACAAAAAAACTATACAGAACCTTTCTGAGAAACTTTTTTTGTGATGTGTGCATTCATCTCACGGATTTGAAATTTTCATTTGATTGAGCAGTTTGGAAACAGTCTTTTTGTAGAATCTGCAAACGGATATTTGGGAGCCCCTTGAGGCCTATGTTGAAAAAGTAAATATCTTCACCTAAAAAGTAGACAGAGTCTTTCTGAGAAACTTCTTTGTGATGTGTGCGTTCATCTCACAGAGTTGAACCTTTCTTTTGATTGAGGTGTTTGGAAACAGTCTTTTTCTAGAATCTGCCAAGAGGTGTTTCGGAGCAGTTTGAGGCCTATGGTGAAAAAGTAAATATGTTCACCTAAAAACTAGACAGAAGATCTCTGAGAAACTTCTTTGTGGTGTTTGCATTCACCTCACAGAGTTGAACCTTTTTTTTGATTCAGCAATTTGGAAACAGTCTTTTTTGTTGAATCTACAAAGGGATATTTGAGGGTCCTTTGAGGTCTATGGTGAAAAAGGAAATATCTTCACATAAAAACTAGACAGAAACTTTCTGAGAAACTTCTTCATGATGCGTGAATTCATCTCACAGAGTTCAAACTTTCTTTTGATTGAGCATTTTGGAAATAATCTTTTTGTAGAATCCGCAAAGGGATGTTTGGGAGCCCTTTGAGGCCAATGGTGAAAAAGAAATATCTTCACATAAAAACTAGCCAGAATCTTACGGAGAAACTTCTTTGTGATGCCTGCATTTATCACACAGAGTTGAATCTTTCTTTTGATTGAGCAGTTTGGAAACAGTCTTTTCGTAGAATCTGCAATGGGATATTTCTGAGTGGTTTGAGGCCTATGGTGAAAGAGGAAATATCTTCACATAAAAACTAGACAGAAGTTTTTGAGACATTTCTTTGAAATGAGTGTATTCATCTCACAGAGTTGAAACTTTCTTTTTATTGAGCAGTTTGGAAAAAGTCTTTTTGTGGAATCTGAAAGGGGATATTTGAGTGCCCTTTGAGGCCTATGGTGAAAAAGGAAATATCTTCATATAAAAACTAGACAGAAGTTTTCTGAGAAACTTCTGTGTGATGTGTGCTTTCATCTCTCAGAGCTGAACCTTTCTTTTGATTGAGCAATTTGGAAACAGTCTTTTTGTAGAATCTGCAAAGGGATGTTTCTAGCGCTTAGAGGCCTATGGTGGAAAAGGAAATATCTTCACATAAAAACTAGACAGAAGCATTCTGAGAAACTTCTTTGTGATGTGTGCATTCATCTCACAGATTTGAACCCTTCCTTTGATTGAACAATATTGAAACACTGTTTTTGAAGAATGTGCAAGTGGATATTTCGAGTGCCTTGTGGCCTTTGGGGGAAAAGGAAATATCTTCACATAAAAACTAGACAGAAGCATTGTGAGAAACTTCTTTGTTATGTGTGCATTCAACTCACAGAATTGAACCTTTCTTTTGATTGAGCAGTTTGGAAACAGTCTTTTTGTAGTATCTGCAAGTGGATATTTGCTACGCTTTCTAGGCCTATGATGGAAAAGGAAATATCTTCACATAAAAACTACACAGAAGCCTTCTGAGAAACTTCTTTGTGATGTGTGCATTCATCTCACCGAGTTGAACCCTTCTTTGGAAAAAGTTTTTTGTAGTATCTGCAGAGGGATATTTGTGACCAGTTTAAGGCCTTTTGGTGAAAAAGAAAATATCTTCCCATAAAAAGTAGACAGAAGCATTATGAGAAACATCTTCATGAAGAGTGCATTCATTTCACAGAGTTGAAGTTTTCTTTTGATTGAGCAGTTTGGAAACAGTCTTTTTGTAGAATCTGCACAGCGGTATTTGTGAGCCCTTTTTGGCCCATGGTAAAATAGGAAATATCTTCACATAAAAACTAGACTGAAGTTTTATGAGAAACATCTTTGTGATGTATGCTTTCATCTCACACAGTTGAAATTTTCTTTTGATTGAGCAGTTTGGAAACAGTCTTTTTGTAGAATCTGCAAAGGGGTATTTGGAGCGCATTGAAGCCTAATGTGAAAAAGGAAATATCTTCACATAAAAACTAGACAGAAGCGTTCTGATAAACCTCTTTGTGATGTGTACATTCATCTCACAGTGTTGAAACTTTCTTTTGGTTGAACAGTTTGTAAAGTCTTTTCATAGAATCTGCACAGGGATATTTGTGAGCCTTTTATGGTTTATGATGAAATAGGAAATATCTTCACATAAAAACTAGACAGAAGCATTCTGAGAAACCTCTTTGTGATGGGTGCATTCATCTCACAGAGTTGAACCTTTCCTTTGATGGAGCAGTTTTGAAACACTGTTTTTGTAGAATCTGCAAGTCTATATTTGGAGCGCCTTGAGGTTTATGGTGAAAAAGGAAATATCTTCACATAAAAACTTGACAGAAGCATTCTGAGAAACTTCTTTGTAATGTGTGCATTCATCTCACAGAGTTAAACCTTTCTTTTGATTGAGCAGTTTTGGAAACAGTGTTTTATAGAGTCTGCAAATGGATATTTGGAGTGCTTTGAGGCCTAAGGTGAAAAAGGAAATATCTTCACATAAAAACTAGACAGACGCATTCTGAGAAACTTCTCTGTCGTGCCTGCATTCATCTCACACACTTGAACCTTTCTTTTGATGTAGCAGTTTGGACACAGTCTTTTTGAAGAATCTGCAGGTTGATATTTGTGACCAGTTTATGGCCTATGGTGAAAAAGAAAATATCTTCACATAAAAACTAGACAGAAGCATTCTGAAAAACTCTTTGTGCTGTGTGCCTTCATCTCACAGTGTTTAATCTTTCTTTTGAGCGTTTTGGAAACAGTCTTTTTGTAGAATCTGCTTAGGTATATTTGTGAGCACTTTATGGCCTGTTGTGAAACAGGAACTATCTTCAAATAAAAACTATACAGAAAATTTCTGAGAAACTTCTTTGCGATGTATGTTTTCATCTCACAGAGTTGAACATCTCTCTTGATTGAGCAATTTGGAAACAGCCTTCTTGTAGAATCTGCAAAGGGATATTTGGGAGCCCTTTGAGGCTTATAGTGAAAAAGGAAATATCTTAACATAAAAACCAGACAGAAGCTTTCTGAGAAATTTCTTTGTGATGTGTGCATTCATCACACAGAGGTGAACTTTTCTTCCCATGGAGCTGTTTGGAAACTGTCTTTTTATAGAATCTGCAAGGGGATATTTATGAGTATTTTGAGGCCTATGGTGAATAAGGAAATATCTTCACATAAAAACAAAACAGAAGCTTTCTGAGGAACTTCGTTTTGATGTGTCCATTCAACTCACAGAGTTGAACTTTTCTTTTGAATGAGCAGTTTGGAAACAGTATTTTTGTAGAATCTGCAAAGGGATATTTGGAATCCTTTTGAGGCCCATGGTGAAAAAGGAAATATCATCACATAAAAACTAGACAGAAGCTTTCTGAGAAACTTCTTTGTGATGTGTGCATTCACCTCACAGAGTTTAACCTTTCTTTCGATTTAGCAGTTTGGACACAGTCTTTTTGTAGAACCTGCAAGTGGACATTTGGAGCGGTTTGAGGCCTATGGCGAAAAAGGAAATATCTTCACATAAAAACTAGACAGAAGCATTCTGTGAAACTTCTTTGTGTTGTGTGCATTCAACTCACAGAGTTGAAACTTTCTTTTCATAGAGCAGTTTTGAAACACCCTTTTTATAGAACCTGCAAGTGGACATTTGGAGCTCTTTGAGGCCTACGGTGAAAAAGGAAATATCTTCACATAAAAACTAGACAGAGCATTCTGAGAAACTTTTTATGATGTGTGCATTTATCTCACAGAATTGAACCTTTCTTTTGATTCAGCAGTTTGGAAACCCTCTTTTTGTAGAATCTGCAAATGGATATTTGGAGTGCTTTGAGGCCTATGGTGAAAACGGAAATATCTTCACATAAAAACTAGACAGAAGCATTCTGAGAAACTTTTTGTGATGTGTGCATTCATCTCACAGAGTTGAAACCTCTTTTTGATTGAGCAGTTTGGAAACAGTCTTTTTGTAGAATCTGCAAAAGGATATTTGGAGCGCCATGAGGCCTGTGGCGAAAAAGGAAATATCTTCACATAAAAACTAGACAGAAGCATTCTGAGAAACTTCTCTGTGATACCTGCATTCATCTCACTGAGTTGAATCTTTCCCTTGATTGAGCAGTTTGGATACAGTCTTTTTGTACATTCTGCAAAGGGATATTTCTGAGCTGTTTGAGGCCTATGGTGAAAAAAAATCTTCACATAAAAACTAGAGAGAAGAATTCTGACAAACTTCTTTGAATGTGTGCATTCATCTCTTGGAGTTGAACTTTCTTTTGATTGAGCAGTTTGGAAACAGTCTTTTGGTAGAATCTGCCCAGGGATATTTGTGGGCACTTTATGGCCTGTGGTGAAATAAGAAATGTCTTCACATAAAAACCAGACAGAAGCATTCTGAGAAACTTCTTTGTCATTTGTGCATTCATCTCACAGGGTTGAACCTCTCTTTTGATTGAGCAGGTTGGAAACACTCTTTATTTAGAATCTGCAAATGGATATTTGGAGTGCTTAGGGGCATATGGTGAAAAAGGAAATGTCCTCACATAAAAACTAGACAGAAGCATTCGGTGCAACTTCTTTGTGATGTGTACATTCATCTCACAGTGTTGAACTTTTCTTTTGATTCAACAGTTTGGAAACAGTCTTTTTGTACAATATGCAAATGGATATTTCTGAGCCATTAGAGGACTATGGTGAAAAAGAAATATCTACACATAAAATCTAGAAAGAAGCCTTCTGAGAAACTTCTTTGTGATGTGTGTATTCATCTCACAGAGATGATACTTTCTTTTGTTTGAGCAGCTTGGAAACAGTCTTTTCGCAGAACCTACACAGGGATATTTGTGAGCCATTTAGGGCCTTTGGTGAAATAGGAAATATCTTCACATAAAAACTAGAGAGAATCATTTTGAGAAACTTCTTTGTGATGTGTGCATTCATCTCACAGTGTTGAACCTTTCTTTTGATTGAGCAGTTTGGAAAAACTCTTTTTTTAGAATCTGCAAATGGATATTTGGAGTGCTTTGAAGCCTATGGTGAAAAAGGAAATATCTTCCCATAAAAACTAGACAGAAGCATTCTGAGAAACTAATTTGTGATGTGTGCATTCATCTCACAGAATTGAACCTTTCTTTTGATGGAGCACTTTGGAAACTGTCTTTTTGTATTATATGCAGAGGGATATTTGTGACCGGTTTAAGGCCTATGGTGAAAAAGGAAATATCTTCACATAAAAACTAGACAGAAGTATTCTGAGAAACATTTTTGTGATGTGGGCATTCATCTCACAGAGTTGAACCTTTCTTTTGATGGAGCACTTTGGAAACAGTCTTTTTGCAGTATCTGCAGTGGGATATTTGTGACTACTTTAGGGAATACGGTGAAAAAGGAAATACATTCACATGAAAACTAGTCAGAAGAATTCTGAGAAACATCTTTGTGATGTGTGCATTAATCTCACAGAGTTGAAACTTTCTTGTGATTGAGCACTTTGGAAACAACTTTTCTGTAGAATCTGCAAATGAATATTTGGATCTCTTTGAGGCCTATGGTGAAAAAGGAAATATCTTCACATAAAAACTAGACAGTAGCATTCTGAGAAACGTCTTTGTGATGTGTGCTTTAATCTCACAGAGATGAACTTTCTTTTGATGGAGCAGTTTGGAAACATTCTTTTGGTAGAATCTCCAAATGGTTATTTGGAATGCTTTGAGGTCTATGTTGAAAAAGGAAATATCTTCATGTAAAAACTAAACAGAAGCTTTCTGAGAAACTTCTTTGTGATGTGTGCATTCATCTCACAGAGTTGAACCTTACATTTGATTGAGCAGTTTGGAAATATTCGTTTGGTAGAATCTCCAAATGGATATTTGGAACGCTTTGAGGTCTATGTTGAAAAAGGAAATATCTTCACATAAAAACTAGACAGAAGCATTCTGAGAAACTTCTTTGTGATTTTTGCATTCATCTCACAGAGTTGAACCTTTATTTTGATGGAGCACTTTGGATACAGTCTTTTTGTGGTATCTGCAGTGGAATATTTGTGACTGGATTAAGGCCTATGGTGAAAAAGGAAATATCTACACATAAAAACTAGACAGAGGAATTCTGAGAAACTTCTTTGTGATGTGTGCTTTCATCTCACAGAACTGAAACTTTCTTTTGATTGAGCAGCTTGGAAAAAGTCTTTTCATAGAATCTGCGCAGGGATATTTGTGAGCCCTTTTTGGCCTATGGTGAAATAGGAAATATCTTCACATAAAAACTTCAGAAAAGCATTCTGAGAAACTTCTCTGAAATATGTGTATTCAACTCGCAGAGATGAACCTTTCCTTTGATGGAGCAGTTTGAAACAGTCTTTCGCAGTATCTACAAATGGATATTTCTAGGGCTTAGAGGCCTATGGTGGAAAAGGAAATATCTTCACATAAAAACTAGACAGAAGCATTCTGAGAAACTTCTTTGTGATGTGTGCATTCATCTCACAGATTTGAACCCTTCCTTTGATTGAACAATATTGAAACACTGTTTTTGAAGAATGTGCAAGTGGATATTTCGAGTGCCTTGTGGCCTTTGGGGGAAAAGGAAATATCTTCACATAAAAACTAGACAGAAGCATTGTGAGAAACTTCTTTGTTATGTGTGCATTCAACTCACAGAATTGAACCTTTCTTTTGATTGAGCAGTTTGGAAACAGTCTTTTTGTAGTATCTGCAAGTGGATATTTGCTACGCTTTCTAGGCCTATGATGGAAAAGGAAATATCTTCACATAAAAACTACACAGAAGCCTTCTGAGAAACTTCTTTGTGATGTGTGCATTCATCTCACCGAGTTGAACCCTTCTTTGGAAAAAGTTTTTTGTAGTATCTGCAGAGGGATATTTGTGACCAGTTTAAGGCCTTTTGGTGAAAAAGAAAATATCTTCCCATAAAAAGTAGACAGAAGCATTATGAGAAACATCTTCATGAAGAGTGCATTCATTTCACAGAGTTGAAGTTTTCTTTTGATTGAGCAGTTTGGAAACAGTCTTTTTGTAGAATCTGCACAGCGGTATTTGTGAGCCCTTTTTGGCCCATGGTAAAATAGGAAATATCTTCACATAAAAACTAGACTGAAGTTTTATGAGAAACATCTTTGTGATGTATGCTTTCATCTCACACAGTTGAAATTTTCTTTTGATTGAGCAGTTTGGAAACAGTCTTTTTGTAGAATCTGCAAAGGGGTATTTGGAGCGCATTGAAGCCTAATGTGAAAAAGGAAATATCTTCACATAAAAACTAGACAGAAGCGTTCTGATAAACCTCTTTGTGATGTGTACATTCATCTCACAGTGTTGAAACTTTCTTTTGGTTGAACAGTTTGTAAAGTCTTTTCATAGAATCTGCACAGGGATATTTGTGAGCCTTTTATGGTTTATGATGAAATAGGAAATATCTTCACATAAAAACTAGACAGAAGCATTCTGAGAATCTTTTTGGGATGTGTGCATTCATCTCACAGGGTTGAAAATTTCTTTTCATTGAGCAGTATGGAAACAGACTTTTTGTAGAATCTACAAATGCATACTTGGAGCGTTGTGAGGCCGATGGTGAAAAAGGAAATATCTTCCCATAAAAGCTAGACAGAAGCATTCTGAGAAACTTCTTTGTGATGCCTGCATGCATCGCACAGAGTTGAACCTTTCTTTTGATGGAAAAGTTTGGAAACAGTCTTTTTGTTGAATCTGCAAAGGGATATTTCTGAGTGGTTTGAAGTCTATGGTGAAAAAGGACATATCTTCACAAAAAAACTAGACGGAAGATTTCTGTGAAACTTATTTGTCATGAGTGCATTCATCTCAGAGAGTTGAAAGTTTCTTTTGATTGAGCGGTTTGGAAAAAGTCATTTTGTGGAATCTGCAAAGGAGTATTTGAGGGCCCTTTGAGGCCTATGTTGAAAGAGGATATATCTTCAAGTAAAAACTAGATGGCAGCTTTCTGAGATACTTTTTGTGATGGGTTCATTCATCTAACAGACTTCAAACTTTCTTTTGATTCAGCAGTTTGGAGACAGTGTTTTCACTGAATCTGCAAAGGGATGTTTTGGAGCCCTTTGAGGCCTGTGGTGAAAAAGGAAATCTCTTAACATAAAAACTAGACAGAAGCTTTCTGAGACACCTCTTTGTGATGTGTGCATTTATCTCACAGAGTTGAATCTTTCTTTTGATTGAGCAGTTTTGACACAGTCTTTTTGTAGATACTTAAAAGAGAAATTTCTGAGCGTTTTGGGGCCTACAGTGAAAAAGTAAATATCTTCACATAAAAACTAGACAGAAGCTTTCTGAGAAACTTCCTTGTGATGTGCACATTCATCTCACAGAGTTGAACCTTTCTTTTGATTGAGCATGCTGGAAACTCTGTTTTTGTAGAATCTATAAATGGATATTTGGAGTGCTTTGAGGCCTATGGTGAAAAAGGAAATATCTTCACATAAAAACTAGACAGAAGCATTCTGCACAACGTCTTTGTGATGTGAGCATTCATCTCACAGAGCTGAACCTTTCGTTTGATTGAGCAGGTTGGAATCACTATTTCTGAAGAATCTGCAAATGGATATTTGGAGTGCTTTCAGGCCTATGGTGAAAAAGGAAATATCTTCACATAAAAACTAGACAGAAGCGTTCTGAGAAACCTCTTTGTGATGTGTTCATTCATCTCACAGAAGTGAAACTTCCTTTGATGGACCAGTTTGGAAACAGTGTTTTTGAAGTATCTGCAGAGGGATATTTTTGACCAGTTTAAGGCCTATGGTGAAAAAGGAAATATCTTCCCCTTAAAACTAAACAGAACCTTGTGAGAAACTTCTTTGTGATGTGTGCATTCAACTAACAGAGTTGAACCTTTCTTTTGATTGAGCAGTTTGGAAACAGTCTTTTCATAGTATCTGCACAAGGATATTTGTGAGCCCTTCACAGCCTATTGTGAAATAGGAAATGTCTTCCCATAAAAACTAGATGGAAGCATTCTGAGAAACTTCTTTGTGGTGTGTGCATTCAACTCACAGTGCTGAAACTTTCTTTTGATTGAGCAGTTTGGAAACAGTCTTATTGAAGAATCTGCACAGGGATATTTGTGAGCCCTGTAAGGCCTATGGTGAAACAGGAAATATCTTCACATAAAAAGTAGACAGAAGCTTTCTGAGAATCTTCTTTGTGATGTGTTTTTTCATCTCACAGAGTTGAAACTTTCTTTTGATTGAGCAGTTTGGAAACAAAAAGACTGTTCTTTTTGTAGATTCTGCAAATGGATATTTGGTTCGCTTTGAAGCCTGTGGTGAAAAATTAAATATCCTGCCATAAAAAGTAGACAGAAGCATTCTGAGAAACTTCTTTGTCATGTGTGCATTCATCTCACAGAGGTGAACCTTTCTTTATATGGAGCACTTTGGAAACAGTCTTTTTGTAGTATCTGCAGAGGGATATCTGTGACCGGTTTAAGGCCTATAGTGAAAAAGGAAATATCTTCACATAAAAACTAGACAGAAGCATTCCTAGAAACTTCTTTGTGATGTGAGCATTCATCTCACAGAGTTGAATCTTTCCTTTCATTGAGCAGTTTGGAAACAGTCTTTTTGTAGAATCTGCACATGGATATTTGGGGTGCTTTGAGGCCTATGGTGAAAAAGGAAATATCTTCCCATAAAAACTGGACAGAAGCATTCGATAAATTTCTTTGTGATGTGTGTATTCATCTCACAGAGTTGAACCTTTCTTTTGATTGAGCAGTTTGGAAACAGTGTTTTCTTAGAATCTGCAAAGGGATATTTGGAGCCCTTTGAAGCCTATATTTAAAAAGGAAATATCTTCACATTCAAACTAAACAGAAGCATTCTGAGAAACTTCTTTGTGATGCCTGCATTCATCTCACAGGGTTGAACCTTTCTTTTGATGGCACACTTTGGAAAGAGTCTTTTTGTAGTATCTGCAAAGGGATATTTGTGACCTGTTTAAGGACTATGGTGAAAAAGGAAATATCTTCACATAAAAACTAGACAGAAACATTCTTAGAAACTTCTTTGTGATGTGTGCATTCATCTCCGAGTTGAATCTTTCTTCTGATTGAGCAGTTTGGAAACACTCTTTTTGTAGAATCTGCAAATAGATATTTGGAGCGCTTTGAGACCTATGGTGAAAAAGGAAATATCTTCCCATAAAGACTAAACAGAAGCTTTCAGATAAAGTTATTTGTGATGTGTGCATTCATCTCACAGAGTTGAAACTTTCTTTTGATTGAGCAATTTGGAAACAGTCTTTTCGTAGAATCTGCACAGGGATACTTGCGAGCCCTTTATGGCCTATTGTGAAATAAGAAATATCTTCACATAAAAACTAGACAGATGCATTCTGAGAAACATCTTTGTGATGTGTACATTCATCTCTCAGAGTTGAACCTGTCTTTTGATTGAGCAGTTTGGAAACAGTGTTTTTGAAGAATCTGCAAAAGGATATTTGGAGCCCTTTTAGGCCTACAGTGAAAAAGGAAATATCTTCACATGAAAACCAGAAAGAAGCATTCTGAGAAACTTCTTTGTGATGCCTGAATTCATCTCACACGGTTGAACCTTTCTTTTATTGAGCACTTTGGAAACTGTCTTTTTGTACAATTTGCAAATGAATGTTTCCGAGCCCTTTGAGGCCTATGGTGAAAAAGATATATCTACACATAAAAACTAGACAGAAGCATTCTGAGAAACTTCTTTCTGATGCCTGCATTCATCTCACAGAGTTGAACCTTTCTATTGATTGAGCAGTTAGGAAACATTCTTTTCGTAGAATCTGCACAGGGATATTTGTGAGCCCTTTATGACCTATGGTGAAATAGGAAATATCTTCATATAAAAACTGAACAGAAGCTTTGTGATAAACTACTTTGTGATGTATGCTTTCATCTCACAGAGTTGAACACTTCTTTCCATTGAGCAGTTTGGAAACAGTCGTATTTTAGTATCTGCAAATGCATATTTGGAGCGCTTTGAGGACTATGGTGAAAAAGGAAGTATTTTCACATGAAAACTAGACAGAAGCATTCTGAGAAACTTCTTTGTGATGTGTGCATTCATCTCACAGAGTTGAACCTTTCGTTTGATTCAGCAGGTTGGAAACACTCTTTTTGTAGAATCTGCAAATGCATATTTGGAGCACTTTGAGGCCTATGGTGAAAAAGGAAATATCTTCATATAAAAACTAGAGAGAAGCATTCTGAGAAACTTCTTTGGGATGTGTGCATTCATCTCGCTGAGTTTAACCTTTCTTTTGACTGAGCAGGTTGGAAACACTCTTTTTGTAGAAACTGCAAATGGATATATGGAGCACTGTGTGGCCTATGGTGGAAAAGGAAATATCTTCCCATAAAAACTAGTCAGAAGCATTCTGAGAAATTTCTTTGTGAAGAGCGCACTCATCTCACAGAGTTGAAACTTTGTTTTGATAGAGCAGTTTGGAAACAGTCTTTTTGTACAATCTGCAAAGGGATATTTCCGAGCCGTTTGAGGCCTATGGTGTAAAAGAAATATCTTCACATAAAAACTAGACAGAGGCATTCTGAGAAACTTCTTTATGATGTGTGCATTCATCACAAAGAGGTGAATCTTTCTTTTGATAGAGCAGTTTGGAAACAGTCTTTTGGTAGAATCTGCATTGGGATATTTTTGAGCCTTTTAAGGCCTACAATGAAACAGTAAATATTTTCACATAAATGCTACACAGAAGTTTTCTGAGAAACCTCTTTGTGATGTGTGCTTTCATCTCACAGAGTTGAACCTTCCTTTTGATTGAGCAGTTTGGAAAAAGTCTTTTTGTATAATCTGCAAATGGACATTTGGTGTGCTTTGAGGTCTGTGGTGAAAAAGGTAATATCTTCACATAAAATCTAGACAGAAGCATTCTGAAAAAATTCTTGTCATGTGTGTGTTCATTTCACAGAATTGAACATTTCTTTTGATGGCGTACTTTGGAAACAGTCTTTCTGTGTATCTGCAGAGTGATATTTGTGACCAGTTTAAGGAATATGGTGAAAAAGGAAATATCTTCACATAAAAACTAGACAGAAGCATTCTGACAAACTTCTTTGTGATGTGTGCATTCATCTCAAAGAGCTAAACCTTTCTTTTGACTGAGCAGTTTCGAAACAGTCCTTTTGTTCAATCTATACATGGATATTTGGAGCACTTTGAGACCTATGGTGAAAAAGGAAATATCTACACATAAAAACTAGACAGAAGATTTCTGAGAAACTTCTTTGTGATGTGTGCATTCATCTCACTGAGGTGAACCTTTCTTTTGATTGAATAATTTGGAAACAGTCTTTTTGTAGAATATGCAAATGTATATTTGGAGCACTTGGAGGCCTACGGTGAAAAAGGAAGTATCTTCACATAAAAACTAAACAGAAGCATTCTGATAAACTTCTTTATGAAGCCTCTATTCATCTCACAGGGTTGAACTTTTCTTTTGATTGAACAGTTTGGAAACAGTCTTTTTGTACAATGTGCAAAGGGATATTTCCGAGCCGTTTGAGACCTACTGTGAAAAAGAAATATCTTCACTTAAAAACTAGACAGAAACATTCTGAGAAACTTCTTTGTGATATGTGCATTCATCTCACAGAGGCGAAACTTTCTTTTGATTGAGCAGTTTGGAAAGAGTCTTTTCGTAGATTCTGCACAGGGATATTTGTGAGCCCTTTACGGCCTGTGGTGAAATAGGAAATATCATGACATAAAAACTAGACAGAAGTTTTCTGAGAAACTTCCTTGTGATGTGATGAATGCTTTCATCTCACAGAGTTGAACTTTTCTTTTCATTGAGCAGGTTGGAAACAGTATTTTTGTAGAATCTGCAAATGGATATTTGAAGCACCTTGACAATTATTGTGAAAAAGGAAATATCTTCACATAAAAACGATATGGAAGAATTCTGAGAAACTTCTTTGTGATGTGTGCATTCATCTCACAGAATTGAACATTTCTTTTCATGGAGCAGTTTGGAAAGTGTCTTTTCGTAGAATCTGCACAGGGATATTTGTGAGCCTTTTATGGCCTATGGTTAAATAGGAAATATCTTCACATAAAAACTAGACAGAAGCGTTCTGACACACTTCTTTGTGATGTGTGCATTCATCTCACAGAGTTGAACCTTTCTTTTGTTGGAACAGTTTGGAAACAATCTTTGTAGAGTATCTGCAAAGGGATATTTCTGACCGGTTTAAGGCCTATGGTGAAAAAGGAAATATCTTCACATAAAAACTACTCAGACGTATTCTGAGAAACTTCTTTGTGTTGTGTGCATTCATCTCACGGAGTTGAAACTTTCTTTTATGGAGCAGTTTGGAAACATTCTTTTTGAACTATCTGCAGAGGGATATTTGTGACCGGTTTAAGGCCTATGGTGAAAAGGGAAATATCTTCACATGAAAAGTAGACAGAAGCCTTCTGAGAAACTTCTTTGTGATGTGTGCATTCATCTCACAGAGTTGAACATTTCTTTTGATTGAGCAGTTTTGAAACACTCTTTTTGTATAATCTGCAGGTGAATATTTGCTACGTTTTGAAGCCTATGATGGAAAAGGAAATATCTTCACATAAAAACTACACAGAAGCCTCTGAGAAACTTCTTTGTGATGTGTGCATTCATCTCACAAAGTTGAACATTTCTTTTGATTGAGAAGTTTTGAAATACTCTTTTTGTAGAATCTGCAAGTGGATATTTGGAGCGCATTTAGACCTATGTTGGAAAAGGAAATAACTTCCCATAAAAACTAGTCAGAACCATTCTGAGAAACTTCTTTGTGTGCATTCAACTCACAGAATTGAACATTTCTTTTGACTGAGCAGTTTGGAAACAGTCTTTTTGTAGTATCTGCAAAAGTGTATTTCCAGCGATTTGTGGTCTATGGTGGAAAAGGAAATATCTTCAAATAAGAACTAGATAAAAGCATTCTGGGAAACTTCTTTGTGATGTGTGCATTCATCTCAAAGTGTCGAAACTTTCTTTTAATTGAGTAGTTTTGAAACACTCTTTTTGTAGAGTCTGCTAGTGGATATATGGAGTGCTTTGCTGCCTGCAGTGGAAAAGGAAATATCCTCACTTAAAAACTAGACAGAAGCCTTCTGAGGAACTTCTATGTGATGTGTGTATTCATCTCACAGAGCTGAATATTTCTTTTGATTGAGCAGTTGTGAAACACTCCTTTTGTAGAATCTACATGTGGATATTTCGAGAGCATTGAGGCCTATGGTGGAAAAGGAAATATCTTCACATAAAAACTAAACAGAAGCATTCTGAGAAACTTCTTTGATATGTGTGAATTCAACTCAGAGAGTTAAACATTTCTGTTGATTGAGCAGTTTGGAAACCATCTCTTTGTAGTATCTGCAAATGGATATTAGGAGCGCTTTGAGGCTTAAGGTGGAAAAGTAAATTTCTTCCCATAAAAACTAGACAGAGGCATTCTGAGAAACTTCTTTGTGATGTGTGCATTCATCTCAGAGAGTTGAAACTTTCTTTTGTTTGAGCAGTTTTGAAACACTCTTTTTGTATAATATGCAAGTGGATATTTGGAGCGCTACGTGGCCTATGGTGGAAAAGGAAACATCTTCACATAAAAACTAGACAGAAGCATTCTCAGAAACTTCTTTGTTATGTGTGTATTAAACTCACATAATTGATCCTTTCTTTTGATTGAGCAGTTTTGAAACACTCTTTTTGTAGAATCTGCAAAGGGATACTTGGAGTGCTTTGAGGCCTATGGAGGAAAAGGAAATATCTTCACATAAAAATTAGACAGAAGCATTCTGAGAAACTTCTTTGTGATGTGCACATTCATCTCACAGAGTTGAACCTTCCTTTTAATTGATTGAGCTGTTTTGAAACACTCTTTTTGTAGAATCTGCAAAGGGATATTTGGAGGGCTTTGAGGCCTATGGTGGAAAAGGAAATATCCTCACATAAAAACTAGACAGAAGCATTCTGAGAAACTTCTTTGAGATGTGTGCATTCAACTCACAGAATTAAACCTTTCTTTTGATTGAGCAGTTTGGAAACAGTCTTTTTGTAGTACCTGCAAATGATATTTGGAGTGCTTTGAAGACTATGGTGAAAAAGGAAATATCTTCACATGAAAACTAGACAGAATCATTCTGAGAAACTTCTTTTTGATGTGTGCATTCATCGCACAGATTTCAACATTTCTTTTGATTGAGCAGTTTTGAAACACTGTTTTTAAAGAATGTGCAAGTGGATATTTGGAGTGCCTTGCGGCCTGTAGTGTAAGAGGAAATATCTTTTAAAAAAAACTCGACAGAAGCATTCTGAGAAACTTCTTTGTGATGTGTGCACTCATCTCAAAGAGCTGAACGTGTCCTTGATTGACCAGTTTGGAAACTGTTTGTACAATCTACAAATGGATATTTCTGAGCTGTGTGAGGCCTATGGTGAAAAAGAAATATCTACACATAAAAACTAGACAGCAGCATTCTAAGAAACTTCTTTGTGATGCCTGCATTCATCTCACAGAGATGAAACTTTCTATTGATTGAGCAGATTGGAAACAGTCTTTTCATAGAATCTGCACAGGGATATTTGTGAGCCTTTGGGGCCTAGTGTGGAAAAGGAAATATCTTCACATAAAAACTACACAGAAGCATTCTGAGAAACTTCTTTGCAATGTGTGCATTCATCTCACAAAGTTGAAGGTTTCTTCTGATGGAGCAGTTTTGAAACACTCTTTTTGTAGAATCCTCAAGTGGATATTTGTAGGGTTTTGAGGCCTACGGTGGAAAAGAAAATATCTTCTGGTAAAAACTACACAGAAGCATTCTGAAAACTTCTTAGGGATGTGTGCCTTCATCTCACAGTGTTGAAAGTTTGTTTTGATTGAGCAGTTTGAACCACTCTTTTTCTAGAATCTGCAAGTGGATATTTGGAGGGCTTTGAGGCCTATGGTGGAAAAGGAAATATCTTCACATAAAAACTACACAGAAGCGTTCGGCAAAACTTCTCTGCAATGTGTGTATTCAGCTCATAGCATTGAACTTATCTTTTGTTTGAGCAGTTTTGAAACTCTCTTTTTGTAGAATCTGCAATAGGATATTTGGAGCCCTTTGCTGCATATGGTGGAAAAGGAAATATCTTCACATGAAAACTACACAGAAGTATTCTGAGATGTATGCATTCAACGTAAAGAGTTGAGCCATTCTTTTGATTGGGCAGTTTTGAAACACTGTTTTTGTAGCATCTGCAAGTGGATATTTGGAGCTCTTTGAGGCCTATTGAAGAAATGGAAATATCTTCACATAAAAACTACACAGAAGCATTGTGAGAAACTTCTTTGTGATGTGTGCATTCATCTCACAGAGTTGAACATTTTTTTTATTTGAGCAGCTTTGAAACACTCTTTTTCTAGAATCTGCAAGAGGATATTTAGAGCCCTTTTTGGCCTAAAGTGGAAAAGGAAATATCATCACATAAAAACTACACAGAAGCATTCTGGTTAACTTTTCTGTGATGTGTATATTAAACTCATAGAATTCAACTTATCTTTCAATCGAACCATTTTGAATCTCTCATTTTGAAGAATCTGCAAGTGGATATTTGGAGGCGTTTGCAGCCTCTTTTGGAAAAGGAAATATCTTCACATAAAAACTAACCTGAAGAATTCTGAGAAACTTCTTTTTGATGTGTGCATTCATCTCACAGAGTTGCATCTTTCTTTTGTTTGAGCTGTTTTGAAACAATCTTTTTGTAGAATCTGCAAGTGGATATTTGGAGCACTTTGGGGCCTAGTGTGGAAAAGGAAATATCTTCACATAAAAACTACACAGAAGCATTCTGAGAAACTTCTTTGCATTGTGTGCATTCGTCTCACAAAGTTGAATATTTCTTCTGATGGACCAGTTTTGAAACACTCTTTTTGTAGCATCTGCGAGTGGATATTTGGAGCGCTTTGAGGCCTATTGTGGAAAAGGTAATATATTCACATAGAAACTACACAGAAGTATTCTGAGAAACTACTTTGAGATGTGCACATTCAACTCACAGAGTTGAACCTTTGTTTTGATTGAGCAGTTTTGAAACACTGTTTTTGTAGCATCTGCAAGTGGATATTTGGAGCACTTTGAGGCCTATAATGGAAAAGGAAATATCTTCACATAAAAACTACACAGAAGCATTCTGAGAAACTTCTTTGTGATATGTGCATTCATCTCACAGAGTGGAAGATATCTTTTGATGGAGCAGTTTTGAAACACTCTTTTCATGAAATCTACAAGTGGATATTGGGAGCCCTTTAGGGCCTACTGTGGAAAAGGAAATATCTTCCCATAAAAACTACACTGAAGCATTCTGAGAAACTTCTTTGTGATGTGTGCATTCATCTAACACAGTTGAAGATTTCTTTTGATGGAGCAGATTTGAAACGCTCTTTTTATAGTATCTGCAAGTGGATATTTGGAGCTCTTTCAGGCATATTGTGGAAATGGAAATATCTTCACATAAAACCTACACAGAAGCATTCTGAGAAACTTCTTTGCTATGTGTGCATTTATCTCACAGAGTTGAAATTTTCTTTTGATGGAGCATTTTGGAAACCTTCTTTTTGTAGAATCTGCAAGTGGATATTTGGAGCTCTTTCAGGCCTATAGTGGAAATGGAAATATCTTCACATAAAAACTACACAGAAGCATTTTGAGAAACTCCTTTGTGATGTGTGCATTCATCTCACAGATTTGAACCTTTCTTTTGATTGAGCAGTTTTGAAACACACTTTTTGTTGAATTTGGAAGTGAAAAATTTGGAGCGCTTTGAGGCTATGGTGGAAAAGGAAATATCTTCACATAAGAAATACACAGGGGGTTGGAGCCAAGATGGCCAAATAGGAATTGCTCCAGTCTACAGCTCCCAGCATAAGAGATGCAGAAGACAGGTGATTTCTGCATTTCCACCTGAGGTATTTTGTTCGTCTCACTAGGGATTGCCAGACAGTGGGCACAGGACAGTGGGTGCGGTGCACTGTGTGCGAGCTGAAGCAGGGTGAAACATTGCCTCACTCAGGAAGCACAAGGGGTCATTGAGTTCCCTTTCCTAGTCAAAGAAAGTGGTGACAAACAGCACCTGCAAATTCGGGTCACTCCCACCCTAATACTACGCTTTTCCAATGGGCTTAAAAAACGGCACACCAGCAGGTTATATCCTGCACCTGGCTCAGAGGGTCCTATGCCCACGGATTCTCACTGATTGCTAGCACAGCAGTCTGAGATCGAACTGAAGGTGGCAGAGAGGCTGGTGGAGGGGCACCTGCCATTTCCCAAGCTTGCTTAGGTAAACAAAGCAGGCGGGAAGCTTGAACCAGGTGGAGCCCACCACAGCTCAAGGAGGCCTGCCAGCCACTCTAGGCTCCACCTCTCGGGGCAGGGCACAGACAAACAAAAAGACAGCAGTAACTTCTGCAAACTTAAATGTCCCTGTCTGACAGCTTTGAAGAGAGCAGTGGTTCTCCCAGCATGCAGCTGGAGATCTGAGAACGGGCAGACTGCCTCCTCAAGTGGGTCCCCGAGCCCTGGCCCCTGAGCTGCCTAACTGGGAGGCACCCCGCAGTAGGGGTAGAATGACACCTCACACGGCCGGGTAATCCTCTGAGAAAAAACTTCCAGAGGAACGATCAGACAGCAGCATTCATGGTTCACAAAAATCTGCTGTTCTGCAGCCACAGCTGCTGGTACCCAGGCAAACAGGGTCTGGAGTGGGCCTCTAGCAAACTCCAACAGACCTGCAGCTGAGGGACCTGTCTTTTAGCAGGAAAACTAACAAACAGAAAGGATATCCACACCAAAAACCCATCTGTACATCACCATCATCAAAGACCAAAAGTAGATAAAACCACAAAGAAGGGGAAAAAACAGAGCAGAAAAACTGGAAACTCTAAAAAGCAGAGCATCTCTCCTCCTACAAAGGAACGCAGCTCCTCACTAGCATCAGAACAAAGGTGGATGGAGAATGACTTTGACGAGTTGAGAGAAGAAATCTTCAGATGATCAAACTACTCCGAGCTACAGGAGGAAATTCAAACCAAAGGCAAAGAAGTTGAAAACTTTGAAAAAAATTTAGATGAATGTATAACTAGAATAACCAATATAGATAAGTGCTTAAAGGAGCTGATGGAGCTGAAAGCCAAGGCTCAAGAACTACGTGAAGAATGCAGAAACCCCAGGAGCTGATATGATCAAGTGGAAGAAAGGGTATCAGTGATGGAAGATGAAATGAATGAAATGAAGCGAGTGGGGAAGTTTAGAGAAAAAAGAATAAAAAGAAATGAACAAAGCCTCCAAGAAATATGGGACTATGGGAAAAGACCAAATCTACGTCTGATTGGTGTACCTGAAAGTGACGGGAAGAATGGAACCAAGTTGGAAAACACTCTGCAGGATATTATCCAGGAGAACTTCCCCAATCTAGCAAGGCAGGCCAACATTCAGATTCAGGAAATACAGAGAATGCCACAAAGATACTCCTTGAGAAGAGCAACTCCAAGACACATAATTGTCAGATTCCTCAAAGTGGAAATGAGGGAAAAAATATTAAGGACAGTCAGAGAGAAAGGTCGGGTTACCCACAAAGGGAAGCCCATCAGACTAACAGCGGATCTCTTGGCAGAAACTCTAAAAGCCAGAAGAGAGTGAGGGCCAATATTCAACATTCTTAAGGAAAAGAATTTTCAACCGAGAATTTCATATCCAGCCAAACTAAGCTTCATAAGTGAAAGAGAAATAAAATACTTTACAGACAAGCAAATGCTGAGAGATTTCGTCACCACCAGGCCTGCCCTACAAGAGCTCCTGAAGGAAGCACTAAACATGGAAAGGAACAACCAGTACCAGCCACTGCAAAATCATGCCAAATTGTATAGACCATCGAGGCTAGGAAGAAACTGCATTAACTAATGAGCAAAATAACCAGCTAACATCATAATGACAGGATCAAATTCACACCTAACAGTATGAACTTTAAATGTAAATGGACTAAATGCTCCAATTAAAAGACACAGACTGGCAAACTGGGTAAAGAGTCGAGACCCATCAGTGTGCTGTATTCAGGAAATCCATCTCACATGCAGAGACACACATAGGATCAAAATAAAAGGATGGAAGAAGATCTACCAAGCAAATGGAAAACAAAAAGGCAGGGGTTGCAATCCTAGTCTCTGATAAAACAGACTTTAAACCAACAAAGATCAAAAGAGACAAAGAAGGCCATTACATAATGGTCAAGGGATCAATTCAACAAGAAGAGCTAACTATTCTAAATATACATGCACCCAATACAGGAGCACCCAGATTCATAAAGCAAGTCCTGAACGACCTACAAAGAGACTTAGACTCCCACACAATAATAGTGGGAGACTATAACACCCCACTGTCAACATTAGACAGATCTACAAGACAGAAAGTTAACAAGGATATCCAGGAATTGAACTCAGCTCTGCACCAAGCGGACCTACTAGACATATACAGAACTCTCCACCCCAAATCCACAGAATATACATTTTTTTCAGCACCACACCACACCTACTCCAAAATTGACCCCATAGTTGGAAGTAAAGCTCTCCTCAACAATAGTAAAAGAACAGAATTTATAACAAACTGTCTCTCAAACCAATTTTGGAACAGGTGTGTTGTGGTGCTGAAAAAAATGTATGTTCTGTTGATTTGGGTTGGAGAGTTCTGTAGATGTCTATTAGGTCCACTTGGTGCAGAGCTGAGTTCAATTCCTGGGTATCCTTGTTGACTTTCTGTCTCGTTGATCTGTCTAATGTTGAGAGTGGGGCGTTAAAGTCTCCCATTATTAATGTGTGGGAGTCTAAGTCTCTTTGTAAGTCACTCAGGACTTGCTTTATGAATCAGAAATTTTAACAAACTATCTCTCAGACCACAGTGCAACCAAACTAGAACTCAGGATTAAGAAACTCACTCAAAACCACTCCACTACATGGAAACTGAACAACCTGTTCCTGAACGACTACTGGGTAGATAACGAAATGAAGGCAGAAATAAAGATGTTCTTTGAAACCAATGAGAACAAAGACACAACATACCAGAATCTCTGGAACACATTCAAAGCAGTGTGTAGAGCGAAATTTATAGCACTAAATGACCACAAGGGAAAGGAGGAAAGATCCAAAATTGACACCCTAACATCACAATTAAAAGAACTAGAAAAGCAAGAGCAAGCACATTCAAAAGCTAGCAGAAGACAAGAAATAACTAAAATCAGAGCAGAACTGAAGGAAATAGAGACACAAAAAACCCTTCAAAAAACGAATGAATCCAGGAGCTGGTTTTTTGAAAGGATCAACAAAATTGATAGACCGCTAGCAAGACTAATAAAGAAAAAAAGAGAAAAGAATCAAATAGACGCAATAAAAAATGAAAAAGGGGATATCACCACCGATCCCACAGAAATAAAAACTACCATCAGAGAATACTATGAACACCTCTATGGAAATAAACTAGAAAATCTAGAAGAAATGAATAAATTCCTCGACACATACACCCTCTGAAGACTAAACCAGGAAGAAGTTGAATCTCTGAATAGACCAATAACAGGAGCTGAAATTGTGGCAATAATCAATAGCTTACCAACCAAAAAGAGTCCAGGACCAGATGGATTCACAGCCAAATTCTACCAGAGGTACAAGGAGGAACTGGTACCATTCCTTCTGAAACTATTCCAATCAATAGAAAAAGAGTGAATCTTCCCTAACTCATTTTATGAGGCCAGCATCATCCTGATACCAAAGCCGGGCAGAGACACAACCAAAAAGAGCATTTTAGACCAATATCCTTGATGAACATTGATGCAAAATTCCTCAATAAAATACTGGCAAACCAAATCCAGCAGCACATCAAAAAGCTTATCCACCATGATCAAGTGGGCTGCATCCCTGGGATGCAAGGCTGGTTCAATATACGCAAATCAATAAATGTAATCCAACATGTAAACAGAACCAAAGACAAAAACCACATGATTATCTCAATAGATGCAGAAAAGGCCTTTGACAAAATTCAAAAACCCTTCATGCTAAAAACTCTCAATAAATTAGGTATTGATGGGACAAATCTCAAAATAATAAGAGCTATCTATGACAAACCCACAGCCAATACCATACTGAATGGGCAAAAACTGGAAGCATTCCCTTTGAAAACTGGCACAAGACAGGGATGCCCTCTCTCACCACTCCTATTCAACATAGTGTTGGAAGTTCTGGGAAGGGAAATTAGGCAGGAGAAGGAAATAAAGGGTATTCAATTAGGAAAAGAGGAAGTCAAATTGTCCCTGTTTGCAAATGACATGATTGTATATCTAGAAAACCCCATTGTCTCAGCCCAAAATCTCCTTAAGCTGATAAGCAACTTCAGCAAAGTCTCAGGATACAAAATCAATGTACAAAAATCACAAGCATTCTTATACACCAACAACAGACAAACAGAGAGCCAAATCATGAGTGAACTCCCATTCAGAATTGCTTCAAAGAGAATAAAATACCTAGGAATCCACCTTACAAGGGACTTGAAGGACCTCTTCAAGGAGAACTACAAACTACTGGTCAATGAAATAAAAGAGCATACAAACAAATGGAAGAACATTCCATGCTTATGGGTAGGAAGAATCAATATAATGAAAACGGCCATAGTGCCCAAGGTAATTTATAGATTCAATGCCATCTCCATCAAGCTACCAATGACTTTCTTCACAGAATTGGAAAAACGACTTTAAAGTTTGTATGGAACCAAAAAAGAGCCCACATTGCCAAGTCAATCCTAAGCTAAAAGAACAAAGCTGGAGGCATCACGCTACCTGACTTCAAACTGTACTACAAGGCTACAGTAACCAAAACGGCATGGTACTGGTATCAAAACAGAGATATAGATCAATGGAACAGAACAGAGCCCTCAGAAATAATGCCGCATATACACAACTATCTGATCTTTGACAAACCTGAGAAAAACAAGCAATGGGGAAAGGATTCCCTATTTAATAAATGGTGCTGGGAAAACTGGCTAGCCATATGTAGAAAGCTGAAACTGGATTCCTTCCTTACACCTTATACAAAAATCAATTCAAGATGGATTAAAGACTTACATGTTAGACCTAAAACCATAAAAACCCTAGAAGAAAACCTAGGCATTACCATTCAGGACATAGGCACGGTAAGGACTTCATGTGTAAAACACCAAAAGCAATGGCAACAAAAGCCAAAATTGACAAATGGGATCTAATTAAACTAAAGAGCTTCTGCACAGCAAAAGAAACTACCATCAGAGTGAACAGGCAACCCACAAAGTGGGAGAAAATTTTCGCAACCTACTCATCTGACAAAGAGCTAATATCCAGAATCTATAATGAACACAAACAAATTTACAAGAAAAATAAACAACCCCATCAACAAGTGGGCGAAGGACATGAACAGACACTTCTCAAAAGAAGACATTTATGCAGCCAAAAAACACATGAGAAAATGCTCACCATCACTGGCCATCAGAGAAATGCAAATCAAAACCACAATGAGATATCAACTCACACCAGTTAGAATGGCAATCATTAAAAAGTCAGGAAACAACAGGTGCTGGAGAGGATGTGGAGAAATAGGAACACTTTTACACTGTTGGTGGGACTGGAAACTAGTTCAACCATTATGGAAGTCAGTGTGGCGATTCCTCAGGGATCTAGAACTAGAAATACCATTTGACCCAGCCATCCCATTTCTGGGTACATACCCAAAGGACTATAAATCATGCTGCTATAAAGACACATGCACACGTCTGTTTATTGTGGCACTATTCACAATAGCAAAGACTGGGAACCAACCCAATTGTCCAACAATGATGGACTGGATTAAGAAAATGTGGCACATATACACCATGGAATACTATGCAGCCATAAAAAATGATGAGTTCATGTCCTTTGTAGGGACATGGATGAAAATGGAAATCATCATTCTCAGTAAACTATTGCAAGAACAAAAAAAGGAACACCGCATATTCTCACTCATAGGTGGGAATTGAACAATGAGAACACATGGACACAGGAAGGGGAACATCACAATCTGGGGACTGTGGCGGGGTGGGGGGAGGAGGGAGGTATAGCTTTAGGAGATATACCTAATGCTAAATGACGAGTTAATGGGTGCAGCACACCAGCATGGCACATGTATACATATGTAACTAACCCGCACGTTGTGCACATGTACCCTAAAACTAAAAGTATAATAATAATAAAATTTAAAAAATAAAGAAAAAGAAAAGCAGGAAAGCATAGACAGGTGAGCACTAGTTTTGTGCCTTCAGTGTCCCTTGAGACATAAGCAGGCTCAGAAATAGAGGCCCAGGTCTGAAAATCTGTAAGAAAGGAGGGGCCAAGAGGCCTTCGAGTCCGGCAGAGCTTGGAAAAAATCTCATATGGCCACAGGTGAAAAACTGTCCCTAACCACTGCAGAAAAGGAGGGATCCTGACACATACCGGGGTCTTGAGGTGAAATCTTGCTAGGGAAACATACCAGGAGGAAGACGCACCAGGAGTAGCAAGGCACCACCATGCTGATACCAAGGCCCAAAGCAGTGCATTCCTTTTATGGCATTAACTTGGCACAGCCCTAGCATATCATTCTGGCAAAATAAGAAGTAAATCCTCTCTGGAGTGTGAAAATTATTCCAGAGCCCAAAATTGCTTCTAAAATGCTGTAGGGCAAGTATCAATTTAAATCTATGTAGATATTAAGTGTGTTAAACATACTGTGATTTCAATCAACAAAAACCAAACATACAAAATCGAGAGAAAAAAACAGCCAACAAAAAGAGACCAAAATAAGTTGCGTATATTGGGCCACTAGTATATGATATGCTGAATGCATTCCATGACAAGGTCAAGAATTTTAGCAGAGAACCAGAAACTATAAAAAGAAATCAAACAAATGTCAAATATAAAGTAACTCAAACTGATCACTCAATGGATGAATGTAACGGTAAATTTGACAGTTAAATTTCCTCTTGCAAGTGTTCCGCTGGAGGTTTGGTCAGGCCATGAGGCAATTTGTAATAAGTAAAAAGAATAAAATCATTTCTAGAGAAAACAAAAAACAAAAAAAACCCACTCTTTTTGTAGAATCTGCAAGTGGATATTTGAAGCACTTTGAGGCCTGTTGTGGAAAGGAAATATCTTCACATAAAAATTACACAGAAGCATTCTGAGAAACTTCTTTGTGATGTGTGCATTCATCTCACAAAGCTGAAGCTCGCTTTTGTTTGAGCAGTTTTGAAACACTCTTCGAAAAACCTGCAAGTGGATATTTGAAGCGCTTTGAGGCTTATTGTGGAAAAGGAAATATCTTCACATAAAAACTGCAAAGAAGCATTCTGAGAAACTTATTTGTGATGTGTGCATTCTTCTCACATAGTTGAAACTTTCTTTTGTTTGAGCAGTTTTGAAGCACTCTTCTTGTAGAATCTGCAATTGGATATTTAGAGCGCTTTGGGTCCTATGGTTGAAACGGAAATATCTTCACAAAAAAACTACACAGAAGCATTCTGACAAACACCTTTGCGATGTGTACATTCATCTCACAGAGTTGAAACTTTCTTTTGATTGAGCAGTTTTGAAACACTTTTTTGTAGAATCTGCAAGTGGATATTTAGACGAATTGGGGCTTATTGTGGAAAAAGAAATATCTTCACATAAAAACTACACAGAAGCATTCTGAGAAATTGCTTGTGATGTTTGCATTCATCTCACAGTGTAGAACGTTTCTTTGGATTAGCAGATTTGAAACCCTCTTTTTGTACAGTTTGCAACTGGACATTTGTAGTGCTTTGAGGCCTATTGTGGAAAAGGAAATATCTTCACATAAAAACTACACAGAAGCATTCTGAGAAACTTCTTTGTGATGTGTGCATTCATCTCACAGAGTTGTACATTTCTTTTGATTTAGCAGTTTGGAAACACTCCTTTTGTAGAATCTGGAAGTGGATATTTGAAGTGCTTTGAGGCCTATTGTGGAAAAGAGTATATCTTCACATAAAAACTACACAAAAGCATTCTCAGAAACTTCTTTGTGATGTGTGCATCCATCTCATAGAGTTGAACCTATCTTTTGATTGAGCAGTTTTTAAACTCTCTTTTTGTAGAATCTGCAAGTGGATATTTGGAGACCATTATGGCCTAAGGTGGAAAAGGAAATATCTTCACATAAAATCTACACAGAAGCATTCTGAGAAATTTCTTTGTGATGTGTGCATTCAACTCACAGAGTTGAATCTACCTTTTGATTGAGCAGTTTTGAATCTCTCTTTTTGGTGAATCTGGAATTGGATATTTGGAGACCTTTGTGACCAATTTTGGAAAAAGAAATATCTTCACATAAAAAACACACAGAAGCATTCTGAGAAATTTCTTTGTGATGTGTGCATTCATCTCACAGAACTGAAACTTTCTTTAGATTGAGCAGTTTTGAAACACTATTTTTATAGAGTCTACAAGTGGATATTTGGAGCACTTTGGGGCCTATGATGGAAAAGGAAATATCTTCACATAAAAACTACGCAGAAGCATTCTGAGGAACTTCTTTGTGATATGTGTATTCAACTCATAGAATTGAAACTATCTTTTGATTGAGCAGTTTTGAATCCCTCGTTTTGTAGTATCTGCAAGGGGATATTTGGAGTCATTTGCGGCCTATTTTGGGAAAGGATGTATCTTCTCATAAAAACTACCCAGAAACATTCTGAGAAACTTCTTTGTGATGTGTGCATTCAACTCACAGAGTTGAATCTATCTTTTGATTCAGCACTTTTGAATCTCTCTTTTCGTCCAATCTGGAATTGGATATTTGGAGACCTTTGCGATCAATTTTGGAAAAAGAAATATCTTCACATAAAAACTACACAGAAGCATTCTGAGAAATTTCTTTGTGATGTGTGCATTCATCTCACAGAATTGAAACATTCTGCAGACTGAGCAGTTTTGAAACACTCTTTTTATAGGGTCTGCAAGTGGATATTTGGAGTGATTTGAGGGCAATTGTGGAAAAGGAAATATCTTCACATAAAAACTACACAGAAGCATTCTGATAAACTTTTCTGCGATGTGTGCATTCACCTCACAGATTTGAAACTTTGTTTTGATAGAGCAGTTTTGAAACACTCTTTTTGTAGAATCTGCAAGTGGATATTTGGAGCGCTTTAGGGCCTATGATGAGAAAGGAAATATCTTCACATAAAAACTACACAGAAGCATTCTGAGAAACATCTTTGTGTTGTATGTATTCAACTCATAGAACTGAACCTACCTTTTGATTGAGCAGTTTTGAATCTCTCGTTTGTAGAATCTGCAAGTGGATATTTGGAGCCCTTTGTGGCCTATTTTGGAACAGGAAATATCTTCCATAAAAACTACACAGAAGCATTCTGAGAAACTTCTTTGTGATGTGTGCATTCATCTCACATAGTTGAACCTTTCTTTTGTTTGAGCAGTTTTGAAACACTCTTTTTATATAATCTGCAAGAGTCTGTTTGGAGCGCTTTCTGGCCTACTGTGGAAAAGGAAATATCTTCACATAAAAACTACACAGAAGTATTCTGAGAAACTTCTTTGTGATGTGTGTATTCAACTCAAAGAGTTGAAACTTTCTTTTGATTGAGCAGATTTGAAACACGGTTTTTGTAGCATTGGTAGGTGGATATTTGGAGCGCTTTGGGGCCTATTGTGGAAAAGGAAATATCTTCACATAAAAACTACACAGAAGCATTCCGAGAAACCTCTTTGCGATGTGTGCATTCATCTCACAGAGTTGAAGCTTCCTTTTGATTGAGCAATTTTTAAACACTTTTTTATGGAATTTGCAAGTGGATATTTGGAGGGCTCTGAAGACTATTGTGGAAAAGCTAATATCTTCACATAAAAACAACACAGCCGCTCCCTGAGAAACCTTTTTTGATATGTCCATTCAACTCACAGAGTTGAACCTATCTTTGATAGAGCAGTTTTGAAACACTCTTTTTGTAGAATCTGCAAGTGGACATTTGTAACACTTTGAGGCCGATGATGAAAAAGGAAATATCTTCACATAAAAATTAGACAGAAGCATTCTCAGAAATCACATTGTGATGTGTGGATTCAACTCACAGAGTTGAACATTTGTTTTGATAGAGCAGTTTTGAAACACTCTTTTTGTAAAATCTGCAATTGGGCCTTTGGAGCGCTTTGAGGCCTATGGTGAAAAAGCAATTATCTTCATACAAAAATAACACAAAAGCATTCTCAGGAACTTCTTTGTTATGTATGCATTCAACTCAGAGAGTTGAACCTTTCTTTTGATAGAGCAGTTTTGAAACACTCTTTTTAGTGGAATCTGAAAGTGGACTTTTGGAGCACTTTGAGTCCTATGGTGAAAAAGAAAATATCTTCACATAAAAACTACACAGAAGCATTCTCAGAAACGTCTTTGTGATGTTTTCTTTCAACTAACAGAGTTGAACATTCCTTTTCATAGAGCAGATTTGAAACACTCTTTTTGTACAATTTGCAAGTGGATATTTGGACCGCCTTGAGGCCTTCATAGGAAAAGGTATATCTTCACATAGAAACTAGAGAGAAGCATTCTCAGAAACTTCTTTGTGATGTGTGCATTCAACTCTAAGAGTTGAAAGTTTCTTTTGTTGAAACAGTTTGAAACACTCTTTTTTTAGAATCTACAAGGTGACATTTACAGCGCTTTGAGGCCTATGGTGAAAAAGGAAGTATCTTCACATTAAAACTAGAGAGAAGCATTATCAGAAATTTCTTTGTGATGTGTGCATTCAACTCACAGAGTTGAACATTTCTTTTTATAGAGCAGTTTTGAAACAGTCTTTTTGTAGAATCTGAAAGTGGACATTTGGAGTGCGTTGAGGCCTATGTTGAAAAAGGAAATATCTTCACATAAAAACTACAAAGAAGCATTCTCTGAAACTTCTTTGTGATGTGTGCATTCAACTCACAGGGTTGAACATTCCTTTTCATACAGCTGGTTTTAAACACTGTTTTTGTAGAATTTGCAAGTCGATATTTGGACCACATCGAGGCCTTCATTGGAAATGGTATATCTTCACATAAAAAATATACAGAAGCATTCTCAGCAACTTCTTAGTGATGTGTGCATTCAGCTCTCAGAGATGAACCTTTCCTTTAATAGAGCAGTTTTAAAAAACACTTTTTGTAGAATCTGCAAGTGGACACTTGGAGTGCTTTGATGCCTACAGTGAAAAAGGCTATGTCTTCACATAAAAACTACAAAGCAGCATTCTTAGAAACGTCTTTGTGATGTTTCCTTTCAACACACAGAGTTTAACATTCCTTTTCATAGAGCAGTTTTGAAACACTCTTTTTTTAGAATTCGCAAGAGGATATTTGGACCTCTTTGAGGCCTTCGTTGGAAATGGAATATCTTCACGTAAAAACTAGGCAGAAGCACTCACAGAAACTACTTTGTGATGTGTGCATTCAACTCAGAGAGTTGAACCTTTCTTTTGAGGAGCAGTTTTGAAACATTCTTTTTGTAGAATCTGAAAGTGGATATTTGGAGTGCTTTGAGGCCTATGGTGAAAAAGGAAATATCTTCAAATAAAAACTACACAGAAGCATTCTCAGAAACTTCATTGTGATGTTGGCTTTCAACTCACGGAGTTCAACATTCCTTTTCATGGAACAGTTTTGAAACACTGTATTCGTAGAATCTACAAGTGGACATTTGGGGCTCTTTGAGGCCTATGTTGACAAAGGAACTATCTTGTCATGAAAACTACACAGAATCATTCTCAGAAACTTCTTTGTGATGTGTGCATTCAACTCACAGAGTTGAACGGTACTTTTGATAGAGCTGTTTTGAAACACACTTTTTGTAGAATCTGCAAGTGTGCATTTGGAACACTTTGAGGCCTATGGTGGAAAAGGAAATATCATTAAATAAAAACTACACAAAAGCATTCTCAGAAACTTCTTTGTTATGTGTGCATTCAACTCACAGAGTTGAACCTCTCTTTTGATAGAGCAGTTTTGAAACCCTCTTTTTGTACAACATGCAAGTGGACAGTTGGAGCGCTTAGAGACTTATGGTGAAAAAGGAAATATCTTCACATAAAAACTACACTGAAGCATTCTCAGAAACTTCTTTTTGTTGTTTGCTTTCAAATCACAGAGTTGAATATTCCTTTTCATAGAGCAGTTTTGAAATAATCTTTTTGTAATTTTGCAAGTGGATATTTGGAACGCTTTGAGGCCTTCGTTGGAAAAGGGATATCTTCACAAAAAATAGAAGCATTCTCAGAAACTTCCTTGTGATGTGTGCATTCAACTCACAGAGTTGAACCTTTCTTTTGATAAAGCAGTTTTTAAACACTCTTTTTGTAGATCCTGCAGGTGGACATTTGGGGCCAATAGCGAAAAAGGATATATCTTCACATAAAAACTAGACAGAAGCATTCTCAGAAACTTCTTTGTGATGCGTGCACTCAACTCACAGAGTTGAAAATGTCTTTTGATAGAGCAGTTTTGAAGCACTCTTTTTGTAGATCTGCAAGTGGATATTTGGACGGATTTGAAGCCTTCGTTAGGAAAGGGATAATTTCACAGAAACTAGACAGAAGCATTCTCAGAAACTTCTTTGTGATGTCTGCATTCAACTCACAGGGATGAATATTTCTTTTGATAGAACAGTTTTGAAACACTCCTTTTGTGGAACATGCCACTGGACATTAGGAGCACTTTGAGGCCTATGCTAAAAAAGGAAATATCTTAACATAAAAATTACACAGAAGCAGTCTCAGAAACTTCTTTATGATGTCTGCATTCAACTCACAGAGTTGAACCTCTCTTTTGATAGAGCGGTTTTGAAACCCTCTTTTTGTAGAATCTGTAAATGGATATTTGGAGCGCTTTGAGGCCTAGGGTGAAAAAGGAAATATCTTCATATAAAAACAACACAAAAGCATTCTCAAGAACTTCTTTGTTTTGTATGCATTCAACTCACAGAGTTGAACCTTTCTTTTGATAGAGCAGTTTTGAAACACTCTTTTTTGTGGAATCTGAAAGTGGACTTTTGGAGCACTTTGAGGCCTATGGTGAAAAAGGAAATATCTTCACATAAAAACTACACAGAAGCATTCTCAGAAACGTCTTTTTGATGTTTGTTTTCAACTAACAGAGTTGAACATTCCTTTACATAGAGCATATTTGAAACATTCTTTTTGTAGAATTTGCAAGGGGATATTTGGACCGCCTTGAGGCCTTCGTAGGAAACGGTATATCTTCACATAAAAACTAGACAGAAGCATTCTCAGAAACTTCTTTGTGATGTGTGCATTCAGCTCTAAGAGTTGAACGTTTCTTTTGTTGAAACAGTTTTGAAACATTCTTTTTGTAGAATCTGCAAGGTGACATTTACAGCACTTTGAGGCCTATGGTGAAAAAGGAAATATCTTCACATAAAAACTAGAGAGAAGCATTATCAGAAACTTCTTTGTGATGTGTGCATTCAACTCACAGAGATGAACATTTCTTTTGATAGAGCAGTTTTGAAACACACTTTTTGTAGAATCTGCAAGTTGACATTTGGAGTGCTTTGAGGCCTATGGTAAAAAAGGAAATATCTTCAAATAAAAACTACACAGAAGCATTCTCAGGAACTTCATTGTGATGTTTGCTTTCAACTCATAGAGTTCAGCATTCTTTTTCATGGAGCAGTTTGAAACACTGTATTCGTAGAGTCTACAAGTGGACATTTGGAGCTCTTTGAGGTATATGGTGAAAAAGGAACTATCTTGTCTTAAAAACTACACAGAATCATTCTCAGAAACTTCTTTGTGGTGTGTGCATTCAACTCACCGAGTTCAACGGTTCTTTTGATAGAGCTGTTTTGAAACACACTTTTTGTAGAATCTGCAATTGGGCATTTGGAGCACTTTGAGGCCTACGGTGAAAAAGGAAATATCTTCATATATAAAAAACACAGAAACATTCTCTGGAACTTCTTTGTGATGTGTGCACTCAACTCACAGAGTTGAACCTCTCTTTTGATAGAGCAGTTTTGAAACCCTCTTTTTGTACAATCTGCATCTGGAAGTTTGGAGCGCTTTGAGGCCTACGGTGGAAAAGGAAATATCTTCACATGAAAACTACACAAAAGCATTCTCAGAAACTTCTTTGTTATGTGTGCATTCAACTCACAGAGTTGAACCTCTCTTTTGATAGAGCACCTTGGAAACCCTCTTTTTGTCCAATCTGCAACTGGACATTTGGAGCGCTTTGAGGCTTATGGTGAAAAAGGAAATATCTTCACATAAAAACGACACAGAAGCATTCTCAGAAACTTCTTTTTGTTGTTTGCTTTCCACTCACAGAGTTGAACATTCCTTTTCATAGAGCAGTTTTGAAATAATCTTTTTGTAATTTTGCAAGTGGATATTTGGACCGCTTTGAGGCCTTCATTGGAAAAGGGATATCTTCACAAAAAATAGACAGAAGCGTTCTCAGAAACTTCCTTGTGATGTGTGCATTCAACTCACAGAGTTGAACCTTTCTTTTGATAAAGCAGTTTTTAAACACTCTTTTTGTGGATCCTGCAAGTGGACATTTGGAGCGCTTTGGGGCCTATTGGGAAAAAGGATATATCTTCACATAAAAACTAGACAGAAGCATTCTCAGAAACTTCTTTGTGATATGTGCACTCAACTCACTGAGCTGAAACTGTCTTTTGATAGAGCAGTTTTGAAACACTCTTTTTGTAGAATCTGCAAGTGGATATTTGGATGGATTTGAGGCCTTCGTTAGAAACAGGATAACTTCACAGAAACTAGACAGAAGCATTCTCAGAAACTTCTTTGTGATGTCTGCATTCAACTCACAGGGATGAATATGTCTTTTGATAGAACAGTTTTGAAACACTCCTTTTGTGGAACATGCCACTGGACATTAGGAGCAGTTTGAGGCCTATGCTGAAAAGGAAATGTCTTCACATAAAAACTGCACAGAAGCAGTCTCAGAAACTTCTTTATGATGTCTGCATTCAACTCACAGGGTTGAACCTCTCTTTTGATAGAGCAGTTTTGAAACCCTCTTTTTGTAGAATCTGTAAATGGATATTTGGAGTGTTTTGAGGCCTATGGTGAAAAAGGAAATATCTTCACATAAAAACTAGACAGAAGCATTCTCAGAAACTTCTTTGTGATGTCTGCATTCAACTCACGGGAATGAATATTTCTTTTGATAGAGCAGTTTTGAAACACTCTTTTTGTTGAATCTCCAAGTGCACATTTGGAGAGCTTTGAGGTCTGTGGTGAAAAAGGAAATATCTTCACAACGAAACTACACAGAAGCATTCTCAGAAACTTCACTGCAATGTTTGCTTTCAAATCACAGAGTTGAACATTCCTTTTCATAGAGCAGTTTTGAAACACTCTTTTTGTAGAATTTGTAATTGGATATTTTGACCGCTCTGAGGCCTTCGTTGGAAATGGGATGTCTTCACAAAAACTCTACAGAAGCATTCTCAGAAACTTCTCTCTGATGTGTGCATTCAACTCACAGAGTTGAACATTTCTTTTGATGGAGCAGTTTTGAAACACTCTTTTTGTAGAATCTGCAAGTGGACATTTGTAGCACTTTGAGGCCTATGGTGAAAAAGGAAATACCTTCACATAAAAACTAGACAGGAGCTTTCTCAGAAACCTCTTTGTGATGAGTGCCTTCAACTCACAGAGTGGAACCTTTCTTTTAATAGTGCAGTTTTGTAACACACTTTTTGTAGAATCTGCTAGTGGAAATTTGGACTCCTTTGAGGCCAGTGGTGAAAAAGGAAATATCTTCACCTAAAAACTACGCAGAAACAGTCTCAGAAACTTCTTTGTGATGTGTGCAATCAACTCACAGATTTGAATCATTCTTTTGATAGAGGTGTTTTGAAGCACTCTTTTTGTAGAATCTGCAAGTGAGCATTTGGAGCACTTTGAGGACTACGGTGAAAAGAAATATCTTCATATATAAACAACACAGAAGCATTCTCAGGAACTTCTTTGTGAAGTGTGCATTCAACTCACAGAGTTGAAGCTCTCTTTTGAAAGAGCAGTTTTGAAAGCCTCTTTTTGTAGAATCTGCAACTGGATATTTGAAGCGCTTTGAGGCCTACCGTGCAAGAGGAAATATCTTCACATAAAAACTACACAAAAGCATTCTCATAAACTTCTTTGTGATGTGTGCATTCAACTCACAGAGGTGAACCTCTCTTTTGATAGAGCAGTTCTGAAACTCTCTTTTTGAAGAATCTGCAACTGGACATTTGGAGCACTTTGAGGCCTATGGTGAAAAAGACAATATCTTCACATAAAAACTACACAGAAGCATTCTCTGAAACTACTTTGTGTTGTTTGCTTTCAACTCAGAGTTGAACATTCCTTTTCATAGAGCAGTTTTGAAACACTTTTTTTGTAGAATTTGCAATTGGATGTTTTGACCGCTCTGAGGCCTTCATTGGAAAAGGTATATCTTCACATAAACTAGACAGAAGCATTCACAGAAACTTCTTTGTGATGTTTACTTTCAACCCACAGAGTTGAAGTTTACTTTTCACAGAGCAATTTTGAAATACTCTTTTTGTAGAATTCGCAAGTGGATATTTGGACCACTTTGAGGCCTTCGTTAGAAAAGAGATGTCTTCACAAAAACTGGATAGAAACATTCTCAGCAAGTTCTTTGTGATGTGTGCATTGAACTCACAGAGTTGAACCTTTCTTTCGAAAGAGCAGTTATGAAAAACACTTTTTGTAGAATCTGTAATTGGACTTCTGTAGCGCTTTGAGGCCTATGATGAAAAAGGAAATATCTCCACATAAAAACTAGACAGCAGCATTTTCCGAAACCTCTTTGTGATGTGTGCATTCAACTCACAGAGTTGAATCTTTCTTTTGACAGATCAGTTTAGAAACACTCTTCTTGTAGAATTTGCAAGTGGATATTTGGACTGTTTTGAGGCCTTCGTTGGAAAAGGGATATCTTCACAGAAGCTATACAGAAGCATTCTCAGAAACTTCTTTTTCATGTCTGCATTCAACTCACAGAGTTGAATATTTCTTTTGATTGAGCAGTTTTGAAACACTCTTTTTGTAGAACCTGACACTGGACATTAGGAGCGCTTTGAGGCCTATGGTGAAAAAGGAAATATCTTCACATCAAAACTACACAGAAGCATTCTCAGAAACTTCTTTGTTATGGGGGCATTCAACTCACAGATTTGAACCTCTCTTTTGATAGAGCAGTTTTGAAACCCTGTTTTTGGAGGATCTGCAAATGAATATTTGGAGCGCTTTGAGGCCTATGGTGAAAAAGGAAATATCTACACATAAAAACTACACAGAAGCATTCTCAGAAACTTCTTTCTGTTGTTTGCTTTCAACTCACAGAGTTGAACATTCCTTTTCTTAGAGCAGTTTTGTAATACTCTTATTGCAGAATTTGCAAGTGGATATTTGGACCACTTTGAGGCCTTCCTTGGAAACGGGATATCGTCACAGAAACTACACAGAAGCATCTCAGAATCCACTTTGTGATGTGTGGATTCAACTCATAGGGTTGAACATTTCTTTTGATAGAGCAGTTTTGAAAAACTCTTTATGCAGAATCTGCAAGTGGACATTGGGAGCGCTTTGAGGCCTGCGGTGAAAAAGGAAATATCTTCACAAAGAAACTACACAGAAGCATTCTCAGAAACTCCTTTGTGATGTTTGCTTTCCATTCACAGAGTTGAACATTCCTTTTAATAGAGCAGTTTTGAAACACTCTTTTTGTAGAATTTGTAAGTGGATCTTTGGACTGCTTTGAGGCCTTCATTGGAAACGGGATATCTTCAAAACACTAGACGGGTAAATTCTCAGGAACTTCTTTGTGATGTGTACATTCAACTCACAGAGTTGAACCTTTCTTTTGATAGAGCAGCTTTGAAACACTCTTTTTGTAGAATCTGCAAGTGGGCATTTGGAGCGCTTTGAGGCCTATGGTGAAAAAGGAAATATTTTCACATAAAAACACACAAAGCATTCTCAGGAACTACTTTGTGATGTATGCATTCAACACACAGAGTTGAACCTCTCTTTTGATAGAGCACCTTGGAAACCCTCTTTTTGTAGAATCTGTAAATGGATATTTGGAGAGCTTTGAGGCTAAAGGTGAAAGAGGAACTATCTTCACATAAAACTACACTGATGCATTCTTAGAAACTTCTTTGTGTTGTTTGCTTTCAACTCACAGCGTTGAACATTCCTTTTCATAGTGCCGTTTTGAAACACTCTTTTTGTAGAATTTGCAAGTGGATATTTGGACCGATTTGAAGCCTTCATTGGAAAAGGGATATCTTCACAAAAACTAAACAGGAGCAATCTCAGAAACTTCTTTGTGATGTGTGCATTCAACCCACAATGTTGAACTTTTCTTTTGATAAAGCAATTTTGAAACACTCTTTTTGTAGATTCTGCAAAGTGACATTTGGAGCACTTTGAGGCCCATGGTGAAAAAGGAAAAATCTTCACATAAAAACTACACAGAAGCATTCTCAGAAACATCTTTTTGATGCGTGCGTTCAACTCACAGAGTTGAACCTCTCTTTTGATAGAGCAGTTTGGAAACCCTCTTTTTGTAGAATCTGAAAGTGGACATTTGGAGAGCTTTGAGGCCTATGATGAAAAAGCAAGCATCTTCACGAAAAATTACACAGAAACACTCTCAGAAACTACTTTGTGTTGTTTTCTTTCAACTCTCAGAGTTGAACATTCCTTTTCATAGAGCAGTTTTGAAACACTTTTTGTAGAATTTGCAAGTGGATATTTGGATCACTTTGAGGCCTTCGTTGGAAATGGTATATCTTCACAGAAACAAGACAGAAGCATTCTCAGGAATTTTTTTGTGATGTATGCATTCAACTCATATAGTTGAATCTCTCCTTTGATAGAGCAGTTTTGAAACCCTCCTTTTGTAGAATCTGCAACTGCACATTTGGAGCGCTTTGAGGGCTAAGGTGTAAAAGGAAATATCTTCACATAAAAACTACACAGTATTCTCAGAAACTTCTTTGAGTTGTTTGCATTCAACTCACAGAGTTGAACATTCCTTTTCATAGAGCAGTTTTGAAATGCTCTTTTTGTAGAATTTGCAAGTGGATGTTTGGACCACTTTGAGGCCTTCGTTGGAAACGGTACATCTTCACAGAAACTAAAGAGAAGCATTCTCCGAAATTCCTTTGTGATGTCTGCATTGAACTCACAGAGTTGAAACTTTCTTTTCATAGAGCAGTTTTGAAACACTCTTTTGTAGAACCTGCAAGTGGACATTTGGAGCTCTTTGCAGCCTATGGTGAAATAGGAAATATCTTCACAACGAAGTTACACAGAAGCATTCTCAGAAACTTCTTTGTGATGTTTGCTTTCAACTCACAGATTTGAACATTCCTTTTCATAGAGCAGATTTGAAACACTCTTTTTGTAGAATTTGCAAGTGGATATTTGGAAGGCTTTGAGGCCTTCGTTGGAAAAGGGACATCTTCACAAAAACTGGACAGAAGCATTCTCAGAAACTTCTTTCTGATGTGTGCATTCAACTCACAGAGTTGAACCTTTCTTTTGAAAGAGCAGTTTTGAAACACTCTTTTTGTAGAATCTGCAGGTGGACATTTGTAGCAGTTTGAGGCCTATGGTGAAAAAGGCAATATCTTCACATGAAAACTAGCCAGAAGCATTCTAAGAAACCTCTTTGTGATGTGTGCCTTCAACTCACAGAGTTGAACCATTTTTTTGATAGAGCAGTTTTGAACCACTGTTTTTGTAGAATCAGCAAGTGGACATTTTGAGCCCTTTTTGTCCTGTGGTGAAAAAGGAAATATCTTCAAGTTAAAACTACACAGAAGCATCCTCAGAAACTTCTTTGTGGTGTTTGCTTTCAATTCACAGATTTGAACTTTCCTTCTCATACAGCAGATTTGAAATACTCTTTCTCTAAAATTTGCAAATGGATATCTGGACTGCTTTGAGGCCTTCGTTGAAAAAGGGAAATCTTCACAAAAACTAGACAGAAGCATTCTCAGGGACTTCTTTGTGATGTGTGCATTCAACTCACAGAATTGAACTGTTCTTTTAATAGAGCAGTTTTGAAACACTCTTTTCGTAGAATCTGCAAGTGGACACTTGGAGTGCTTTGAGGCCTACGGTGAAAAAGGAAATATCTCCATATAAAAACAACACAGAAGCACTCTGAGGAACTTCTTTGTGATGTATGCATTCAACTCATATAATTGAACCGCTATTTTGACAGAGCAGTTTTGAAACCCTCTTTTTGTAGAATCTGAAACTGGATATTTGGAGTGCTTTGGGGCCAATGCTGAAAAAGGAAATATCGTCACATAAAAACTACACAGAAGCATTCTCAGAAACAACATTGTGATGTGTACATTCAACTCACAGAGATGAACCCATCTTTTGATAGAGCAGTCTGGAAACCCTCCTTTTGTGGAATCAGCAACTGGACATTTGGAGTGCTTTGAGGCATATGATGAAAAAGGAAATATCTTCACAAAAAAACTACACAGAAGCACTCTCAGAAACTGCTTTGTGTTGGTTGCTTTCAACTCACAGAGCTGAACATTCCTTTTTATAGAGCAGTTCTGAAACACTCTTTTTGTAGAATTTGCAAGGGATATTTGGAACGCTTTGAGGCCTTCGTTGGAAAAGGGATATCTTCACAAAAACTAGACAGAAGCATTCTCAGAAACTTCGTTGTGATGTGTGTACTCAACTCACAGAGTTGAACTTTTCTTTTGTTACAGCAGTTTTGAAACACTCTTTTTGTAGAATCTGCAAGTGGATATTTGGATAGCTCTGAGGCTTTCATTGGAAACGGGAATATCTTCACATAAAAACCAGAGAGAAACATTCTCAGAAACTTCTTGTGATGTTTGCACTCAACTCACAGAGTTGAACATCCTTTTCATAGAGCAATTTTGAAACACTATTTTTAATTTGAAATTGGACATTTGGACCGCTTTGAGGCCTTCACTGGAAAAGGGATATCTTAACAAAACCTAGACAGAAGCATTCTCAGGAACTTCTTTGTGATGTGTGCGCTCAAATCCCAGAGTTGAAGCTTTCTTTTGATAGAGAAGTTTGAAACTCTCTTTTTGTACAATCTGCAAGTGGATATTTGTAGCTCTTTGAAGCCTAAGGTGAAAAAGGAAATATCTTCGCATAGAAACTATACAGAAGCATTCTAAGAAACATCTTTGTGTTGTGTGCACTCAAATTAAAGAGTCGAAGACATCTTTTGATACAGCAGTTTTGAAACACTCTTTCTGTAGAATCTGCAAGTGGACATTGGGAGCGCTTTGAGGTCTATGGTGAGAAAGGAAATATCTTCACAACGAAACTACAAAGAAGCATTCTCAGAAACTTTTTCTGATGTTTGCTTTGAACTCACTGAGTTGAACATTCCTATTCATAGAACAGTTTTGAAACACACTTTATGTAGAACTTGCAAGAGGATATTTGGACCGCTTTGAGGTCTTCTCTGGAAAAGGGAAATCTTCAGGAAAACTAGATAGAAGCATTCTCAGAATCTCCTTTCTGATGTATGCATTCAACTCACAGAGATGAACGTTTCTTTTGATAGAGCTGTTGTGTAATACTCTTTTTGTAGGATCTGCAAGTGGGCATTTGGGGGGTTTTGAGCCACTTGCAGATTCAACAAAAAGATTTTTTTGAAAGTGCTCTATCGAAAGAATAGTTGAATTCTGTGAGTTCAATGCACACATCAGAAAGAAGCTTCTGAGAATGGTTCTGTCCAGTGTTTGTGAAGATATCCTATTACCAACGAAGACCTCAAAGGCTTCCAAATATCCACTTGCAAATTCTACAAAAGAGTGTTTCAAAACTGCACTATGAAAACGAATGTTCAATTCCTTGAGTTGAAAGCAAACATCAGAAAGAAGTTTCTGAGAATGCTTCTGTGTAGTTTCATTGTGAAGATATTTCCACTTTCACCATAGGCCTCAAAGCCCTCCAAATGTCCACTTGCAGGTTCTACAAAAAGAGTGTTTCAAAAGTGCTCTATCAAAGGAAAGCTTCAACTCTGTGAGTTGAATCCACACATCACAAAGAAGTTTCTGAGAATGCTTCTGTCTAGTTTTTATGTGAAGATATTTCGTTTTTCATAACAGGCCTCAAAGCGTTACAAATGTCCACTTGCAGATCCTACAAAAAGAGTTTTTGAAAACTGCTCTATCGAAAGAAATGTTCAAGTCTGTGAGTTGAATGCACAAATCACAAAGAAGTTTGTGAGAATGCTTCTGTCCAGTTTTTCTGAAGATATCCCATTTCCAACGAAGGCCCCAAAGCGGTCCAAATATCCACTTACAAATTCTACAAAAAGAGTGTTTCAAAACTGCTCTATGAAAAGGAATGTTCAACTCTGTGAGTTGAAAGCAAACAACAAAAAGAAGTTTCTGAGAATACTTCTATGTAGTTTATATGTAATGATATTTCCTTTTTCACCATAGGCCTCAAAGCTCTCCAAATGTCCACTTGCAGATTCTACAAAAAGGAGGTTTCAAAACTGCTCTATCAAAAGAGAGGTTCAAATCTGTGAGTTGAAGACACACATCACAAAGAGGTTTCTGAGAATGCTTCTGTGTAGTTGTTATGTGAAGATATTTCCTTTTTCACCATAGGCCTCAAAGCGCTCCAAATGTCCAGTTGCAGATTCTACAAAAAGAGGGTTTCTAAACTGCTCTATCAAAAGAAAGGTTAAACTCGGTGAGTTGAACGCACACATCACAAAGTAGTTTCTGGGAATGATTCTGTCTAGTTTTTATATGAACATATTGCCTTTTGTACTGTAGGACTAAAAGCGCTCTAAATATCCACTTGGAAATACTACAAAAAGACTGTTTCCAATCCGCTCTATCAAAAGGAAGGTTCAAATCTGTTAGTTGAATGCACACAACACAGAGAAGTTTCTGAGAATTCTTCTGCCTGGTTTTATAGGAAGCAATCCCGTTTCCAATGAAGGCCTCAAAGAGGTCCAAATATCCAGTGGCAGAATCTACAAAAAGAGTGTCTCAAAACAGCTCTATCAAGAGGAATGTTCAACTATGTGAGTTGAATGGACACATCACAAAGTATTTGCTAAGAATGCTTCTGTCTAGTTTTATGTGAAGATAATTCCTTTTCTACCATAGGACTCAAAGCACTCTAAATACACACTTGCTGATTCTACAAAAAGAGTGTTTCCAAACTGCTCTATCAAAAAGAATGTACAATTCTGTGAGTTAAATGCAATCATCACAGAGTAGTTTCTGAGAATGCTGCTAGGTAGTTTTTATGAGAAGATAATTCCTTTTACACCACAGTCCGCAAAGCCCTCCAAATGTCCACTTGCAGATTCTAGAAAAAGAGTGTTTCAACGCTGCGCTATCAAAGGGAAAGTTCAAGTCTGTGAGGTGAATGCAAACATCCCAAAGAAGTTTCTGAGAATGCTTCTGTTTAGCTTTTATGTGAAGATGATCCCGTTTCCAGTGAAATCTTCAAAGAGGTCCAAATATCCACTTGCGGATCCCACAGAAAGAGTGTTTTGAAACTGCTGTTTCCAAAGGAATCCTCAACTCTGTGAGTTGAATGCAATCATCACAAAGAAGTTTCTGACAATGCTTCACTCTAGTTTTTATGTGATGATATTTCCTTTTCCACCACAGAGCACAAAGCGCTCCACATGTCCACTTGCAGATTCTACGAAAAGAATGTTTCAAAACTGCTCTATGAAAAGCAATGTTAAACTCTGTGGCTCAAATACAAATATCACAAAAGAGTTTCTGAGAATGCTTCAGTTTAGTTTTTCTGTGAAGACATTTCCGTTTCCAAAGAAATCTTCAAAGAGGTCCACATATCCACTTACAGATTATACAAAAAGAGAGTTTCAAAACGGCTCAATCAAAAGGAAGGTTCAACTCTCTGACTTGAATGCAATCATCACACAGAAGTTTCTGAGAATGCTTCTCTTTGGTTTTTACTTGAAGATATACCCGTTTCGTTCGAAGGCCACCCAATTGTCAAAATATACACTTACAGAATCTACAAAAAGAGTGTTTCATACCTCAACAATCAAAGGAAGGTTCATCACTGTGAGTTGAATACAAACATCACGAACAAGTTTCTGAGAATGTTTCTTAGTTATGTGAAGTATATCCCGTTTCCAAAGAAATCCTCAGAGAGGTCCAAATATCCACTTGTAGATTCTACCAAAAGTGTGTTTGGAAACTGCTCCATCACAAGGCATGTTCAGCTCTGGGAGTAAAACTCCATCATCACAAAGAATTTTCTGACCATGCTTCCGTTTGGTTTTTATATGAAGTTATTTCCTTTACTACCGTAGGCCTCAAAGCAGTCCAAATCTCCATTTGCAGATTCTACAATAAGAGTGTTTCCAATCTGCTCTATCAATAGGAATGTTCACTTCTGTCACTTGAATGCAATCATCACAAAGTACTTTCTGAGTATGCTTCTATATAGTGTTTATGTGAAGATATTTCCTTTTCCACCACAGGCCTCAAAGCCCTCCAAATGTCCACTTGAAGAATCTAGAAAGAGTGTTTCATAGCTGCTCTTTCAAAAGGAAAGTTCAACTCTGGGAGTTGAATACAAACATCACAAAGTAGTCTCTGAGAATGCTTCTGTTTAGTTTTTATGAGAAGATGATCCCGTTTCCAATGAAATATTTAAACAGGTCCACATATCCACTGGCAGATTCAAAGAAAGAGAGTTTCAAAACTGCTCAATCAAAAGGAGGGTTCAACTCAGTGACTTGAATGCAATCATTACACAAAAGTTTCTGGGAATGCTTCTCTTTAGTTTTTAAATAAACATATACCGTATCGAAAGAAGGCAACACAGTGGTCCAAATATCCACGTGCAGATTCTACAAAAAGAGTGTTTCAAACCTGAACTATCAAAGAAAGTTTCAAATCTGTGAGTGAAATGCAAACATCATGAAGAAGTTTCTGAGAATGTTTGAGTTTAGTTATGGGAAGTTTACCCCTTTTCCAAAAAAATCCTCAGAGAGGTCAAAATATACACTTGCAGATTCTACCAAAAGGGTGTTTGGAAACTGCTCCATCTAAAGGCATGTTCAGCTCTGTCAGTTAATCTCCATCATCACAAAGAATATTCTGAGAATGCTTCCGTTTGCTTTTTATATGAAGTTCCTTCCTATACTACCGTAGGCCTCAAAGCAGTCCAAATCTCCATTTGCAGATTCTACAAAAAGAGTGTTTCCAATCTGCTCTATCAATAGGATTGTTCAACTCTGTGAGTTGAATGCCATCATCACAAAGTAGTTTCTGACAATGGTTCTCTCTCGTATTTATGTGAAGATATTTCAATTTCCACCACAGGCCTCAAAGCCCTCCAAACGTCCACTTGCAGATTCTCGAAAAAGAGTGTTTCATAGCTGTTCTTTCAAAAGGAAAGTTCAACTCTGGGAGTTGAATACAAACATCACAAAGTCGTTTCCGAGAATGCTTCTGTTTAGTTTTTATGTGAAGATGATCCCGTTTCCAATGAAATTTTCAAAGAGGTCCACATATCCCCTTACAGATTCCAAAGAAAGAGGGTTTCAAAACTGCTCCATCAAAAGGATTGTTCAACTCTGTGAGTTGAATGCAGTCATCGCAGAAAACTTTCTGAGAATGCTTCTGTCTAGGTTTGATGTGAAGATATAGACGTTTAAAACGAAGGCTACAAAGTGGTCAAAATAGACACTTGCAGATTCTACTACAAGGGTGTTGCAAACCTGAAATATCAAAGGAAGGTTCCACTCTGTGAGTTGAATGCAAGCATCACAAAGAAGTTTCTGAGAATGCTTCGGTTCAGTTATGGGAAGTTGAACCCGTTTCCAACGAAATCTTCAGAGAGGTCCAAATATCCCCTTGCAGATTCTACAAAAAGTGTGTTTGGAACCTGCTCCACCAAAATGAATGTTCAGCTCTCTCAGTTAAACTCAATCGTCGCAAACAATTTTCTGAGAGGGCTACTGTCTAGTTTTTATATGAAGTTCTTTCCTTTACTACCACAGGCCTCAAAGCAGTCCACATCTCCTCTTGCAGATTCTACAAAGGAGTGTTTGCAAACTGCTATATCAAAAGGAATGTTCAACTCTGGGAGTTGAATGCAATCATCACAGAGTAGTTTCTGACAATGCTTCTATATAGTTTTTAGGAGAAGATATTTCCTTTTCCACCACAGTCGTAAAAGCCCTCTAAATATCCACTTGCACATTCTAGAAAAAGTGTGTCAAAACTGCGCTATCAAAGGGAAAGTTCAACTCTGTGAGGTGAATGCAAACATCCGAAAGAAGTTTCTGAGAATGCTTCCGTTTACCTTTTAGGTGAAGATTATCCCGTTTCCAACGAAATCTTCCCAGAGATCCAAATATACCCTTGTGGATCCCACAGAAAGAGTGTTTCGAAACTGCTGTTTCAAAACGAACCTTCAACTCTGTGAGTTGAATGCAGTCATCACAAAGAAGTTTCTGACAATGCTTCTCTCTCGTCTTTATGTGAAGATAAAACAAAAGGCTTTCAGGCCTTTTCCACCACAGGCCTGAAAGTGCTCCAAATGTCCACTTGCAGACACTGTGAAAAGAATGTTTCAAAACTGCTCTATGAAAAGCAAAGTTGAACTCTATGGCTCGAACACAAACATCACAAAGCAGTTTCTGAGAATGCTTCAGTTTAGTTTTTCTGTGGAAATATTCCCGTTTCGAAAGAAATCTTCAAAGAGGTCCTCCACCATATCCACTTACAGATTCTACAAAAAGACAGTTTCAAAACTGCTCCATCAAAAGGAGGGTTCAACCGTGTGACTTGAATGCAATCATCACTCAGAAGTTTCTGAGAATGCTTCTCTTTAGTTTTTACGTGAACATATACCCGTTTCGAACGAAGGCCAGCCAGTGGTCCAAATATCCACTTGCAGATTCTACAGAAAGAGTGTTTCAAACCTGAACTCTGAAAGGAAGGTTCATCTCTGTGAGTTAAATGCATTCATCATGAAGAACTTTCTCAGAGTGTTTGTGTTTAGTTATGGGAAATTATTCCCGTTTCCAACGAGATCCTCAGAGAGGTCCAAATATCCACCTGAAGATTCTACCAAAAGTGTATTTGGAAACTGCTCCATCAAAGGGCATGTTCAGCTCTGTGAGTTAAACTCCATCATCCCAAAGAATACTCTGAGAATGCTTCCGTTTGCTTTTTATATGAAGTTCCTTCCTATACTACCGTAGGCCTCAAAGCAGTCCAAATCTCCATTTGCAGATTCTACAAAAAGAGTGATTCCAATCTGCTCTATCAATAGGATTGTTCAACTCCATGAGTTGAATGCCATCCTCACAAAGTAGTTTCTGAGAATGCTTCTATCTAGTTTTCATGTGAAGATATTTCCTTTTCCACCACAGGCCTCAAAGCCCTCCAAACGTCCACTTGCAGATTCTCGAAAAAGAGTGTTTCATAGCTGCTCTTTCAAAAGGAAAGTTCAACTCTGGGAGTTGAATACAGACATCACAAAGTAGTTTCCGAGAATGCTTCTGTTTAGTTTTTATGTGAAAATGATCCCGTTTCCAGTGAATTCTTCAAAGAGGTCCACTTATCCCCTTGCAGATTCCAAAGAAAGAGGATTTCAAAACTGCTCCATCAAAAGGATTGTTCAACTCTGTGAGTTGAATGCAGTCATCGCAGAAAACTTTCTGAGAATGCTTCTGTCTAGGTTTGATGTGAAGATATAGACATTTCAAGCGAAGGCTACAAAGTGGTCAAAATATACACTTGCAGATTCTACTACAAGGGTGTTGCAAACCTGAACTATCAAAGGAAGGTTCAACTCTGTGAGTTGAATACAAACATCACAAAGAATGTTCTGAGTTTGCTTCCGTTCAGGTATGGGAAGCTGATCCCGTTTCCAAAGAAATCCTCAGAGAGGTCCAAATATCCCCTTGCAGATTCTACAAAAAGTGTGTTTGGAAACTGCTCCATCATAACGAATGTTCAGCTCCCTGAGTTAAACTCAATCGTCACAAAGAATTTTCTGAGAGTGCTACCGTCTAGTTTTTATATGAAGTTCTTTCCTTTACTACCACAGGCCTCAAAGCGGTCCAAATCTGCACTTGCAGATTCCACAAAAAGAGTGTTTGCAAACTGCTCTATCAAGAGGAATGTTCAACTCTGGGAGTTGAATGCAATCATCACCGAGCAGTTTCTGAGAATGCTTCTATGTCGTTTTTAGGAGAAGATATTTCCTTTTCCAACACAGTCCTCCAAGCCCGCTAAATATCCACTTGCACATTGTAGAAAAAGTGTGTCGAAGCTGCGCTATCAAAGGGAAAGTTCAACTCTGCGAGGTGAATGCAAACATCCCAAGGAAGTTTCTGAGAATGCTTCCGTTTAGCTTTTAGGTGAAGATTATCCCGTTTCCAACGAAATCTTCAAAGAGGTCCAAATATCCCCTTGCGGATCCCACAGAAAGAGTGTTTCGAAACTGCTGTTTCAAAAGGAATCTTCAACTCTGTGAGTTGAATGCAATCATCACAAAGAAGTTTCTGACAATGCTTCTCTCCCGTCTTTCTGTGAAGATAAAGGAAAAGGCTTTCAGGCCTTTTCCACCACAGGCCTGAAAGCGCTCCAAATGTCCACTTGCAGATTCTGCCAAAAGAATATTTCGAAACTGCTCTATGAGAAGCAATGTTAAACTCTGTGGCTCGAACACAAACATCACAAAGCAGTTTCTGAGAATGCTTCAGTTTAGTTTTTCTGTGGAAATATTCCCGTTTCCAAAGAAATCTTCAAAGAGGTCCAACATATCCACTTACAGATTCTACAAAAAGACAGTTTCAAAACTGCTCCATCAAAAGGAGGGTTCAACCGTGTGACTTGAATGCAATCATCACTCAGAAGTTTCTGAGAATGCTTCTCTTTAGTTTTTACGTGAACATATACCCGTTTCGAACGAAGGCCACCCAGTGGTCCAAATATCCACTTGCAGATTCTACAGAAAGAGTGTTTCAAACCTAAACTCTGAAAGGAAGGTTCATCTCTGTGAGTTAAATGCATTCATCATGAAGAACTTTCTCAGAGTGTTTGTGTTTAGTTATGGGAAATTATTCCCGTTTCCAACGAGATCCTCAGAGAGGTCCAAATATCCACCTGCAGATTCTACCAAAAGTGTATTTGGAAACTGCTCCATCAAAAGGCATGTTCAGCTCTGTGAGTTAAACTCCATCATCACAAAGAATACTCTGAGAATGCTTCCGTTTGCTTTTTATATGAAGTTCCTTCCTATACTACCGTAGGCCTCAAAGCAGTCCAAATCTCCATTTGCAGATTCTACAAAAAGAGTGATTCCAATCTGCTCTATCAATAGGATTGTTCAACTCCATGAGTTGAATGCCATCCTCACAAAGTAGTTTCTGAGAATGCTTCTATCTAGTTTTCATGTGAAGATATTTCCTTTTCCACCACAGGCCTCAAAGCCCTCCAAACGTCCACTTGCAGATTCTCGAAAAAGAGTGTTTCATAGCTGCTCTTTCAAAAGGAAAGTTCAACTCTGGGAGTTGAATACAGACATCACAAAGTAGTTTCCGAGAATGCTTCTGTTTAGTTTTTATGTGAAGATGATCCCGTTTCCAGTGAAATCTTCAAAGAGGTCCACTTATCCCCTTGCAGATTCCAAAGAAAGAGGGTTTCAAAACTGCTCCATCAAAAGGATTGTTCAACTCTGTGAGTTGAATGCAGTCATCGCAGAAATCTTTCTGAGAATGCTTCTGTCTAGGTTTGATGTGAAGATATAGACGTTTCAAACGAAGGCTACAAACTGGTCAAAATATACACTTGCAGATTCTACTACAAGGGTGTTGCAAACCTGAACTATCAAAGGAAGGTTCAACACTGTGAGTTGAATACAAACATCACAAAGAATGTTCTGAGTTTGCTTCCGTTCAGTTATGGGAAGTTGATCCCGTTTCCAACGAAATCCTCAGAGAGGTCCAAATATCCCCTTGCAGATTCTACAAAACGTGTGTTTGGAAACTGCTCCATCATAACGAATGTTCAGCTCCCTGAGTTAAACTCAATCGTCACAAAGAATTTTCTGAGAGTGCTACCGTCTAGTTTTTATATGAAGTTCTTTCCTTTACTACCACAGGCCTCAAAGCGGTCCAAATCTCCACTTGCAGATTCTACAAAAAGAGTGTTTGCAAACTGCTCTATCAAAAGGAGTGTTCAACTCTGGGAGTTGAATGCAATCATCACAGAGCAGTTTCTGAGAATGCTTCTATGTCGTTTTTAGGAGAAGATATTTCCTTTTCCAACACAGTCCTCCAAGCCCGCTAAATATCCACTTGCACATTGTAGAAAAAGTGTGTCGAAGCTGCGCTATCAAAGGGAAAGTTCAACTCTGTGAGGTGAATGCAAACATCCCAAAGAAGTTTCTGAGAATGCTTCCGTTTAGCTTTTAGGTGAAGATTATCCCGTTTCCAACGAAATCTTCAAAGAGGTCCAAATATCCCCTTGCGGATCCCACAGAAAGAGTGTTTCGAAACTGCTGTTTCAAAAGGAATCTTCAACTCTGTGAGTTGAATGCAATCATCACAAAGAAGTTTCTGACAATGCTTCTCTCTCGTCTTTCTGTGAAGATAAAGGAAAAGGCTTTCAGGCCTTTTCCACCACAGGCCTGAAAGCGCTCCAAATGTCCACTTGCAGATTCTGCCAAAAGAATAGTTCAAAACTGCTCTATGAAAAGCAATGTTAAACTCTGTGGCTCGAACACAAACATCACAAAGCAGTTTCTGAGAATGCTTCAGTTTAGTTTTTCTGTGGAAATATTCCCGTTTCCAAAGAAATCTTCAAAGAGGTCCACGCATCCACTTACAGATTCTACAAAAAGACAGTTTCAAAACTGCTCAATCAAAAGGAGGGTTCAACTGTGTGACTTGAATGCAATCATCACTCAGAAGTTTCTGAGAACGCTTCTCTTTAGTTTTTACGTGAACATATACCCGTTTCGAACGAAGGCCAGCCAGTGGTCCAAATATCCACTTGCAGATTCTACAGAAAGAGTGTTTCGAACCTGAACTCTCAAAGGCAGGTTCATCTCTGCGAGTTCAATGCATTCATCATGAAGAACTTTCTCAGCGTGTTTGTGTTTAGTTATGGGAAATTATTCCCGTTTCCAACGAAATCCTCAGAGAGGTCCAAATATCCACCTGCAGATTCTACCAAAAGTGTATTTGGAAACTGCTCCATCAAAAGGCATGTTCAGCTCTGTGAGTGAAACTCCATCATCACAAAGAATATTCTGAGAATGCTTCCGTTTGCCTTTTATATGAAGTTCCTTCCTATACTACCGTAGGCCTCAAAGCAGTCCAAATCTCCATTTGCAGATTCTACAAAAAGAGTGATTCCAATCTGCTCTATCAATAGGATTGTTCAACTCCATGAGTTGAATGCCATCCTCACAAAGTCGTTTCTGAGAATGCTTCTATCTAGTTTTTATGTGAAGATATTTCCTTTTCCACCACAGGCCTCAAAGCCCTCCAAACGTCCACTTGCAGATTCTCGAAAAAGAGTGTTTCATAGCTGCTCTTTCAAAAGGAAAGTTCAACTCTGGGAGTTGAATACAAACATCACAAAGTAGTTTCCGAGAATGCTTCTGTTTAGTTCTTATGTGAAGATGATCCCGTTTCCAGTGAAATCTTCAAAGAGGTCCACATATCCCCTTGCAGATTCCAAAGAAAGAGGGTTTCAAAACTGCTCCATCAAAAGGATTGTTCAACTCTGTGAGTTGAATGCAGTCATCGCAGAAAACTTTCTGAGAATGCTTCTGTCTAGGTTTGATGTGAAGATATAGACGTTTCAAACGAAGGCTACAAAGTGGTCAAAATATACACTTGCAGATTCTACTACAAGGGTGTTGCAAACCTGAACTATCAAAGGAAGGTTCAACTCTGTGAGTTGAATACAAACATCACAAAGAATGTTCTGAGTTTGCTTCCGTTCAGTTATGGGAAGTTGATCCCGTTTCCAACGAAATCCTCAGAGAGGTCCAAATATCCCCTTGCAGATTCTACAAAACGTGTGTTTGGAAACTGCTCCATCATAACGAATGTTCAGCTCTCTGAGTTAAACTCCATCGTCACAAAGAATTTTCTGAGGGTGCTACCGTCTAGTTTTTATATGAAGTTCTTTCCTTTACTACCACAGGCCTCAAAGCGGTCCAAATCTCCACTTGCAGATTCTACAAAAAGAGTGTTTGCAAACTGCTCTATCAAAAGGAATGTTCAACTCTGGGAGTTGAATGCAATCATCACAGAGCAGTTTCTGAGAATGCTTCTATGTCGTTTTTAGGAGAAGATATTTCCTTTTCCAACACAGTCCTCCAAGCCCGCTAAATATCCACTTGCACATTGTAGAAAAAGTGTGTCGAAGCTGCGCTATCAAAGGGAAAGTTCAACTCTGTGAGGTGAATGCAAACATCCCAAAGAAGTTTCTGAGAATGCTTCCGTTTAGCTTTTAGGTGAAGATTATCCCGTTTCCAACGAAATCTTCAAAGAGGTCCAAATATCCCCTTGCGGATCCCACAGAAAGAGTGTTTCGAAACTGCTGTTTCAAAAGGAATCTTCAACTCTGTGAGTTGAATGCAATCATCACAAAGAAGTTTCTGACAATGCTTCTCTCTCGTCTTTCTGTGAAGATAAAGGAAAAGGCTTTCAGGCCTTTTCCACCACAGGCCTGAAAGCGCTCCAAATGTCCACTTGCAGATTCTGCCAAAAGAATATTTCAAAACTGCTCTATGAAAAGCAATGTTAAACTCTGTGGCTCGAACACAAACATCACAAAGCAGTTTCTGAGAATGCTTCAGTTTAGTTTTTCTGTGGAAATATTCCCGTTTCCAAAGAAATCTTCAAAGAGGTCCACGCATCCACTTACAGATTCTACAAAAAGACAGTTTCAAAACTGCTCAATCAAAAGGAGGGTTCAACTGTGTGACTTGAATGCAATCATCACTCAGAAGTTTATGAGAACGCTTCTCTTTAGTTTTTACGTGAACATATACCCGTTTCGAACGAAGGCCAGCCAGTGGTCCAAATATCCACTTGCAGATTCTACAGAAAGAGTGTTTCGAACCTGAACTCTCAAAGGCAGGTTCATCTCTGCGAGTTCAATGCATTCATCATGAAGAACTTTCTCAGAGTGTTTGTGTTTAGTTATGGGAAATTATTCCCGTTTCCAACGAAATCCTCAGAGAGGTCCAAATATCCACCTGCAGATTCTACCAAAAGTGTATTTGGAAACTGCTCCATCAAAAGGCATGTTCAGCTCTGTGAGTGAAACTCCATCATCACAAAGAATATTCTGAGAATGCTTCCGTTTGCCTTTTATATGAAGTTCCTTCCTATACTACCGTAGGCCTCAAAGCAGTCCAAATCTCCATTTGCAGATTCTACAAAAAGAGTGATTCCAATGTGCTCTATCATTAGGATTGTTCAACTCCATGAGTTGAATGCCATCCTCACAAAGTCGTTTCTGAGAATGCTTCTATCTAGTTTTTATGTGAAGATATTTCCTTTTCCACCACAGGCCTCAAAGCCCTCCAAACGTCCACTTGCAGATTCTCGAAAAAGAGTGTTTCATAGCTGCTCTTTCAAAAGGAAAGTTCAACTCTGGGAGTTGAATACAAACATCACAAAGTAGTTTCCGAGAATGCTTCTGTTTAGTTCTTATGTGAAGATGATCCCGTTTCCAGTGAAATCTTCAAAGAGGTCCACATATCCCCTTGCAGATTCCAAAGAAAGAGGGTTTCAAAACTGCTCCATCAAAAGGATTGTTCAACTCTGTGAGTTGAATGCAGTCATCGCAGAAATCTTTCTGAGAATGCTTCTGTCTAGGTTTGATGTGAAGATATAGACGTTTCAAACGAAGGCTACAAAGTGGTCAAAATATACACTTGCAGATTCTACTACAAGGGTGTTGCAAACCTGAACTATCAAAGGAAGGTTCAACACTGTGAGTTGAATACAAACATCACAAAGAATGTTCTGAGTTTGCTTCCGTTCAGTTATGGGAAGTTGATCCCGTTTCCAACGAAATCCTCAGAGAGGTCCAAATATCCCCTTGCAGATTCTACAAAACGTGTGTTTGGAAACTGCTCCATCATAACGAATGTTCAGCTCCCTGAGTTAAACTCAATCGTCACAAAGAATTTTCTGAGAGTGCTACCGTCTAGTTTTTATATGAAGTTCTTTCCTTTACTACCACAGGCCTCAAAGCGGTCCAAATCTCCACTTGCAGATTCTACAAAAAGAGTGTTTGCAAACTGCACTATCAAAAGGAGTGTTCAACTCTGGGAGTTGAATGCAATCATCACAGAGCAGTTTCTGAGAATGCTTCTATGTCGTTTTTAGGAGAAGATATTTCCTTTTCCAACACAGTCCTCCAAGCCCGCTAAATATCCACTTGCACATTGTAGAAAAAGTGTGTCGAAGCTGCGCTATCAAAGGGAAAGTTCAACTCTGTGAGGTGAATGCAAACATCCCAAAGAAGTTTCTGAGAATGCTTCCGTTTAGCTTTTAGGTGAAGATTATCCCGTTTCCAACGAAATCTTCAAAGAGGTCCAAATATCCCCTTGCGGATCCCACAGAAAGAGTGTTTCGAAACTGCTGTTTCAAAAGGAATCTTCAACTCTGTGAGTTGAATGCAATCATCACAAAGAAGTTTCTGACAATGCTTCTCTCTCGTCTTTCTGTGAAGATAAAGGAAAAGGCTTTCAGGCCTTTTCCACCACAGGCCTGAAAGCGCTCCAAATGTCCACTTGCAGATTCTGCCAAAAGAATAGTTCAAAACTGCTCTATGAAAAGCAATGTTAAACTCTGTGGCTCGAACACAAACATCACAAAGCAGTTTCTGAGAATGCTTCAGTTTAGTTTTTCTGTGGAAATATTCCCGTTTCCAAAGAAATCTTCAAAGAGGTCCACGCATCCACTTACAGATTCTACAAAAAGACAGTTTCAAAACTGCTCAATCAAAAGGAGGGTTCAACTGTGTGACTTGAATGCAATCATCACTCAGAAGTTTCTGAGAACGCTTCTCTTTAGTTTTTACGTGAACATATACCCGTTTCGAACGAAGGCCAGCCAGTGGTCCAAATATCCACTTGCAGATTCTACAGAAAGAGTGTTTCGAACCTGAACTCTCAAAGGCAGGTTCATCTCTGCGAGTTCAATGCATTCATCATGAAGAACTTTCTCAGCGTGTTTGTGTTTAGTTATGGGAAATTATTCCCGTTTCCAACGAAATCCTCAGAGAGGTCCAAATATCCACCTGCAGATTCTACCAAAAGTGTATTTGGAAACTGCTCCATCAAAAGGCATGTTCAGCTCTGTGAGTGAAACTCCATCATCACAAAGAATATTCTGAGAATGCTTCCGTTTGCCTTTTATATGAAGTTCCTTCCTATACTACCGTAGGCCTCAAAGCAGTCCAAATCTCCATTTGCAGATTCTACAAAAAGAGTGATTCCAATCTGCTCTATCAATAGGATTGTTCAACTCCATGAGTTGAATGCCATCCTCACAAAGTCGTTTCTGAGAATGCTTCTATCTAGTTTTTATGTGAAGATATTTCCTTTTCCACCACAGGCCTCAAAGCCCTCCAAACGTCCACTTGCAGATTCTCGAAAAAGAGTGTTTCATAGCTGCTCTTTCAAAAGGAAAGTTCAACTCTGGGAGTTGAATACAAACATCACAAAGTAGTTTCCGAGAATGCTTCTGTTTAGTTCTTATGTGAAGATGATCCCGTTTCCAGTGAAATCTTCAAAGAGGTCCACATATCCCCTTGCAGATTCCAAAGAAAGAGGGTTTCAAAACTGCTCCATCAAAAGGATTGTTCAACTCTGTGAGTTGAATGCAGTCATCGCAGAAAACTTTCTGAGAATGCTTCTGTCTAGGTTTGATGTGAAGATATAGACGTTTCAAACGAAGGCTACAAAGTGGTCAAAATATACACTTGCAGATTCTACTACAAGGGTGTTGCAAACCTGAACTATCAAAGGAAGGTTCAACTCTGTGAGTTGAATACAAACATCACAAAGAATGTTCTGAGTTTGCTTCCGTTCAGTTATGGGAAGTTGATCCCGTTTCCAACGAAATCCTCAGAGAGGTCCAAATATCCCCTTGCAGATTCTACAAAACGTGTGTTTGGAAACTGCTCCATCATAACGAATGTTCAGCTCTCTGAGTTAAACTCCATCGTCACAAAGAATTTTCTGAGGGTGCTACCGTCTAGTTTTTATATGAAGTTCTTTCCTTTACTACCACAGGCCTCAAAGCGGTCCAAATCTCCACTTGCAGATTCTACAAAAAGAGTGTTTGCAAACTGCTCTATCAAAAGGAATGTTCAACTCTGGGAGTTGAATGCAATCATCACAGAGCAGTTTCTGAGAATGCTTCTATGTCGTTTTTAGGAGAAGATATTTCCTTTTCCAACACAGTCCTCCAAGCCCGCTAAATATCCACTTGCACATTGTAGAAAAAGTGTGTCGAAGCTGCGCTATCAAAGGGAAAGTTCAACTCTGTGAGGTGAATGCAAACATCCCAAAGAAGTTTCTGAGAATGCTTCCGTTTAGCTTTTAGGTGAAGATTATCCCGTTTCCAACGAAATCTTCAAAGAGGTCCAAATATCCCCTTGCGGATCCCACAGAAAGAGTGTTTCGAAACTGCTGTTTCAAAAGGAATCTTCAACTCTGTGAGTTGAATGCAATCATCACAAAGAAGTTTCTGACAATGCTTCTCTCTCGTCTTTCTGTGAAGATAAAGGAAAAGGCTTTCAGGCCTTTTCCACCACAGGCCTGAAAGCGCTCCAAATGTCCACTTGCAGATTCTGCCAAAAGAATATTTCAAAACTGCTCTATGAAAAGCAATGTTAAACTCTGTGGCTCGAACACAAACATCACAAAGCAGTTTCTGAGAATGCTTCAGTTTAGTTTTTCTGTGGAAATATTCCCGTTTCCAAAGAAATCTTCAAAGAGGTCCACGCATCCACTTACAGATTCTACAAAAAGACAGTTTCAAAACTGCTCAATCAAAAGGAGGGTTCAACTGTGTGACTTGAATGCAATCATCACTCAGAAGTTTATGAGAACGCTTCTCTTTAGTTTTTACGTGAACATATACCCGTTTCGAACGAAGGCCAGCCAGTGGTCCAAATATCCACTTGCAGATTCTACAGAAAGAGTGTTTCGAACCTGAACTCTCAAAGGCAGGTTCATCTCTGCGAGTTCAATGCATTCATCATGAAGAACTTTCTCAGAGTGTTTGTGTTTAGTTATGGGAAATTATTCCCGTTTCCAACGAAATCCTCAGAGAGGTCCAAATATCCACCTGCAGATTCTACCAAAAGTGTATTTGGAAACTGCTCCATCAAAAGGCATGTTCAGCTCTGTGAGTGAAACTCCATCATCACAAAGAATATTCTGAGAATGCTTCCGTTTGCCTTTTATATGAAGTTCCTTCCTATACTACCGTAGGCCTCAAAGCAGTCCAAATCTCCATTTGCAGATTCTACAAAAAGAGTGATTCCAATGTGCTCTATCATTAGGATTGTTCAACTCCATGAGTTGAATGCCATCCTCACAAAGTCGTTTCTGAGAATGCTTCTATCTAGTTTTTATGTGAAGATATTTCCTTTTCCACCACAGGCCTCAAAGCCCTCCAAACGTCCACTTGCAGATTCTCGAAAAAGAGTGTTTCATAGCTGCTCTTTCAAAAGGAAAGTTCAACTCTGGGAGTTGAATACAAACATCACAAAGTAGTTTCCGAGAATGCTTCTGTTTAGTTCTTATGTGAAGATGATCCCGTTTCCAGTGAAATCTTCAAAGAGGTCCACATATCCCCTTGCAGATTCCAAAGAAAGAGGGTTTCAAAACTGCTCCATCAAAAGGATTGTTCAACTCTGTGAGTTGAATGCAGTCATCGCAGAAATCTTTCTGAGAATGCTTCTGTCTAGGTTTGATGTGAAGATATAGACGTTTCAAACGAAGGCTACAAAGTGGTCAAAATATACACTTGCAGATTCTACTACAAGGGTGTTGCAAACCTGAACTATCAAAGGAAGGTTCAACACTGTGAGTTGAATACAAACATCACAAAGAATGTTCTGAGTTTGCTTCCGTTCAGTTATGGGAAGTTGATCCCGTTTCCAACGAAATCCTCAGAGAGGTCCAAATATCCCCTTGCAGATTCTACAAAACGTGTGTTTGGAAACTGCTCCATCATAACGAATGTTCAGCTCCCTGAGTTAAACTCAATCGTCACAAAGAATTTTCTGAGAGTGCTACCGTCTAGTTTTTATATGAAGTTCTTTCCTTTACTACCACAGGCCTCAAAGCGGTCCAAATCTCCACTTGCAGATTCTACAAAAAGAGTGTTTGCAAACTGCACTATCAAAAGGAGTGTTCAACTCTGGGAGTTGAATGCAATCATCACAGAGCAGTTTCTGAGAATGCTTCTATGTCGTTTTTAGGAGAAGATATTTCCTTTTCCAACACAGTCCTCCAAGCCCGCTAAATATCCACTTGCACATTGTAGAAAAAGTGTGTCGAAGCTGCGCTATCAAAGGGAAAGTTCAACTCTGTGAGGTGAATGCAAACATCCCAAAGAAGTTTCTGAGAATGCTTCCGTTTAGCTTTTAGGTGAAGATTATCCCGTTTCCAACGAAATCTTCAAAGAGGTCCAAATATCCCCTTGCGGATCCCACAGAAAGAGTGTTTCGAAACTGCTGTTTCAAAAGGAATCTTCAACTCTGTGAGTTGAATGCAATCATCACAAAGAAGTTTCTGACAATGCTTCTCTCTCGTCTTTCTGTGAAGATAAAGGAAAAGGCTTTCAGGCCTTTTCCACCACAGGCCTGAAAGCGCTCCAAATGTCCACTTGCAGATTCTGCCAAAAGAATATTTCAAAACTGCTCTATGAAAAGCAATGTTAAACTCTGTGGCTCGAACACAAACATCACAAAGCAGTTTCTGAGAATGCTTCAGTTTAGTTTTTCTGTGGAAATATTCCCGTTTCCAAAGAAATCTTCAAAGAGGTCCACGCATCCACTTACAGATTCTACAAAAAGACAGTTTCAAAACTGCTCAATCAAAAGGAGGGTTCAACTGTGTGACTTGAATGCAATCATCACTCAGAAGTTTATGAGAACGCTTCTCTTTAGTTTTTACGTGAACATATACCCGTTTCGAACGAAGGCCAGCCAGTGGTCCAAATATCCACTTGCAGATTCTACAGAAAGAGTGTTTCGAACCTGAACTCTCAAAGGCAGGTTCATCTCTGCGAGTTCAATGCATTCATCATGAAGAACTTTCTCAGAGTGTTTGTGTTTAGTTATGGGAAATTATTCCCGTTTCCAACGAAATCCTCAGAGAGGTCCAAATATCCACCTGCAGATTCTACCAAAAGTGTATTTGGAAACTGCTCCATCAAAAGGCATGTTCAGCTCTGTGAGTGAAACTCCATCATCACAAAGAATATTCTGAGAATGCTTCCGTTTGCCTTTTATATGAAGTTCCTTCCTATACTACCGTAGGCCTCAAAGCAGTCCAAATCTCCATTTGCAGATTCTACAAAAAGAGTGATTCCAATGTGCTCTATCATTAGGATTGTTCAACTCCATGAGTTGAATGCCATCCTCACAAAGTCGTTTCTGAGAATGCTTCTATCTAGTTTTTATGTGAAGATATTTCCTTTTCCACCACAGGCCTCAAAGCCCTCCAAACGTCCACTTGCAGATTCTCGAAAAAGAGTGTTTCATAGCTGCTCTTTCAAAAGGAAAGTTCAACTCTGGGAGTTGAATACAAACATCACAAAGTAGTTTCCGAGAATGCTTCTGTTTAGTTCTTATGTGAAGATGATCCCGTTTCCAGTGAAATCTTCAAAGAGGTCCACATATCCCCTTGCAGATTCCAAAGAAAGAGGGTTTCAAAACTGCTCCATCAAAAGGATTGTTCAACTCTGTGAGTTGAATGCAGTCATCGCAGAAATCTTTCTGAGAATGCTTCTGTCTAGGTTTGATGTGAAGATATAGACGTTTCAAACGAAGGCTACAAACTGGTCAAAATATACACTTGCAGATTCTACTACAAGGGTGTTGCAAACCTGAACTATCAAAGGAAGGTTCAACACTGTGAGTTGAATACAAACATCACAAAGAATGTTCTGAGTTTGCTTCCGTTCAGTTATGGGAAGTTGATCCCGTTTCCAACGAAATCCTCAGAGAGGTCCAAATATCCCCTTGCAGATTCTACAAAACGTGTGTTTGGAAACTGCTCCATCATAACGAATGTTCAGCTCCCTGAGTTAAACTCAATCGTCACAAAGAATTTTCTGAGAGTGCTACCGTCTAGTTTTTATATGAAGTTCTTTCCTTTACTACCACAGGCCTCAAAGCGGTCCAAATCTCCACTTGCAGATTCTACAAAAAGAGTGTTTGCAAACTGCACTATCAAAAGGAGTGTTCAACTCTGGGAGTTGAATGCAATCATCACAGAGCAGTTTCTGAGAATGCTTCTATGTCGTTTTTAGGAGAAGATATTTCCTTTTCCAACACAGTCCTCCAAGCCCGCTAAATATCCACTTGCACATTGTAGAAAAAGTGTGTCGAAGCTGCGCTATCAAAGGGAAAGTTCAACTCTGTGAGGTGAATGCAAACATCCCAAAGAAGTTTCTGAGAATGCTTCCGTTTAGCTTTTAGGTGAAGATTATCCCGTTTCCAACGAAATCTTCAAAGAGGTCCAAATATCCCCTTGCGGATCCCACAGAAAGAGTGTTTCGAAACTGCTGTTTCAAAAGGAATCTTCAACTCTGTGAGTTGAATGCAATCATCACAAAGAAGTTTCTGACAATGCTTCTCTCTCGTCTTTCTGTGAAGATAAAGGAAAAGGCTTTCAGGCCTTTTCCACCACAGGCCTGAAAGCGCTCCAAATGTCCACTTGCAGATTCTGCCAAAAGAATAGTTCAAAACTGCTCTATGAAAAGCAATGTTAAACTCTGTGGCTCGAACACAAACATCACAAAGCAGTTTCTGAGAATGCTTCAGTTTAGTTTTTCTGTGGAAATATTCCCGTTTCCAAAGAAATCTTCAAAGAGGTCCACGCATCCACTTACAGATTCTACAAAAAGACAGTTTCAAAACTGCTCAATCAAAAGGAGGGTTCAACTGTGTGACTTGAATGCAATCATCACTCAGAAGTTTCTGAGAACGCTTCTCTTTAGTTTTTACGTGAACATATACCCGTTTCGAACGAAGGCCAGCCAGTGGTCCAAATATCCACTTGCAGATTCTACAGAAAGAGTGTTTCGAACCTGAACTCTCAAAGGCAGGTTCATCTCTGCGAGTTCAATGCATTCATCATGAAGAACTTTCTCAGCGTGTTTGTGTTTAGTTATGGGAAATTATTCCCGTTTCCAACGAAATCCTCAGAGAGGTCCAAATATCCACCTGCAGATTCTACCAAAAGTGTATTTGGAAACTGCTCCATCAAAAGGCATGTTCAGCTCTGTGAGTGAAACTCCATCATCACAAAGAATATTCTGAGAATGCTTCCGTTTGCCTTTTATATGAAGTTCCTTCCTATACTACCGTAGGCCTCAAAGCAGTCCAAATCTCCATTTGCAGATTCTACAAAAAGAGTGATTCCAATCTGCTCTATCAATAGGATTGTTCAACTCCATGAGTTGAATGCCATCCTCACAAAGTCGTTTCTGAGAATGCTTCTATCTAGTTTTTATGTGAAGATATTTCCTTTTCCACCACAGGCCTCAAAGCCCTCCAAACGTCCACTTGCAGATTCTCGAAAAAGAGTGTTTCATAGCTGCTCTTTCAAAAGGAAAGTTCAACTCTGGGAGTTGAATACAAACATCACAAAGTAGTTTCCGAGAATGCTTCTGTTTAGTTCTTATGTGAAGATGATCCCGTTTCCAGTGAAATCTTCAAAGAGGTCCACATATCCCCTTGCAGATTCCAAAGAAAGAGGGTTTCAAAACTGCTCCATCAAAAGGATTGTTCAACTCTGTGAGTTGAATGCAGTCATCGCAGAAAACTTTCTGAGAATGCTTCTGTCTAGGTTTGATGTGAAGATATAGACGTTTCAAACGAAGGCTACAAAGTGGTCAAAATATACACTTGCAGATTCTACTACAAGGGTGTTGCAAACCTGAACTATCAAAGGAAGGTTCAACTCTGTGAGTTGAATACAAACATCACAAAGAATGTTCTGAGTTTGCTTCCGTTCAGTTATGGGAAGTTGATCCCGTTTCCAACGAAATCCTCAGAGAGGTCCAAATATCCCCTTGCAGATTCTACAAAACGTGTGTTTGGAAACTGCTCCATCATAACGAATGTTCAGCTCTCTGAGTTAAACTCCATCGTCACAAAGAATTTTCTGAGGGTGCTACCGTCTAGTTTTTATATGAAGTTCTTTCCTTTACTACCACAGGCCTCAAAGCGGTCCAAATCTCCACTTGCAGATTCTACAAAAAGAGTGTTTGCAAACTGCTCTATCAAAAGGAATGTTCAACTCTGGGAGTTGAATGCAATCATCACAGAGCAGTTTCTGAGAATGCTTCTATGTCGTTTTTAGGAGAAGATATTTCCTTTTCCAACACAGTCCTCCAAGCCCGCTAAATATCCACTTGCACATTGTAGAAAAAGTGTGTCGAAGCTGCGCTATCAAAGGGAAAGTTCAACTCTGTGAGGTGAATGCAAACATCCCAAAGAAGTTTCTGAGAATGCTTCCGTTTAGCTTTTAGGTGAAGATTATCCCGTTTCCAACGAAATCTTCAAAGAGGTCCAAATATCCCCTTGCGGATCCCACAGAAAGAGTGTTTCGAAACTGCTGTTTCAAAAGGAATCTTCAACTCTGTGAGTTGAATGCAATCATCACAAAGAAGTTTCTGACAATGCTTCTCTCTCGTCTTTCTGTGAAGATAAAGGAAAAGGCTTTCAGGCCTTTTCCACCACAGGCCTGAAAGCGCTCCAAATGTCCACTTGCAGATTCTGCCAAAAGAATATTTCAAAACTGCTCTATGAAAAGCAATGTTAAACTCTGTGGCTCGAACACAAACATCACAAAGCAGTTTCTGAGAATGCTTCAGTTTAGTTTTTCTGTGGAAATATTCCCGTTTCCAAAGAAATCTTCAAAGAGGTCCACGCATCCACTTACAGATTCTACAAAAAGACAGTTTCAAAACTGCTCAATCAAAAGGAGGGTTCAACTGTGTGACTTGAATGCAATCATCACTCAGAAGTTTATGAGAACGCTTCTCTTTAGTTTTTACGTGAACATATACCCGTTTCGAACGAAGGCCAGCCAGTGGTCCAAATATCCACTTGCAGATTCTACAGAAAGAGTGTTTCGAACCTGAACTCTCAAAGGCAGGTTCATCTCTGCGAGTTCAATGCATTCATCATGAAGAACTTTCTCAGAGTGTTTGTGTTTAGTTATGGGAAATTATTCCCGTTTCCAACGAAATCCTCAGAGAGGTCCAAATATCCACCTGCAGATTCTACCAAAAGTGTATTTGGAAACTGCTCCATCAAAAGGCATGTTCAGCTCTGTGAGTGAAACTCCATCATCACAAAGAATATTCTGAGAATGCTTCCGTTTGCCTTTTATATGAAGTTCCTTCCTATACTACCGTAGGCCTCAAAGCAGTCCAAATCTCCATTTGCAGATTCTACAAAAAGAGTGATTCCAATGTGCTCTATCATTAGGATTGTTCAACTCCATGAGTTGAATGCCATCCTCACAAAGTCGTTTCTGAGAATGCTTCTATCTAGTTTTTATGTGAAGATATTTCCTTTTCCACCACAGGCCTCAAAGCCCTCCAAACGTCCACTTGCAGATTCTCGAAAAAGAGTGTTTCATAGCTGCTCTTTCAAAAGGAAAGTTCAACTCTGGGAGTTGAATACAAACATCACAAAGTAGTTTCCGAGAATGCTTCTGTTTAGTTCTTATGTGAAGATGATCCCGTTTCCAGTGAAATCTTCAAAGAGGTCCACATATCCCCTTGCAGATTCCAAAGAAAGAGGGTTTCAAAACTGCTCCATCAAAAGGATTGTTCAACTCTGTGAGTTGAATGCAGTCATCGCAGAAATCTTTCTGAGAATGCTTCTGTCTAGGTTTGATGTGAAGATATAGACGTTTCAAACGAAGGCTACAAACTGGTCAAAATATACACTTGCAGATTCTACTACAAGGGTGTTGCAAACCTGAACTATCAAAGGAAGGTTCAACACTGTGAGTTGAATACAAACATCACAAAGAATGTTCTGAGTTTGCTTCCGTTCAGTTATGGGAAGTTGATCCCGTTTCCAACGAAATCCTCAGAGAGGTCCAAATATCCCCTTGCAGATTCTACAAAACGTGTGTTTGGAAACTGCTCCATCATAACGAATGTTCAGCTCCCTGAGTTAAACTCAATCGTCACAAAGAATTTTCTGAGAGTGCTACCGTCTAGTTTTTATATGAAGTTCTTTCCTTTACTACCACAGGCCTCAAAGCGGTCCAAATCTCCACTTGCAGATTCTACAAAAAGAGTGTTTGCAAACTGCACTATCAAAAGGAGTGTTCAACTCTGGGAGTTGAATGCAATCATCACAGAGCAGTTTCTGAGAATGCTTCTATGTCGTTTTTAGGAGAAGATATTTCCTTTTCCAACACAGTCCTCCAAGCCCGCTAAATATCCACTTGCACATTGTAGAAAAAGTGTGTCGAAGCTGCGCTATCAAAGGGAAAGTTCAACTCTGTGAGGTGAATGCAAACATCCCAAAGAAGTTTCTGAGAATGCTTCCGTTTAGCTTTTAGGTGAAGATTATCCCGTTTCCAACGAAATCTTCAAAGAGGTCCAAATATCCCCTTGCGGATC